>NC_000002.12:150519921-150822951 GCF_000001405.40 Homo sapiens | reverse complement strand
AAAATACTGAAGTGGCAGGTGGGAATCTAGGTGGATACTGTTGATGCCTTTGAAAATACTTGGAGTATCAGACACCTTGGGACAAACTGCAGGCATCACCAGCCTTCAGAACCATTACACATCACAAATTTCTACCTTATTATAACAGTGTAAAGTTGTCTTGCTTAGTAACTTGTATTATTACTCCTTATATTGCTGAGTTTGTTTGTGGTTTGTTATAGCAAAGCACAAGTCTTTGAGCTTGGGTTAGAAGACATGGTGAGATATGTTTTGTTACTCTTCAGAGTCTAGAATGTCTTCTGTGCATAGCACAGCGTCTATGTAGTTTATTATGTATTTCTCAATCTGTCATAAAAGGCAAAGCTTTACACAAATTATATAATTTACTCTATATCTGACTAGGAAAAATAATAAATAAAAAATAATACCCTATAGCTAGGATAAAAATAGTATAGTATAAAAATAATACTGCATATCTGGCTAGGAAAAAAATGAATACTAAGGAAAAAGGAAAACAAATGTTTTGCTTAGTTCTGTGATTTTTTAAAAAAATGACATATACTATATAAGCATATGCCTGTTTGCTGCTTTAAAGGACTTGAACATTTCCATATTCCTATATATGGTTTTATTGTCATGCTATTACATACAAATTGTTGAACTAGAATCTGTTGTCAATCTACACTGCTTTAAAAGACTGTATCAAGGGCCATTATTTAATTTTCATGTGAACAGATGCTCATCTGTTTTAGAATTAGACTAAAGATTTTGGACTTGGTCTACAGTGTTCCAGATTGAATGCAAAAATTATCTTTAGACTTTTGAGATAAAAAGGTCCCTATTGAGGAGGATTGATACTTTTCCTAGAAAGATGGGATCAAACATGAAATTTTCCTAGAAACATGAAATCAAACATGGAATTTTCTTAGAAACATGGAATCAAAAAATCGAATTTTCAGGGCAAAACTTGAACATTACTTTGAGAGTATCTCAATCAGGAAGAGCAGGAAGTGCTTTGGTCTCAGACTCTTAGGGTTGCCACCTTCTTGACATTGCTTAACCAGGTACCGTATAGACCTGCAGCGTCTCTCTTCTATCTTGGTATCCAGTGTCCATGGTATGTGTGATTATTTACGTTTTATTTTAAAGTATCCCTTTGAATATAATCTGATTATGGACATAAGAAAACAATTCAGTGAGAATTGCACTATCTACTTAAAAATTTTATTTTGTGAGATAAGGCCTAATATATAAATATATGGCAGGTTCACTTTTCATTTTTGTAGTTATCTCCTGGGTGTTCCTATTCTGTGTCCTGTACCGTACACCTCTTCTCTTTCTTCCAAAAAGTTGAAGTGTCACTGGAAATCTAGCTACACTTAGTTTCAAAATCTACTAACATGGTTTGAGAATACACATCATCCCGCTCTATTTTCCACTGGTTAAGACAGCAGTTCATTTTAAACAAGCACTTCATTCTAGATCTATGGTTCCATGTTTCCATCCAGAAATGGAATCATGGATCAGCGTATGTCAGGGAAAAAAAACCCAACAGCCTGACTCAAGGTACAGCTAGTTTTAGAGCATTCTGCTGGCTCTATTCATTTTACCTACGCCCTTCTGCGGACAGAGTTTTGGATGACTGCACCTTCTTGTGACATTCGGAGGGAACATTTCTTTCTTCTCTGGCATCTTCCTCCAGTCGTGCTGCCTGTTTTTTTTTTCTAGTCCATAGGTCAATTCTGTGATTATGCCATGAAAGTTGCTAGATGCTTATTCTATGTCTAACCCCATGATAAGTGATTTTACTGATGATCTCCCACTAAACATATTGTACGATAGGTATTATTATTTCAATTTTACATTTGGAAGAAATAAGGTAGAAAGAAATGTAATATATTTTCTATTGCTCCACAGCTACTAAGGGACAATAGTAGATTTTAAGTTCTCAAGTTTCTGATTCTGAAATCCATGTAAGTTCTTAAACCACAGATTCTAAAATTTGAGCTTGTATAAGAATCACCAGTTTCTGCCCATTTAATGAATCAAGAAGTTGATTTAGGTTAAGGCCCAAACAGCAATTAACAAACAAACAAACAAACAAAAAAAAAAAAGAAAGAAAGAAAATATCATAGTACTCCTTTGATAGTAAAAGCTAAAACTTTTTGTGTAGAACTTTCTGTGATTTCAGTTATATAGGTGTATTTTGGGTTGCAAAGTAAAATGGTTTTATTTTCTTACTATTGATCATGTTCAAAAAGTTTAAAAACCACTTGTCTAGGTATTTTGTTAAAAGTATATATTTTGGTGCCCCTCTCTGTGAGGTTCTCAATCAAAATATACATTTTTAACAATCGTGGTGGTTCTTATACTAGTGTTTCTTGAGCAGCACTTTGATAAAATTTGGCTTAAACCATACAATCAAAATGAAAATTGCTCTTCCTCTGTTTTTGCACATACCACCTTCATTTTAGCACTTCTGACATTGAAGTCATATTGTCAGTAGGTTTTTCAAGGCTAGGATTTTCCTTCATATTACAATTTTGGTGCCCAGTTGGGTGTAGGCACATAGTAGGTGCTTAATAAGTAGCTATTGACTATTTTCTGTTTTCCTTAGTTGACTAGCATTTCCTTTTCTTTTTTTTTAACTTTAAGTTCAGGGGTACATATGCAGGTTTGTTATACAGGTAAACTCGTGTCATGGGAGTTTGTTGCACAGATTATTTCCTCACCCAGTTTGAGACTTAATATTTGCAATAACGATATTTTTTGAAATCAAAAGCACAATGAGATACTTAAGATATAAAGGACAAAATAAATTTTGTGATTGACACAAGTAAGTTTTGAGAAATAATAATTATTTGGGGTTTCCTTCAATGTCTTATTCTTTGAATCCTGTATATGTTTTGAACAGTTGATTAAAACCTAATGTGGAAACTCAGGTGATATTATGATTGTTGACTTGGGGAGAGCTGGATAAACTTGAATCAACAGAATTTCTTATACAACAATGAGAAATAATTCAAGGCAGAATAGATATACTTTATTTACTTATTACATTCAGTTCATTGTTGTAAAATAAAAAATTATAATTTTTTAAGTTAAAGGATCCAATATGATGACAAAATGTTTTTAGGAAAATCAGATTTTAGTATGGAGAGTGTTGAATAGCCAATATTTTAAGAAAACGGGGCATGGCAATGGATATTAATGATGATCAATTAATTATTGTTTCTGGACAAGGGCTGAAGTGTGGGGATTGCTGATTGGTTGAGAAGTGAGGGTTGAAGTTGGGGGGACAGAGAGGTGAAGAAACCTCATTTTTGTGCTGAGTCAGTGAGACGGTTCCTTGGTAGGGGTCTTCAGGCTGGTTGGTGTCAGCCATTCTGCTGGAATTCAGGATCTCAAAAACTCCTTAAGGAATTCTTAAACACAAAGGTCTTATGATTCTAGTGTCAGATATTCTGTCTACAGAAACAATGGGGTAGAGTGTAGCAGGGGGTCAGCATGCTGACTCTTGGTTTGTTGTTAACCCTCTCGTTGAGGTGATCAAGTCTCCAGAAGATGATTGAGTGCAGACTTGAGAAAGCCTCCATTTAGGAAATGGAAATGGAAGCAGAGTAAGAAGAAACTCAGATGTTCTCAGAGGTGACAGGAGAGCATGGAGAGAAAGTGTTTTGGAGAAAAGGTAAATGTTGAAGAGGTGTAACAGAGAATGGCAGAGGTATCTGTCAGATAATGGCAGCTGAGCAAAGACCCATGGATTAGGCAACTGAGGAGTCATTGAAGACTTTAATTATGTAGAGCAAGAGCTGGAGGCATGGAAGCTAGGTTGCAAGGAATGAAAGTATGAGTGTTATTGAGGCAGCAACTGCAAACCTTTTTTTTTTTGGAGACAGAGTCTCGCTCTGTCACCCAGGCTGGAGTTCAGTGGCATGATCTCGGCTCACTCCAAGCTCTGCCTCCCAGGTTCAAGCAATTCTCCTGCCTTGGCCTCCCGAGTAGCTGGGACTACAGGCACATGCTACCATACCCGGCTGATTTTTTGTATTTTTAGTAGAGACAGGGTTTCACCGTGTTGCCCAGGCTGGTCTTGAACTCCTGAGCTCAGGCAATCTGCCCACCTCGGCCTCCCAAAGTGCTAGAATTACAGGCATGAGCCACCGTGCCTGGCCTCAAATGCAGACCTGTTTTTGGAAAAGCTTACTGAATAAGGAAGGAAAAAGATAATATCTGTTACTATTAGCTGATCCTTACTGGGCACTCCAAATACCACTTTTAAAATTTCACTTCTCTGTTCTCTACTTGTATCCTATGCCTCCAGGAAAATGAATGAAATTTATTTATCTTACTGTGTCATAATTTTTTTTTTTTTTTACTTATCCTATCTTTATTTATGCCCATCTCCTGCACGAATCTATGAGCTTGCAGGCAAGAATGCTATATTACCTGGCTTTGTATCCTCAGGACCTAACACTGTTCTTGTGTAAACTATGTGCAGTGTATGTCTATTGAATAAAAGAATGGCTGGAGACTTCTTAGAAGTCTACCCACCCAATTTGCCACAAATTGCATATCTTCAACTCCATCCCTCTGTATGATTTTTCTTCTTTGCCTGTATCTATAAACTATTTCAAAATGCAACTGGCAATTCATTTCCTCCAGAAGTCTTTTCCCAATTAACCTAATGTAAACTAAACAGTATATTTGCATATCCTCAGTGCATAAATGAGTTGGTATGTATTTTCTTTGTATGAATTTAAATAGTGCTTAATAAAATTCTGTTCTGCAAGTATTTTTAGGTCATAATATGTGTATAAATTTTGTCTTCAAATATAACAAGACATTGTGCATGCTGAGTAAATGTTAACATGCATGAATAGACTGTAAAATACATCTGAATATACAAACATCATAGATCAATATCATAGATCTGCTACTTCTTGACCTACTGGACAGAAGTTTTAATCAAAAACAATGTTTCACCAGTGTTACTCTTTTGGATCACATAAAGCAGAATTTTATGAATTGATGACCTTCAAAATGTTGAAATAACGCTCTAAAGGTATGTATTTTGCAATTTATGTTAACATTCTGATTTGTCATTTGGCAAAAATGAAATGGCTAGTAGAAGTGTTCTAGTTATTTAATTGTGAAAGATATTGTTTCTTCATCATGATTATTGTTTGAATTTTATACATTTGGTGAACTCATTCATATCATTTTTATAAATACCTAGCAGGTAACTTATTTGATTGTCATTGGAAATTACAAGCTGACTTAGAGATATTCAAGGAGGAGACAGGAATTCCCATTGGAATGAGGATGCAAAACCCACACTGAAATTGTTGTACATGTAAAAGGAACTAGAGAAGTAGAAAGAAACACGAGACTGTTGTACCGTACAAATGAAGCTGCAGATTATCTAACAGGCTATATTTTGTATACCTATTATGTTCAGGGCTTACACTGCTATAATATTATATTTACCTGTCTGCTTCACCTGCTAAACTGAGAACATCTCAAGAGCAGTATCTGTGTATTATTCATCTTTTTCCATAATATCTAGCATGAAGCCTGGCATAAAAAATGTCCTCAGTAAGTATTTATGAAACCAAATTAAAAATGTACAGCCACCAGGCCAGGTATCTGTTACCCTTTATGCATCTTCACATTTATTTATTTATTTATTTATTTATTTATGATAATGTAGATTTCTATTTATTGATATGAAAAAATGATCTTCATGCCTTGTGGAAGGGGAAAAACAAGGTTTAAAACATTTAGAGAACCCAGTTCACTTGTATATATGTATATGCATACTTTCATAAGTTAAGAATGCATAGAGATATATCTGGAAGGATAACTAATCAGATAGGATTTCATATGATTTTAATTTGTATATCTATATTTTTTATGCATTGTCTGAGTCATGATGAGCTCAATTTAACGTTAAAAGAGTGAAGCCATCTTTCAGAATGTGGACAGAATACAAATTAAAGCTAAAAGCCTCAGGTACCAGGCCTGCTGCTTACTAGCTGTGGCAAACTACTTGTCTACATCATCATTTAATTATATGTAAAAAGAGAAAACAAGCAGGTCTGACCTTTTAACACTCTTGGCTGTTTTGAGAAGCAACATGGGTATGATCTTGGTGCACAAACCCAGGCATGCATTACTTTTGTTTGCTCATCCTTGCCTCCTAACATTATGCTTGAGTTCTGGCATCTTATATGGTGTCTTAGCAAAGATATCTTGGGGTTTGCTGTAGGGAAGGCAGGTGGTAGAGTCAATGGTTTGGGGTACAGAACTGTTATTGGTGAGGTGTCCATTCTACTGGCCTGCATAGCCTCTTCAGGATCTGAGGAATGTTTTTGCTTCAGGATCACTTTTGGGGTGCCAGGATATTTTACAAGACCGCCAATAGTCCTGTTGCCTATCCAGGCTACCATTTCTTTCTGTTCTGGATCACAGGTAAAATGTTGGGAGTCTGGGCTGGAAACCTCCTCTGCTGTCAGAACCAGCAGCTCTCCTCCCTCCAGTTCAGGATCCAAAAGAATAACTTCCTTCTCTTGGGGAGGGACAGGGAAAGCTTTATGACCCCCAGCCTTCATCCCTGACCCCAACCTCCTGGGCATGTTATCTGTATCACGGAATCCTTTCCAGCCTGCCCTTACTAGCTGGAGGTGATTCCATGGCATAGATAATACATCTGTTAGGCTCATTTAGAGACTCTTAGGTTCCTTCTCTTTTACATCTTATCACAAGAGTCTCCCAAGGCAATGGGTACAGGGCCCTGTGCCTGATAAAGAGTAAGGCAAAAGAAAACAGAAATAAAGGGTGGAAAATAAAACCCAAAGATATCTCAAAATATTTTCTGGAAAGTTATGAAAATGTTATGTTCCTGGGAGGGACACAAACTAACTAGAAGACATTTTACAAGGCTTCTCAATAGGCTTCTGAAAGGGAATTAGGTTCTAGCGCTCTACGGTATCTATTGAACATAATACAATTATCTTCTCTCCTGCATCTAGAATGGTATTAGCCATGCACTCTCCTTGGGGGAATTGAGAAAATACTTACTAAAATTAGCTCCTAAAGGGACTGTTTATCTCTCTGAACTGATTGAGAAAGGCTGCAAGCATGATAACTGTGGTGCATGCAACTGAGGAGACCCTTAAGGGAGTGTAAAAATTGTAGCAAAAAATGCCTAGATACCCTATCCCAGGAAGGTGAAGACAGGGAAGGTGTTCTCTGGCAGGTATGAGGTGAAAAGGCAGGAGTCCTGGCTCCTGGAGAACATGATTGTGACAGTCCTATAGGTGTCTTGACACTGTGGAGAGTAGCAGCTTCTGATAGAGGAAAAACAGAAACAGAAAATGGAAATTCTTTTGGCACCTCTGTTTATGCTTGTCCTACTTGTTGTTTGAATGCCTTATAAATATATGAAAATATACTGAACCCAAAATTGTGACATGCTGACCTGATGTCCTGCATCCTTTAAATAGAAGTACATAGATCATGGTCAGGATTACAACGTGGAGAGGTGAGTATGATCAGACAGGTGGCCCAAGTTCATTAACTGTCTACCTCCAACATTTCCTTAGCTCCAGATACTCAATTTGACCATCCATAAAAAGAGATGGTACTATTTACCTTTTAAGGTTGTGGGGAGATTCTAATGAGATAGAAGAGAGAGCCTAAGACAATATCTGGTATATAATAAGTGCTCACAAAATCACAGGGATTATTACTTCTCTTGGTGTTAATTGCTTCATAATAAGACAGGCATACGCATTCTCTTAAGAAATGAAAAAATAAGAAACTAAAATTGTTTTATCCTGTCCCCCTTTCCAGCCTTGGGAGGACTACTCAGATGATAGGAACCAGTGGTTGAAAAAGAAAGAGAAACAAGATGAAAGGATTCGTGACTTTTCTGGGAAGTATAAAAAGCTATTTTGTGCCTCTTCTTTATTTAGTTGCCAATAGATTGTTTTATTTATCTATCTTGTTGTGTGATAAAATGCGATATGGGAGTAATTGTTTTTCTTGTGTGTGCATGCATGTACGTATTTCTATTTTGATGAAGTGCTGACCCTGCTGATTCAGAATACCTTTAAGTTTTACAAAGATTTTGTTTTCTCCTGGCTTCCTCTTGCATACACAAAGGCAGTAATAGAGTGTCATTTAAATAATATGCCTTGGTTAGAACACAGCAAACTAGTTAAGAGAAACATTTTAGAGGTTGACCTAAAATACATTAACTTTGAAATAAATATACATCTGGTATAAAGAATGAATTTTACCAAATATGCATATCAGTTATACCAACAGATACCATTTTGGGAAGATACGTATTCTGGTTTTAAAAATATTTTAGTTTGAGTTCAGTTGTATTATAGCTTACATAATACTAATTAGATGCTGGCTCAGAACTATGTGTTAGTCAAAAATTTTGGCTAGGTTCTCATGAAATATCTGAAAGGCTAAAGAACAATGTAATTATGCATACATTTAAAATTTTGAAAGAAACATCCCATGTGCTACCTGACAGTGAAATTGTCCCTGATGATAAGGAGAAAGGATAAGAAGATGCTGGGGACTGCCCGGTTCAGAGTGGACATACTCAGGCCTAATTCCTTAAATATTCAACTGAACTAGATGATGCTCTATGATCTATAAGCTCTCTGTGCCTTGGTTTCTAATAGAACAAAATGTAGGGAGCATCAATCTCATAAATATTTCTTTTCTTTCTTCTTTTTTTTTTATAAACTGAATGGAGATTCCTGTGCAGTAGACTATATCATAAATGCTGGCATTAGAAGATTAGAAAAACTCCTGTCTTATAAACTATTTTATATTGGGTATTTACTATTTATAGCTAACGGATTTCTAAATATATGATTTGACCTGCTACATTTAAACTAAGTAATAAAATACGTGTCAAATAATCCAAGTTAATATCCAAAGTCATGACATTATCAAAGTTACAGTTTTTTCTTAATCTGTCAAGAATTTCAGTGCTAAATTGACCTTAATTTTTTAAAAAAATAATATTTAGGTAACTTTCTGATTACTCAAAATAGTTCAGAACTGTAACTCATGCTCCTGTGTGTGTGTGATTTTTCTGCCTGTGCACTCTATAACTGTGACTTGCTCAAGGGTGCTAAGAAGAGAGAAGCTGATGTGGCTGATGTTGGAAGGTGATGAATTCATCCATGGTAAAAGAAATATCCCTTAAGGCAGGGGTCTCCAACCCCTGGACCATGGACAGATCAGTGGCAGCATCAGATTCTCACAGGAGCATGAACCCCACGGTGAACTCCACATGCAAGGGATGTAGTTGCGTGCTCCCTATGAGAACCTAATGCTTGATGATCCGAGGTAGAACAGTTTCATCCCAAAACCATTCCCCTGCCTCCGTAGAAATATTGTCTTCCACGAAACTAGGCCCTGGTGCCAAAAAGGTTGGGGCCTGCTGCCTTAGGGCATGTCCTGTTACCAGCTTCCAGTTGCCCTTGAAGTGGTCTTCATTATCCTGGCTTTCTCTCCTCAGCCTCTTCTTCCTGCTGGACTTCCTACGGGCCTATCCCTCACTGGCTCTGGGTCCTGGGCCTCTACCCAGGCCTGAGTCCATGTGCTCAGAAAAGGTGTGGTTTCATCCTTCTGGAGTACTGGTGTTCATGTGACTGTCCTTTGAAAGAACAGGGCAAGAGTCATCTGTTTTCTATTAAACTTTAATGACATTTGATACACACAAGACACTGAGAGAGGGGCAGAGAAAACTGGATGTGCAGATAAAATGGAGACCAAAGTAGTACATCAGGAGAGATGTGAAGATATCCCAGGTAAGTCTGATTCTACTATCATTTTATTTAGATATATGGTAAGATCTATTGCAAGGCAATTTCTTCTCTTTTACCTAGTTCTTTGAAAAACCTTTGTAAAAATGAGACTGTGTCTGATAGTCCTGTTGACTTTTTACACATCAAGGCTTAAATTATAATGACTAATTTTCTTGTCATCTTCAACAAACTCACCATTAACTGAGAGTCCATAGGGTAAACACCGGTGAGTTTTATCTACTTTTCATCAGTGTTGACACATGGTAATAAAATCATTTGTTGAAAAAATTTATGAATGAATGAATAAAGCACAATCTGAAAGTGCTCACCTGTTCCAAAAGCATTCATTGAAACAATGCTTTCATTCACTGGTAAAAAGTAGCAATGGGACTATTTCTCATGGATACATTTATATTGAATAGTGCTCATAAACTATATATAATATTTATGATATATGTGTACATGCATTTACATCAGATTATGTAAACAAATGAGAACCAAAAGAAAATTTAAATATGTGCAAATATTTACCAAACACCAAAACCATCAAAGCAGAGGCAACTCCAATTCTAAAGAAGACATATGCACAATCAAATATGTCACTTAAAAATGTAAGAAAAAGACAATCTCTTTTCCATTCTCAGAGCTTGATTTAATATCAAGGCAGAGCTCAGCAGTTTGGCCTTTTCTTCAGAGTTGGAATGTGCTTTCCAAACCTTTTTTATTTTAATGTGACTCTGGCTGATAGTCCCTGAAATTCTAACATTCGAGCCCTATAAGCATTATTTTACTCTCGTGGCCCACTGAGCAACCTCAGAAAAAATAATTTTTGGCAACTGATCTTTACAGAAAATGAAGTGATTGCCATTTTTTTCATTTCTCTCTGGATTTCTCAAACAAGCCTGCCAATATTGAGTGAAAGCACTTTGGAAAGTAGTAACTTGGATATCAGAATAAATAAATATTATGGATTCTCCCCTGCAAGTTTTACCCAGTATCCCTGAAAGAAAAAGCTTCCTCTCACCTGTTTTGACTGTACGTGTGGCTGTGCTCTCTGGCTTCAGAATTGCTTCTATAGGAAGAAATTAATCATCGATTATTCTACTAAAATAGATGTGAGTATTTTCTCTTAATCAAAAAGGTACTATCTGAGCTCAATTACTTTCATGTATATATACATTCTGGTGTGAAGGCTGATCCAGTTTCTTAATAAAGTTGGCGGGAAATAATCTGAAAACTCTCCAAAGGGAAGAAGTTAAGAAGAGTGAAAAAGGATTATATTATGAGCTTTACCCAAATTTCATAGCAAATGGTTGCCAAGCTATATGAATCTCACTAAACCCGTTTGGTGTTAAGAGTTTTAGTCAGCACATGCCCAAGCCATTTGCATCCTAGGAAACAAATGTGGAGCACATGTTCTGAAACAAGTTAATGTGAGAGCAGCCCGGACACCAGAGCCAAGAATCTGAATCTTGGCTGGAAACAACAGAGGGTTAAAAAAATTCTACATATAGAAAGATAGCATTTGTCTTTAATGTCTGAGTTCTTTTTTTCTTTTTTTAAACAGTGTGAAATCAGTTTAATGAATGAGAGGAACATGCCATGTTGCAGTGCTAAGTCATAGCAGTTTGGCTGCCTGTGTTCAACCATGTGACAGGTTTCGTAAACTAGAAAGTACCGTGGCACTTTCAACAGTAACTGAAGCCATAAGGCAACGTTTCTAGTTTTATTTATGGCTTATTCATCAGGCCAGTGGACCAAATGCTAAAACAAAATAAAACAAAAAGTATTCATAGTTATGGATATGTTACCTATTCTAATTAACCCCAAAAGTAAGGAAACATTAAAACTTATTCAGAAAGACTTTAAGTATGGTATATTTTTCTTAAATTTGATGGAAGGGGTGATGCTAGAATTTTTTCATGACTGATACGACATTTTGTTAGAAGATTTGATTGGGAAATACTACCACACAGTAAAAAACACCTTACTGTGTACATTGAAATCTCAAATAATCTTGTATAGGTTTGTGTGTAAAATTAAAATATAAAAAAGAGGAACTTTTTTTTTATTTTATCTCACTCAAAGAATATTTAAGTAATATTGTAGGTGGAATATTATCTTGCTAATTCAGCTGAATATTACCTCTTTTGCATTGTATGATCAGGTATATTAGAATTTGTGGGTTAAATAACACATATTGCTAATCAACCTAAGATCACAGTTTGTTTCCCCTTTGAACAGGTAACATTCACTGTGATCCGTTATGTGAGCAACAATGTGGAGTACTGGTATAGAGTTTCGGGAGACCTGGGTGTTAATTCTAGCTTAGTCACATGCTACATGTGTGAACTTGGGCAAGTTACTTGATCCTGAAGCCTCACTTTTCTCCTTTGAAAATGGGAATAATACTACCACCTACCTCCTGGAATTGTAGTGGTGAAGATTAAATCAGGTAATGTGCCAAGCACTCAGACAGCACTCAATAAATGTTAGTTATTCTCCTTCATGGTGAAGAGGGTAAGACTGGATAATTACAATCAAAGTAATTCAAGGGGCACGCATTGCTGAATGGGAATGTCTTCACACTTTATGAACAATGAATTTATATACATAAGTAGAGACATGGCCAAGGTTAAAGGTGAACAAAACTGACCTCTACCTTCCCCTTGTATCATACAACCCCCTGCCCCCCATTTCTTTCCTGCCAGTTTGAATCTCAGTGGTCTCAATTTGCTTTCCTCCAAAATAGTTCAAAACAAACAAAACAAAAATAGAATAAAGATGGATTGAGAAAAAGAGACGAACTTTGGCCCCAATCCCTTGGTGATGCCAGGTCCAATATAATTACATTCTACAAATTCAATGTAGTTTTTACCCTTTAATTTAAAATAAAGTTATTATATGAAGACATGTCTATTTATACTGAAATGTTTATAGCCAGTAGAAATATTCAATTTTTTATGTATTTTTTTTACATGGTAATGAGTTGCTATGAAATCCACAGAAAATGTCATTTTTTATTTTTACATAGAACAATGACAATTGGTTACTCAGAAGTTTACTGAGTATACATGACACATTTTTCCAAGTAATAATATGTAGTGGATTTGATATAGCAATTTATTAGAAATACAGAAATGTGGATTATAACAAGAAGTACAATTACGTG
Organism: Homo sapiens; assembly: GCF_000001405.40. Taxonomy (NCBI): domain Eukaryota; kingdom Metazoa; phylum Chordata; class Mammalia; order Primates; family Hominidae; genus Homo; species Homo sapiens. The sequence goes on along the minus strand of NC_000002.12, from coordinate 150,809,934 downwards.
AAACTGTTTACTAATATTAACATTAGTCTCTAAACAGAAATACATTTTTCCTCCTTCATTTTTTAATGGCTCATGAGTGCTACTATACAGATCACAAGATTCATGAGTATGAACTATTTTTATCTAGCTTCCATGATGAGACTATCCTCCAGGACAAATTAGATTTTCAGACAGCCTCATGGATAAGTGAAAAGAAAAAGTGTGATTTAAAAAATAATCCTCAAAGTTCAGATGCTGGGGGATCTGGAAATCCCATACAGAATAACTGTCTTGAAAAATTTATACCCTTTTCTTCCTTTGCTGAATGAAATGTATTGTGAACAAGCAACCTGTCTCTCAGAATTTTGTCACTTACCTTACCAGCTGGTCCCAATCAATGTAAGGTTGAAAATCCAAAGCTCCAACTAACCACGTGTTCATAAAAATGCAGGGCAGTTCTTAAACATTGATTAAGAGCTAGCCATGTGTTAGGTGTTAAAGAAATGGAGGTGAGTATCTTAAGGGTGTAGGTTATGCCAAAGTTTTCTTCGCAGGAATAATACATAAAAATGAAAACCCTGATGTTCAGCTATGACACAATATCCAGTTGGGAGAGAGGTGACAGTTGGATAATCCTTCTGTGCTGACTGAGACACAGGCCATATGGTTTGCACAGAGGGGCTGATGGAACTGATAACACAGTTGTTAGAAAGCCTCTCCTTTTCTCGGGTTGCTTCTACATTGTTCTAATTCCTGTATTGTGATAAAACTTGCACCTACTAACACCTAGTCATGATCCTTTCTTGATTTGTTCTCTGGAGTCATTTATCATTCAACTCTTGCAAACATTTCAACCTAAGTAAGAAATAACAGGCTATCAGTACTCTGCAGGGAATATCTAACTGTGGTTCCATGGCCTTACACATACCACATCTGCTTTCTTTTTGATATAAAAGCAGAAACTTTGATTCTCCAATTCTAGTGCAATGGCAAGGTTGGGGCTGAGTGTTTGTAATCATTTTCTAATAAAGCTGACTCTGAAAAATTATGATTTTTTTTCTTAAACCTTAACTCTAAACCAAATAAACGCTTCTGAGAAACATGGTCCATAAAACACATAAAAATATGTTTCAGGCATCTCTTATTTTATTGATGCATATACAAACATGAAAGAGTGAAAAACTTGAGAAAAGTGTTATATATTAAAATGTACTTAAAAATTAATTGAAATTCTAGCTTGTATTCCTGCACATAATGCATTTGATAAATCTAAATTAGTGCCATTATTTGGTCTTAAGCTTTTGCCTATTGGTGGGCAAATGGTCATCAAAAGGGTTCAGCAAAAAGAGATCAATTTCTTACAATGTATATTTTTTTCTGCTACCTATTGATTAAGAGCTTGATCTCTGGACTCCAAAAGCCTGGAAATGAATTCCTATTTTAGCATGGAACAGCCAAATGATCTTGGGCAAATTATTTATCTTTTATAAGCCCCACTTTCCTCCATTCTTAGAATAATGAAAACTCTGGGGTAGGAAGCCTCTAAAATAACCCTAATGACCCCTACCTCCTAGTACTCACAGACTTGCATAATTCCCTCCCCTTGAGTGTGGGCTGCACTAAGTGACTTTTTTCTAATGAATACGATGGGACAGACATGATAGGAAATCACTCCTGAGATTAGGTTATACAAAGATATTAGCTTCCTTCTTGAGGACCCATTATCTGTTCTGTTTCTCAAATTCCTTGTCCTGTGGGGAGCAATTCACTATGTTGGGAGCAATCCTATTGTGAGACACACTTGCCAAGAAACTGATGTCTCCAGCCAATAGCCAGTGAAGACCTGAGATCTGCCAACAGCCATGTGTGTATGTGTGGAAGCAGAATTTCTAAGGCCTGCTAATAACCAAGAACATGAGCCTAAGGTCCCCAGCTAAATCGTGCTCAGTTTTCCTAATCCACAGGAATTGTGCGATAATAAATGCTTATTGTTATAAGACTCCAAGTTTGGAGTTAATTTGTTATACAGTGATGGATAACTAATACAAACTGGGACAACAATAACAACATCCTTGTAGGATAGTTTTGATGATCAAGTGTGATGATACATAAACAGACAGTTATTCTCTGCATTGAAAGGGAATTAAAATGGAAGAAAGCTAATTAAACAAAACCTGTTAAATCAGAGTAACTTTATTTTTTGTAGATAACTGTTCTTTTTCTGTTTATAAAGTCTGTTTATAAGCCACATCTTTTACTACTAAAGTCTTCTTAAATTTTCTCTTCTACAAAAGGGGAAAACCTCCTTCTGGGATTAATCTCACAATATCATCCTTGGTCCAGATAATCCAGAACTCTTCCCGTTCTTTTTTTTAAATTTTTTTTTTTTCAAGAATACGTCTAGTAATCTTTTTTTTTTTTTTTTTTTTTTTTTTTTTTTTTTTTTTGAGATGGAGTTTTGCTTTTGTTACTGGGGCTGGAGTACAATGGCATGATCTGGGCTCACTACAACCTCCACCTCCCAAGTTCAAGCAATCCTCCTGCCTCAGCCTCCCAAGTAGCTGGGATTACAGGCACCCGCCACCATGCCTGGCTAATTTTTGTATTTTTAGTAGAGACGGGGTTTTGCCATGTTGGCCGGGCTGGTCTCAAACTCTTGGCCTCAGGTGATCCACCTGCCTTGGCCTCCCAAAGTGCTGGGATTACAGGTGTGAGCCACCACGCCCAGCCCACATCTAGTAATCTTAACCTCCAACCTCCAACCCACACATACTGCCCAATATTTTTAGTTACCCCCAATAAAATTTTTTATCCTAGAGGAAAAAGAAAATCACGTTTGCTCTTTCTGTGCATTGGGCACATGATTGTGGAAATCTGTGCTTCATATTCATTTTTAAATCTCTCTGTATAGGGTTTTATTACAGCCACATTATATAAGTACTTTTAAAATTTTGTGTTGAGACATAAATTAATGAAAATGACTAGTATCAACAGATTTATTCATTTTTATAGACATCTCTTTTATAGCAAAAGTCCAGCTTTCAGAAGACGGAGAGCTCTGACAATTGAGAATTCTGATGGGGTCCTTCTAACTTTTCAAAAGTAGGTCATATTTCAAGATAGAAATAAGATATAAGCAAGAAGAATTTCTCTTGTCTTTCCTCATGCTTCTTGCATCCTTTTATGCAGACAGGTGGAAAAAAAAGTTTCTTTTACATGAAATGGGAAAACTTGGCACAAGACCAGAATTTTTAAAACCCCCTCACGCTCTTTAAAGTGCAATATCATTATTCAAGTGCCATAAAAGTCAAGGCATGTGCCTGGGTTGTGCTTCAGGAAAGATTGTGGCCAACTTGTGGATTCCACAGCCATTAATAGTACTGTTTGGAACACTACTCAGTAGGTCAGGGACTCTTCCTCCAATAAGATTTTCATGCTTGGCTGAAAAAGAGTGAAAGCCGTTAGTGCACTTGACCTTTCCCAGGGAGAGTTGGAAATCATGAAGGACAGATTCCGGAGATGTATGTCTGCCAAGTCCAAACATAGTGTTTAATTCAGTAGATTAACAGTGGCTAAATAATCACTGGAAATTCCAATTCATTCTTATACGATTTGGTTTAGGAGTTCCATGCACAGCCACCCTACAGTGTAGACCAGAGAAGTCACTATTTTGCCTTTGGGTGTTTTAGGTAAATCAAATTCAGACAGGCTGGGCAATATAAAAGAGAAATATTAATGAGACATTTTCAATTCTGCCTTCGCCCCCACCTTTCTGTGTAAATTTAGGCAAGTTTCTTAGTTTTTTGACTACAAGTTATAGATATCTAAGTCAAGTGAGCATAAGCAAAAACAAAAATAAAAAACATGAATTATGTTTTTTTTTTTAAAGGATATGAGACTTCTCACAGAAATAAAGGTTAAATTATACCTGTGCCTCAGCAACAACTGTATCCAGGAATTCCAGCACTTATTTCTTCTCTCATGGGGGCATCTTTATTCCTCTTTTGTTCCTTTGGTTTCCACTGCCTGTTTAGTTCACAAGGTAGGCAATAGAGTGTTAATAATCACAAGTTCTACATCCTACCAAAAATAAAAATCAATGAATGGAACTTAGTGGCTTAGCATGGATAAGGTGCATGGAAATCGATGGCTTAGCATGGATTGGATGGCTAAAAACCAATAGTAATAAGGTGAGGTGCATAAGGTGGATAGTGCAATTGGGGAGGTGGTGGTAGGAGAGTGCTGGGTGGATAGCACAGTAGGGTTGTGCTCTGTAGTGGGACTCAGACCACCTGCTCAAGATGCAAAGAGAATAAAGGATAGCAAAACTTTGCAGTGGTTAGAAGTACTGCCAAATCACTTGGAGGACAGAAATAGCACCAAAGCACTGATTGTTAACCATGACTGAATGTTTAAATCACCTGGGAAGATTAAAAAAATTTTTTTACTAAAACAAAGTTCTGTGTTTCTTGAGAATCACCTTGGGAACTTAAAAATTTCATAGCCTTCCCAGATCTACTCAGATCTAGTCATTCAAAATCTCTGGGAAATTACAACAAGCTCCCCAAGGGTTCTTTTCCACAATGAAGTTTGAGTATCATTGCTCTAGCTTCGTGATTCTCAAAGTGTGATTCTCAGACCAGCAGCTTCATTGTCACCTGGGAACTTACTACTAAAGCAAATTCTCAAGTTCACCTCAAACCTACTTCATCAAAACTCTTGGGGGTAAGGCCCAGGAATCTGAATTTCAAGGAGGCCTCCAAGTGTTTGTAATACCACAAGTTTGAGAACCATTGCTCCAGACATTTATCTTTCTAAGAATTCATCTTTATGATATTTTACATATGTATTCATCTTGGGTTTTAGCATTTACAGTATGTAAATTGCTTTTCTTTAAACTCTAAGTGTTTGATTAGATAATAACCCTGCATCTTCATTGACACCATAATGCCATTTGAAAAACAATTGTTACGTAAGACATGAAGAGGTAAATTATTAACATCTACAAAACTGAGAAAAAGATAGCTTTCACCATGTTTTTATTTCCTAATTAGCTTCCCCTAGTGTCTTTGGAGTGCATTCCTCCCTTCCATATGTTGCTTCAGTATCAGTTTCATTGCTTTCAACATCTTTAGTTGTAGACAGTGTAGCTATCACTTGAGCAAGTTCGTCTTTTAATTTCCCCCTCTTAGGCCAATGATTTTTCTTAAATATAAGGAAAATATATTACAAAACTTTATTTTGAATAAAATATTATTGAATTGTAAAATAATAATTTTCAATAGAGTTTAAAAGTTTAAAAAACTTTTTAAGAAAATATTTTAAGATTGCAAAACAAGACTATAAAGTATACATACTTGTTATTATGTTTCTACACAGGGGCAGGGAACACTTTCCTTTATTATTTCAGATTCCAGGGATACATGTACAAGGCTCAGGAAACACTTCAGAATTTCACATATAATGATTTACTGGAGATAAAGTGGTTATGGAGATTCTACCTGCCATAACAAAAGATAGCTAGCAAGACCACAGTAGAAGAAAAGAAAGTAGGTTAATATTTGAAAACACATGAAACTATACCCTAAACCAACTACTTTTGAAAATTTTATAAAAAGTGAGAATACACAGATCCACAGTCATCAGCCATCAGTGCAATGACAGTATCCTATGGCAGATAGGGATAGCGGCAGGAGGCAGGCAAATGCCTAGGCAAATAGGGGCTGGTCCCAGTGAAACCCAACCTTCAAGCTGAAGACAGTCCTGGGTAAATCCTCAGACCGGACTGAGAACCTGTCTTTCTGTTTGGCATGCTTTCCTCTGATCACTACCCTTCACCTATTTTACATGTACTAACCCTTTCCTAATTGTTTTTTCACACTGCTGTGCTCACCTTTGACTGGGGCCTTTGTTTTTGCTTTTCTTTGCATACTCACAAACCAATCAGGACACACTCCCCTAATTTGAGCCCATAAAACCCCAGATTCAGTCAGGAGGGAAACTACCTGACTGCAGGGAGTAAGGGACCACCCCGCCATGTCCCCTCTTTGCTGAGAGCTGTTGCATGACTCAACAAAATTTTTCTCTGCCCATCTTCACCCTTCAATTGTCAGGGTATCCTCATTCTTCTTGGACTTGGAACAAGAGCCGGGGAACCTCCAAATGCAGCTACAAGCTACAGCACAGGCAGGCCAAGTCGATGGTGTGCCTCCAGTGGTAGGCCTGGGGCTGAGTGAGGCCTGGGTTGGGGGGTGTCGCTGGGCAAAGTGGCTGAGAAAAATCCTGCATCAATAGGCTCTGAGAAATTCCACTGTATAGTAATTCAAGAAGAACAGTGAAAAAGCAATGTCTTAATACTATTATGATTATAATTTTGACCCCAAAGACCCTGTAACATGGTATTTGGGACTCCCAGGAGTTCCTGAACGACAATTTAAGAATGGTGAACTGGGTTAAATTCATACAGTTAAATTCAGATGCTCCCCTCTGATAAACCTGACCAAACTAAAGTGCCACAATAATAAAAAATTTTCATGGACTCCATGATGACGGAGACTCATTATCAAGTCAATTGGGATGAATATAAGACATATTATTTTTAATGTAATTAAAATTCTGGGGAGCAAAGAATGTGATGTGAACTTCAGAGTAATAGAGAAGAAAGGTTTGTTTTGGAAAAAGTACCAGGACCCAAGCTGTTGAAAGCAGTCTTTTCTGATTTTAGAAAACCGGCAAGGCTGAAGACCTTATTTGCTTGATATATTGGACTAAAAAAACATTTTTTTTTTTAAGTTAAGAGATCTTTGCAGCATGCTAAATAATTCTTGGGACACTATCAGCCTAGTTGGAGATTTCTGCCAAAGAATGTAGTTGAGACTGTTAGCAAAGGGAGATGAGACTAATTATCTTCCAGGTAAAATTTTGAAGACTTTAGAGATCTACCAGCAGAGTAGCTTTGAGTGAGGGTATCACTTGGTTATAATATGTAGGTATGAAGAGTGTTTCAAATGTGGAGAATCAGACCATTTAAAATGTTTAAAACAAATAATTATGTGGAGGAAGAAAATATGTAAACAGACTTCATAGGATGTGGTCAGAGAGCTAGTCACAGATACATTAGCATTATGTGAGCAGCAGAGAAGGACAACTAATATAGTTAAACTGACAACACCTCCAGCTTCATGAAATATATCATCAAGATGGGATTAGACATGTATGAGATTTATGGAGGCCAGGAGGAAAAGGCCTAAGCAGGATAAAGACTGGGTGCAGGAGAAGACGGGAAGAGGCTTCAGACCATGATGCATCTCTGAGCCCAGGAAAGGAGAGAAGGAAGGAGGATTGTGTAGAAAGGAACTAAGGCTGAGCACATTTCCAAGAAAAGTGTAGCCAGGCTGATGCGAGCTCTTGAGCTGCAGCCATCCCTTGGAGGAGTCGGGCATCTGGCAGGAGTGGGCCTACATTAGTGCTCCAGCTCTGCTCAGTCATTGGCTGGGCGCAGCCTGAGGGAAGCATGGCTCCAGCACAAACAAGGTGATGGGCGTAGAGGCTCTCCTAGCAGTGGCTGCAGCCATCTTTCAGTGATGCTTTCCCAAAGAAGACATCTGAAAGGTAAATTTTCATGGCTACTATAAGAGACTTCAAGAAAAAGTTCAAGGGAAGAGAAAAAGAGTCAGAGACCGGGCACAGTGGCTCACACCTGTAATCCCAGCACTTTGGGAGGCCGAGGCGGGCGGATCACGAGATCAGGAGTTCAAGACCAGCCTGGCCAACATAGTGAAACCCCGTCTCTACTAAAAATACAAAAACTTAGCCATGTGTGGTGGCGGGCACTCAGCTACTCAGGAGGCTGAGGCAGGAGAATTGTTTGAACCTGGAGGCGGAGGTTGCAGTGAGCCGAGATCGTGCCATTGCACTCCAGCAGGGGCGACAGTGTGAGACTTGGTCTCAATAATAAATAAATAAATAAATAATAAGAAATGCCTCTGGCAAGGTAAAATAGAAAGAAAAATGCAAAGCAAAAATAAAATAAAATAAATTGAGTAATAAATTGGTTATGGTTGCAGGGCTGAAAATGGGCCTCCTAGGATTTAAATATTTCATTTAATCATTTGTATACCTGATGGTATACAAATAAAATTCGATGAGTATTGCACCTTGAATTTGATAGATCTTTAATATTTCTTAAACTTGGTGGTGCACAGAATCACTGGGGTTGTTAATAAACTGGATTTCTAGGCTTCTCCGTGACCTACAAATTAGACTTTGTAAGAGCTAAAATTGCTAAAATTGAGACTTTACACTGTTAAGCATCTCATATGATTCTTATTCAGCCAGCCTGGCCTGTTAGCTAACTGATATTTGGTAATTAATGATCTAGTACAGCTATTTCCAAAGACTGGCAGTCACCTGAGTAAGAGGAGCAAGACACATGAGCAGTAGATTCTAATTTAAAAAGTTTGGCCCAGCGCAGTGGCTCACGCCTGTAATCCCAGCACTTTGGGAGGCCGAGGCGTGTGGATCACCTGAGGTCAGGGGTTCGAGACCAGCCTGAACAACATGGCAAAACCCCGTCTCTACTAAAAATACAAAGTTAGCCAGGTATGGTGGCGGGCACCTGTAATCCCAGCTACTAGGGAGGCTGAGGCAGGAGAATTGCTTGAACGCAGGAGGTGGAGGTTGCAGTGAGCCAAGATCGTGCCGCTGCACTCCAGCCTGGGCAACAAGAGGGAAACTCCATCTCAAAATACAAAAAAAAGAAAAAAAAAAAAAGTTTGAGTGAGTCCTCAGCATCTTAAATGTGTTAACAATTTTCTCAGGGGATTCTAATGGACATCAAAGTTTTCAAACCACTAGTGTAGTCCAGAGGTTTCAAGATAGGATAGGTAAGACTATAATACGTATACAGAACATATAAACAAATTCTATTTATTTTTATCTAATTCTTTAAAAAGTATCATTTTTGGGATATAATTGACCATGTATGTATTAAATGTATAAATGTTAAATATACGCATGTTGGATATGTACATTTAAAGTTTTTGCTATTAGGGTATATGAAAAAGGTGTGGATTCCATTGGACCAGTTAACTATTACTGTTATGGAAGCAGGATCAGCCTCAAATTAAAAAAAAGGAAATTCATATTAATTCTAAATCAAATGGCCTTAAAAAGTCGAAGAAGACCGGTAATAAGTGTCTCTCATTACTACTGGCCAATAGAATAATGATTGCTTATTTATTCAGATGCTCATTAAAAGAGTAGTGCTGCCAAATCAGGAAGAAATTGAAAAATGGTTTAGTGAAGCCCTAGAGTATATTGGAAAGCTATCGATTTTAGAATATTTAATAAAATATTGTAAAGTTGAAGTTTTTAAATGTTTACTGATAAGGAAAAGAGATTAGAGATACCTGCCTTGAAAGAAAAGGACTTGAATATCTCTACAGGAGGAAAGGTTTTAGAGGCTGAGGAAGTGTACTCAGGGTTCTCCATGGGGACAGAACTAATAGGATATATGTATGTATAAAAAGCAGTTTATTAGGGAGAATTTGCTCACACGATTACAAGGCCAAGTCCCATGATAGGCTGTCTGGAAGCTGGGGAAGAAAGAAGCTGGCAGTGGCTCAGTCAGAGTCCAAAAGCCTCAAAAGCAGGGAAACCTACAGTGCAGGCTTCAGTCTGTGGCTGAAGGCCCAAGAGCCCCTGGCAAGCCACTGATACAAGTCCCAGAGTCCAAAGGCTGAGGAACCTGGGATCTGGTGTCAAAGGGCAGGAGGAGTGGAAGGAAGCATCCAGCACGGGAGGAAGATGAGGGTCAGAAAACTCAGCTAGCAAGGTTATCCCACCTTCTTCCATCTGCTTTGTTCTAGCCACACTTGTAGATGATTAATATGGTGCCCACCCACATTTAAAGTGGGTCTTCCTCTCCCAGTCCACCCACTCAAATGTCAATCTTCTCTGGCAGCACCCTCACAGACACACCCAGAAACAATACTTTAGCAGCTATCTAAGCATCCTTCAATCCAATTAAGTTGACACCTAATATTAATCATCACAGGTACTATAATTTTAAAAAAACTAAAGGAGAAAGAGATAAAGATTAATTACAAGATCATATAGGAAGATCAACAGAAACATACAAAGGAAAATTATGAAACAATCTGAGGCAAAAGAGTTAAAAAAGTGAGTGGGGTGATGAAGGAAAGATTGAAGTAAATCTCAGATTACTAAGTAAATAACATATGAACATGTCACAATTAAATAAGCATTTGTGATGCAGAAGCAACAAATTAAAAGTTAAACCTAATTTAATGAGTCTCCGAAAGAAGAGATTCTCTATATAATTTTTAAAGAAAGGAGATATTTTAGTCCATTTTATGCTGCTGTAACAGAATACCTGGGAGTTGGTAATTTACAATGAACAGAAATTTATTGGACTCATGGTTCTGGAGGCTGAGAAGTCCAAGATTCGAGGGGGCCACATCTGGTGAGGGCCTTCTGGCTGTGTCATCATGAGATGAGAGGTATCACGTAGTGAGAGAGAGAGGAGGGGGTAAAGGGGGCCAAACTCAGCCTTTTAAACAGAAATCCACTCCCAAAATAACAGCGTTAATTCGTTTATGAGGACAGAGCCCTCATATCCTAATCATCTCTTAAAGGCCCCACCTCCCAATGCTGTTGCATTAGGGATTAAGTTTCCACTGTGAACTTTGGGGACACATTCAAACTATAGCAGGAGGCAATATAGACAGAAAAACATTTGGCTCTGAAGCTCAACCTGGAATCCTTGGGACTGTCAGGGGGAGAAATACATGATTGAAAGTTTTTAGTGTAAAAATGACAATGTGAATTTTTTAAAAAAGGTTGTAAAGTTTGGATGGGTCAGTGAATGATTATCTTTATGAACAGATGGAGGAAAATTGGGTTTATTGAAATGTGTGGCTATCACTGAAGCAATTGGGAAAAGAAAAAAGCTTTTCAAGAATTGGTTGGTCTTCCTATATCGTGAAAAGTTGATTTTGAAACTTTATCAGCCTCAGAAAACATATTTCTGATTATGGCATGTTCCATCTCCAGTGCCTTCAATGGCCCTCAATTGCCCGAGCCTGGCCTTCAAGGCCTTCCATGTAGTGCCCCTTACTGCTGTAGCCTCATGTGTGTGACCCTCCCCTAACACACCTCTGAAGGACCTGGAAGTAAAACACAACAGCTTGTGTAACAATAGGCTGGAGTTTAGTTTTGGAATTTTCCAAAACAATGAAAATCCAGATTATTTATGTGACAAATTTTTGATGTATGAGGCTTTTTGTGGTCAGATAATCTGTCAACAAAAAATCATATAGACCAATTTTCTAAAAAATTATTTAATTGCTGAGAAGTCAATTGTCTCTTTCATTAGACTTAAGGTTACTTGAATTTTAATTAGTTATATAAAAGATCTAACATATAGGTGGTTTTCAAGAAATCTTAGGTCCTGTTTGGTTATCTATTGCTTTAGAACAAACCAAACTGGAACTTAGTAGCTTCAAACAATAATAATGTTTATTTTGCTCCTGTATCTCAATCTGGATAAGGCTCAACAAAGTCAGCTCTTTGTTCCATATGGTGTAACTAGGGGTGGCCCAAAGTTTAGAGGCTGAAATTGTCTGAAGGCTCATTCACTTATATACCTGGTGGTTGATGCTAAACTTCACCTGGGGTACTAAGCAGGGCTGTTAGCTGGCAAACCTCCATTTGGCCTCTTCATGTGGCTTGAGTTCCTCACAGCATGGTGGCTGAGTTCTAAGGGTAAACATCCAGAGAGAGAGAGAGAGCCAGGTGGAAGCTCTTCCACTGTATTTAGCCTACTCTTGGATGTCGCACAGCATCACTTCAGTCTCATTCTATTCCTTAGAAGCCACCAAGGCTAACCCATATCTAAGGGGAATGGAAGTAGTCTCTACCTTTTAGTGAGAGGATTATCAAAAATTTTGTGTTTGAAAAATGCCACATTCCCTTTTTTTCTTTATGCACCGTATTTGAATAGGCTTCACAAGAAGTGACCTTCTCTAGGTGGAGAAATTTTATAGCACTCCATAAAACAAATGAAATTACTTTCAAACACAAGTAACAGAAAAAACATAAATTCAAATACAGTGGTTCGTAACTAGACATAGCTGTGCTTTCAGTTATTTTATATAGTATCAACTATAGAGAATGTAAACATTCAATTTTTCTTCTTTCAGCTTAGGGCATCCAATGACAAAGACTTTTAAATTCTCACTGTGTTGAATTCATAGGAGTTAAGTAAGGAGAATTTGGGATAAATATAACCGATTGTCTATATCCATAAATCTTGGCTGAGGATTTCCAATCTCTGGTTTTAGTTTTACCTCCATAACTGTCATCTTTGAACATCGTTGCTTTTGTGTCCCTAAAATCTGACTGGCTTGGGCAGAGAATTGGGCTATCCATTGTGCAACGGAGCCACCTTGGAGCAGAAAATTAGGTGTGAAACAGTGTAAGCTCTGATGTTCTAAACCCAGGAAACTACTGTTGTGTCCCGTTGATTGGATTCTTGAATATAGATCACATGGTCTATTTAACAGAAAGAAAATGCCATCTTGTAGTAATCCACTATGAGGATTTTATTTACTTATTTAGAGACAGGGGTCTTGCTCTGTTGCCCAGGGTGGAGTGCAGTGGCACAATCATAGCTCACTCTCAAACCTCCAGGCTCAAACGATCTTCCCCCCTCAGCTTCCCAAGTAGCTGGTATGACAGATGTGCACCACCATGCCCAGTGATCCACCATGGATGTTGCAAACTAATAAAATATGGCCTTCATGATCCATTATAGTATTCTTTTCTTAGGATTTATCAAAATGATCTCTCAATGATGGGTGTTGATATACACTCAAGAAAATAGCCATGCATGGCAGTGTGTGCCTGTAGTTCCAGCTACTTGGGAAACTGAATCAGGAGGATTGCTTTAGCCCAGGAGTTTGAAGCTGTAATGAGCTGTGATTGTGCCACTGTACTCCAGCCTGGGCAAAAGAGTGAGACCTTGTTTCAAGAAAAAAAAAAAAAAAAAAAAAAGAAAAGAAAAGAAAAGAAAATATATCCTTATCTTCATTTAAAATATATATGCATATAGGAATCAAGTTCTAAGGGTGTTTTATTTTATTTTTTCTTGAAAACCCTTAATTGTTTGGAATCCAAATACTTCATAATCTAATATCCAACTTAGACAAATAATTTAACTATAAAAAAATAAGGAACGAGTTTTCTTAAAAACAAGGGCAAGAAATAAAACCATATGGCCTTTTGTTACATAATCTTGGGCAATATTTTAGTTTTTAATTAATTTTATCACCTTTCTTGGTTTTTTAATTGCATGTTTTTGTTTGTTTTTTTTCTTTATTTCGTCTAAAAAAATGGGATACACATGCGGAACATGCAGGTTTGTTACATAGGCATATGTTTGCTGTGGTGGTTTGCTGCACTTATTGACTTGTCCTCTAAATCCCCTCCCCTCACTCCCCCACCTCCCAACAGGCCGTGGTGTGTGTTTTTCCCCTCTCTGTGTCCATCTGTTCTCATTGTTCAACTCTCACTTATGAGTGAGAACATGTGGTGTTTGGTTTTCTGTTCCTGTGTTAGTTTGCTGAGGATAATGGCTTCCAGTTTCATCCATGTCCCTGCAAAAGAAATGATCTCATTCATTTTTATGGCTAGCTAGTATTCCATGGTGTATATGTGCCATATTTTCCTTATCCAGTCTATGACTGATGGTCATTTGGGTTGGTTCCATGTCCTTGCTATTGCAAATAGTCCTGCAATAAACATACGTGTGCATGTGTGTTTATAATAGAATAATTTATATTCCTTTGGGGATATACCCAGTAATGGAATTGCTGGGTCAAATGGTATTTCTGGTTCTAAATCCTTGAGGAATCGCTATACTGTCTTCCACAATGGTTGAACTAATTTACATTCCCACCAACAGTGTAAAAGCATTCCTATTTCTCCACAGCCTCGCCACCATCTATTGTTTCCTGACTTTTTAATAATCGCCATTCTGACTGGAGTGAGATGGTATCTCATTGTGGTTTTGATTTGCATTTCTCTGATGATCAGTAATGTTGAGCTGTTTTTCATGTTTCTTAGCAGCATAAATGTCTTCTTTTGAGAAGTATCTGTTCATATCCTTTGCCCACTTTTTGATGGGGTTGTTTGTTTTTTTTCTTATAAATTTGTTTAAGCTCCTTGTAAATTCTGGATATTAGACCTTTGTCAGATGGGTAGCTTGCAAGAATTTTCTCCCATTCTGTAGACTGTCTGTTCACTCTGATGATAGTTTCTTTTGCTGTACAGAAGCTCTTTAGTTTAATTAGATCCCATTTGTTAATTTTGGCTTTTGTTGCAATTGCTTTTGGCATTTTTGTAATGACATCTTTGCTCATACCTATGTCCTAAATGGTATTGCCTAGGTTTTCTTCTAGGGTTTTTATGGTTTTGGGTTTTACATTTAAGTCTTTGATCCATCTTGAGTTAATTTTTGTATAAGGTGTAAGGAAGGAGTCCAGTTTCAGTTTTTTGCATATGGCTAGCCAGTTTTCCCAGCACCATTTACTGAATAGGAGATCCTTTCTCCATTGTTTGTTTTTGTCAGGTTTGTCGACGATCAGATGGTTGTAGATATGTGGTGTTATTTCTGAGGTCTCTGTTCTGTTCCCTTGATCTATATATCTGTTTTGGTACCAGTATCATGCTGTTTTGGTTACTGTATCCTTGTAGTATAGTTTGAAGTCAGGTAGTGTGATGCCTCCAGCTTTGTTCTTTTTGCTTAGGATTGTCTTGGCAATGTGGGCTCTTTTTTGGTTCCATATGAAATTTAAAGTAGTTTTTTCTAATTTTGTGAAGAAAGTCTCTGGTAGCTTGATGGGAATAGCATTGAATCTATAAATTACTTTGGGCAGTATGGTATTTTCATAATATTGATTCTTCCTATCCATGAGGATGGAATGTTTTTCCATTTGTTTGTGTCCTCTTTTATTTCCTGGAGCAGTGGTTTGTAGTTGTCCTTGAAGAGGTCCTTCATGTCCCTTGTAAGTTGTATTCCTAAGTGTTTTATTCTCTATGTAGCAATTGTGAATGGGAGTTCATTCATGATTTGGCTCTCTGCTTGTCTATTGTTGTTGTATAGGAATGCTTGTGATTTTTGCACATTGATTTTGTATACTGAGACTTTGCTGAAGTTGCTTATCAGCTTAATGAGTTTTGGGGCTGAGATGATGGGGTTCTCTAAACATACAATCATGTCATCTGCAAACAGAGATAATTTGACTTCCTTGCTTCCTATTTGAATACCCTTTATTTATTTCTCCTGCCTGATTGCCCTGGCCAGAACTTCCAATACTACGTTGAATAGGAGTGGTGAGAGACGGCATCCTTGTCTTGTACCAGTTTTAAAAGAAAGTGCTTCCAGCTTTTGCCCATTCAATATGATATTGGCTGCGGTTTTGTCATAAATACCTCTTATTATTTTGAGATATGTTTGTTCCATCAATATCTAGTTTATTGAGAGTTTTTAACATGAAGGATGTTGAATTTTATCGAAGGCCTTTTCTGCATCTATTGAGATAATCATATGGTTTTTGTCTTTGGTTCTGTTTATGTGATGGATTATGTTTATTGATTTGTGTATGTTGAACCAGCCTTGCATCCCAGGGATGAAGCCAATTTGATCATGGTGGATAAATTTTTTGATGTCCTGCTGGATTTGGTTTGCCAGTATTTTATTGAGGATTTTTGCATTGATGTTCATCAGGGATATTGGTCTGAAGATTTGTTTTTTTGTTGTGTCTCTGTCAGGTTTTGGTATCAAGATGATGATGGCTTCGTAAAATGAGTTAAGGAGGAATCTTTTCTTTTCAATTGTTTGAAATAGTTTCAGAAGGAATGGTACCAGCTCCTCTTTGAATTTCTGGTAGGATTCGGCTGTGAATTCTTCTGGTCCTGGGCTTTTTTTGGTTGGTAGGCTATTAATTATTGCCTCAATTTCAGAACTTGTTATTTGTCTATTCAGGGATTCGACTTCTTCCTGGTTTAGTTTTGGGAGGGTGTATGTGTCCAGGAATTTATCAATTTCTTCTAGATTTTCTGGTTTATTTACGTAGAATGTTTATAGTACTCTTTGATGGTAGTTTGTTTTTCTGTGGGATCAGTGGTGATATCCCCTTTATCATTTTTTATTGCATCTATTTGATTCTTCTGTCTTTTCTTCTTTATTAGTCTAGCTAGCGGTCTATCTATTTTGTTAGTTTTTTCAAAAAACCAGCTCCTGGATTCTTCTATTTTTTTGGAGGGTTTTTCATGTCTCTATCTCCTTCAATTCTTCTCTGATCTTGATTTGCTCCCGCGCCTGGAGATGTCACTGAAGGAGGCTGGAGAACAGCAAAGATGGGTGTCTGCTCCTTCTTCTGGAACCTCTGACCTTGAGGGTCACCAACCTGATGCCAGTAGGATTGCTCCTGTATAGGATGTCTGACAACCCCTTTTGGAGGGGCTCACACACTTGGGTGGCACAGGGGACAGTACCTATTTAACGAAGCACTTTGCCACTTGGTGGAGGGGGTGTGCTTCCCTCGAGGGAAACCCACTTGTCTGGGCTGCCTGGATCCCTCAGAACTAGCAGGAGGAAAGGCTAAGTCTGCTGGTCTGCAGAGACTGCAGCCAATCCCTCCCATTAGGAGCTCAGGCACAGAGAGATCTGGGTTCTGTCTCTGAGCCTCTGGCTGGAGTTATTGGAGTTCCTGCAGGAAAGCCCCACCCAGTGAGAAAAGATGGGTCAGGGCCAGGCCTGAAGAGGCACTCTGGCTGCAGACTGCCACAGCTGGTGTGTTGGGTTATGGGGGACAAGTCTTGGGACCAAGCCATCCAGACTCCCTGGCTCCAGCAGGGGAACAGCACAGCCTAAAGCTGTAGAGAAGGATTCTGCCCCTTCCCCACCCGGGGAGCTTAGTGTGTTAGGCAGTTGCAAGTCCCAGTGATGGCTGCTGCCCCTCCCCTAAGTAGCCCAAATGGCTTAGACAGCAGGCACCCTCAGCATACACGTGCTGGTCGCCCCTACCCCCAGGATTTTGGTAGGCTTAAGCAGATTCCAGCTGAGAGGCTGTTGAGAATCTGTGCATTCCAGGGTTGGGATTCTAGGCCCTGGTGGCATGGGTTTGCGAATGGGATCTTCCAATCCATGGGTTGCACAGTTCCGTGGAAAAAGCACGGTTTCCCTGACTGGGCTGCACACTCACTCACTGCCTCCCTTGGCTGGGGGAAGAGGACTCCCCTGCCCCCGTCCCCCACCATGACTCTCTGATGGGCCGCCACACCACACTGTTCTTCCTTCTCTCCCTGGGTTACGCCAGCCTCCTAGTCAGTTCTGATGAGAGAACCTGGATACTTTGGTTGCCAGTGAAGGATTCACATGCTGATTATGGTTTTTTTCGATGGGAGCCTCTGTATGCCACTGTTTCTAGTCAGCCATCTTGACACTGCTCCCCACCCCCATATTTTTGTATTTTTACTTAGAAATTACAATATGCACCCTTAATTTATTACAGCTATTTTGAATTACTATTATATTACTTTAAGAACAATGTAAGAGCTATGTAATTCCATTTATTTCCTTCTACACATTGTGTTATTTTTGCCATATACATCTGTATATCTTATAAACCTCATAGTACATTGTTGATTTTATTGCTTAATCAGTAAAGTGAATACGTTTACAAATGGTACTGTATATTCATTTCTTGGGGTCTTCTTTCCTTCCTGAAGGTCCAGGCTTCCATGTGGAATAATTTCTGTTCATCCTGAAATTCCTTTAGTATTTCTTGTAGTGCAGGTCTGCTAGTGACAAACTGCCTCAGATTTTGTTCATCTAAAAATGAATTACTTTTGTTTTCAATTTTGAAGGACTTTTTGGATAATTATAGAATTTTAGGTTGAATTTTGTTGTTGTTGTTGCAGAAGTTTAAGACACCAAATCACTTTCTTCTGGCTTCCATTTTTTATGATGACAAGACAGTAAGCTTTAATTCTTCTTATTATTATTGTTTCCCCAAATTAATACAGTTTTCCTAGTATTTGTCCTGCATGAGATTCTCTGAGCTTCTTGTATATGTGGGTTAATGTCTTTCATTGACTTTGAAAAAAATTCCAGTCATTATCTCTTCAAACAATTCTTCTGCCTGATTTTCTTTCTTCTTTGTCTGGGACACAAATTGCATACATATTAGGCCATTTGTTAGTGTGCCACATGTCTCAAAAGCTCTTTTTTCATTCTTTTTAAAATTTGGTGGTTCAATTTATATCATTTCTATTGAGCTAAGAGTTCTCTGATACTTTCTTTTACTAAATTTAGACTACTGTTAAGCCTATCCAAAAATCTTTAATTTAGATAATGTATTTTTTACTTCTAGAATTTTAATTTGGCTCTTTTTAAAGTCTTCATTTCTATGCTGAAATTCTCCATCTTTTTCTCTAAATTCTTTAAAATGTTATGATTTATTTAAAGATCTTGTATGTTAATTCTATATGTGTAGTTTTGCTTCTATTAAATATATATATATATACACATATATATGTGTATATATAATTTTGATTGTGGGTCAAATTCTCCTATTTCCTTGCACATGTGTTTTTTAAAATTGCATGGCATATATTATGTTTAAGAGGCTCATAGAGACTAAACTAAGTTTTCTTTCCCCCAGAGAGGGCCTACTCTTTCCTCTGTCAGATAGCTAGAGAGAGATCCCTTTGATCCAATCTGCAGCTGAGCTAGGTCTGAGGTTGGGTTGCCACTTTACAAAGTATAGTGCCCCTCCTGTGTTAAATGACTTGAGGTTAAGGTCTGTTCTAAGTGTACTGCAAGCATTTCTCTATAGTGGGACTTAGGAATATAAGCACCACCAGGACTTCAGGAAATAATTCTTTGTTTTCCAGCATAGCACTGTGCATCCTGAACTACTGCAGGCTTGTGGGGGAGAATCAGTGGCAGTTGGAAGGAAATGTTTCTGATGTTGGAACGAACTGTTTCTGATGTTGGAACTGCCGCAGATTCCAATCTTTCAAGCAGGTTCATGTGATAGCTAAAAGCTTTGCTAATTTCTCCTTACTCCAGCATACCAACTCTCTCTTCCCCTGACCTATGGCTGGCAAGATACTATACTTACCTATGACCAGACTTGGCACTTGTATCAATGGAAGAGAGTAGTACTGACCTCAGGTCACCGACCAAGGGCTTATCATTTTCTGAAATTCAGTATCTTAAGGTTTCTTTGACTACACAACTTTCCATTGGCTCAAAAAATAAAATAAAATAAAATAAAATGAAATAAAATAAAATAAAATCTCTTTCTCTCTAGACATATAGATATAGATATCAATGGTCTGTTGTTACTGTCTATATCCTTGAACTCAATTTCAATAGAACAATTTAACAGAGAAACAGATAAAATATTAATGAATGATTTTCAATCTTTTTCATTTTGAGTCCATTTGAATGATTAATGATAGCGCTCTCATCTCACTTGCTTTTTTTTTTTAGACCTTTTTTCATTACCTAAATGCCCTAGACAAAATATTTCTAGAAATATTTTTGAATTAGAGATTGTAAAAAAAATTTTGCTAGCAATATTCACTTTCAAAGCTTTTTCCTTTGGTACTCCACTGGTATTTATGGGTCTTTGGAGTCCCTACACCACAATTTCAAATCTATTTTCAGGGGGGAAAAATTTAAATTTGACTCTAGCATTTAAGCATAACTAAAATCTATGCAATTAGAATTAAAAGAGGGACAACTTTAGGGAAGTCATAATATTCAAAATACTTCAAAAGTAATCTGCTGATAAGTTCCCGTCTGTGTACAAAACCCCTGGATCCCAAATACTTTTCATTTTAATCTATCAGAAAAATACATAAAAACATCCTCACGCTATTCATGAGTTAGACTCATAGACTCAAATTATAGCAACTAAGAGAAGATTAATTTTTTTTTCCAGTGTAGCTAATTTGGAAGATTTGGAAGTTACACCATAGTTTTCTTCTTTAAACAATTTTTATTTTTTAGATGAAACTCCAGCTAAATTATAGTATATTTGTTGCTTACAGCAAGATTATATAATAAAACTATTGATAACATCAGTTCTCTGCAGGGCAAGAGACTGAGCAGTAGTAACACAGCTTTCCAAGTTCACTTTGTTCCTTTTGCATTATTAAATTATCTTCTGAACTTTAATACTCTGGCCAACAATTATTGTTCTATGACAGATAAAAATTGTTCATGAACCAACAGGAAAAAACTCCCACATTCCTAAATCTTGCCAAATTACAACAAAGCTGTCTCAGAATAAGAGCAGCTGAGAACTCTACCAACTCTCAGTAGAGTAGAGTGCTTGCGCCCACTTCTACATATCACAATTGCAACTTTATTTTTTCATGTATTTTCTGGATTCCTGTATGTATGCTTGGAATAAAGACTCTAGCTTGGCTTTTTCTTGGGTTTGATGCAAAGCTAAGCGGTGTAGATCAAAACCTCAACAGAAGGCCTTGGGAAGGAACACAGTGGATTTTCCCTGGAAATTCTAGAATGCATTGCTTGAAAGCTATGTTGTAGGTCTCCAGAGCAAGAGAAAATAATTTCTTTTTTGTTATTCAATTTCATTTTTAATTGACAAATAATAATTGCATATATTTATGAAGTACAATAGGAAGTGTTGACATACATTTACAATATAAAATGGAATGATAAATCAGGCTAGTTAGCAAATCTATCACCTCACATACTTACCATTTTTTTGTGGCAAAAACATTTAAAATCTACTGCTCATTTCCAAATTTAGCAATTTGGAAATATACAATCCATCCTTACTTATTATAGTCACCATTTTATGAGTACTTGACTTGAGGGTGAGTGAGCAAGTGGGTGAATCCTCTTAGCCCGAGGAAAGAGAATTTTTCCATGTGTTACTTTTCCAGCTTGATTTCAATTTGATGATTATACCCCCTGGTATTTTAAACAGACACAGATACTGAGTTATGAACAAAATAAATATTAAGCGGACTCTGGTGTTTATCACATGGCTACATATTATTATCTCATTCTCTTCTTTACTGATGAACAGAGAGAATGCTTGGAGGCAAAAGAATGAAGGTGTGATGATTTTGCATATTACGCAAAACATCTTTCTTTCTTACTGCTATACTTCATATAATTATATGTGTAACTAGTTAGGGATGTATGGATTTAGGCCACTATTACTATGGAAACCATGGCCATGGACCACAGCCTTGGATTTCCAAAGTACTTTACTGTTTTGTTTTTTTTTTTTAAGGCTGCAGATGGCACTCCAGTAAAAAGCTTAAAAAATAGAGCAGAAAACTTACCCCCCCTTTGAGGAACTAGAATAAACTTTTGCTGTAATTAGTTGCCATAAACTGTAATGCAATATTCTAGTTTGTCTTAAATGGTCTGAACTTGAATAAGCAGTCACTGTATCTAATTGCTATGAAGTATTTGTATTAAGATCTGAAGAATAACTGTGACATATTTCAAAAGATTAATATATTTTCTAAGAACAAAACTTAAAGTGCAGTGTCTGATCAAAGCAGAGTAAAGGATTGTAAAATAAATCCAGAGGCAACTTCCTTATATTTAAAAAAAATTATATTTGAAATCACAAGAATTTTTTCTTCCTTTCTTCCTCCTCTTACTTAAAAAAAAATTCTTAGCAAAATAGTGTCCTGAAAATAATAGCTTAACTTCATTGAACACTTGTTATGTGTCATGTACTTTGTTTATATGAATTTCTTAACATTTTACAAGGCATTACGAGGTAGAAACTGTAACTTTTTCTATTTTACAGTTGAGGAGACTGAAGCTCAGTGACTTCAGCCGGAATTCAAACCCAGGCAATCTGGCTGCCAATATCACACTTTTGGACTTCCATCTGTATGCGTGGTGTTCCTCACAGTGCATATTTTTTTATTTCTAGTATAATAAACAAAATTACGAGTTTTGGAAATTATTTCCCCTAAGGCCTCCAGAAGCAACAGAAGGCACATTCATGAACATCAAGGCAAATAACAACTGGAGAGAATCCAGTTACTCGCACAACATCCTTTTAGATCTGAGTGTAAAGTAGCTGAACACTTCCTGACTGGCTTTTTCCCCATTTTCCCTCATTGCCAATCACCCCATTTAGTTATGAAAATACTTCATTGGTAGTAGTGGCCAAACAGGCAAATATCTATTCAGTAATTAGATGAATAAATGGGATTTTTTTAGAATAATAGAATAAGTGCCGGACAGTTCTCTGATGGCCTTGGACAAGCCCAGTTCTCTCCACTTCTCTTGCTTGTAGTTCTCAAGAATGTCTGCAGAATGTGCTGGGACTGCAACATTCTGAGACAGGGAGAACTTGCCTGAAACAGCCCAAGCCTTGTTCCCATTCCTCCCAGGAAACATAACACCTTGAGTTAGGGAGGAACTATTCTGGACAGCCTGGACTTTGTTCCTCCCTCCTCTGGACACAATATGCCCTTCAAAGCTTTCCCCAGTGGGTCACATTGCTCCTGAGATAACTCACCCAAGGCAGGCTGCTTTTTGGCCTCCTTCAGCTGTGGTGCAAGAAGAGCATGTGCAGTCAAGACTACTTCTGCCCCTGCAGCTTTTTGAGCCTTGGAAGACTGGCTGACAATGGATCCTAGGCTCCTTTTGTCCCTTGCTGTCTATCTGTAGTAATCAACCTGCTTTATATAACTTGTTTGTGAGTGTTCTGTCTCTCACTGGACTCTTCTAAGTGGGTAACCAGTACATGGTGAACCTGCTTCACAGTAAGAAATTGAGAACAAGGTCAATTTTAGAGAAGTCAGCCAAAGGTCGGATTATGTTTTAAAATCCTTATTTGAAGGAAGGTTTCAGAAAGTAGCTTTAGATAACCAGGCGTGCTTTGATGATTGAGATTTTGGGATCCACATGGTGTCACCAGGGAAAAGGCATTAAGCTATTTTGTGAGGAGCATTTTGAGACCTGCTGGCTTGGTGCTACTTTGTCATCCTTGTGACTGAATCTCCGTTTCACGCATTGCAGCCCATTGAGAGCCTGCCCCATATAAAAATATGCCATAAGCATCTTATCCTCTAAGACTAGAGTTGTGGTTAGGATATTTTGCACATCTTAAAAAGATTGATAGAGTTAGAGTAGATTATGAATGTGTGCCTTGAGAACATTTTAATTTCACTGAATCAGATTCAATTTAGCAAAACAACGTGGGCTGAAAATCATTCTGGTAAACTCCTAGATTTAGTGAACAGATAACCCGTCTCGTCAATAGAGCAGGTCTTAACTATAGATCTTGTGCTTGTAATAAGAGAACTATAGTAAATTCACAGGGCTCAATAGCTATGGCAACTGCAGATTTCAGTCAATACCCTTTGATCTTCAACATTAGATAGTCATGTCTGATTGCTGCACATAATCCTTTTCCCAAAAGAGGTCAATATGTTCTTTCTGGAATACTTCAAAGTATTCTAGTCCTTAGAAATGCCTAGGGCCTTTCTATTAGTTACTATCATCTTTGATCAATAGTCCTACTTGAAATGTTATGTGATGCTTACACAAACACAAACACACAAGCCTACATAGAAAATGCAACTTGTACATATGTACATTTTCCTTTGCTAAGAGGATGCATTGTTAAATATTTATACATATAAATGCATATCCAATATATGCAGACAAATATATACTTTATATACCATGTATTTTATGTAAACACAACCATACTTGAAGATAGAAAGCCAAGGAAAATATTAGTAGTAGGCATTTTTAATAATAAAAAACATATTTTAAATAATGACATCAAAATTATTGGTGGCAATTTAAATACTACTGTCACTGATATTATTAAGATTACAGCCAGGCGCGGTGGCTCATACCTGTAATCCCAGCACTTTGGGAGGCCGAGGCAGGTGGATCACCTGAGGTCAGGGGTTTGAGACCAGCCTGGCCAATATGGCAAAACACCATCTCTACTGAAAATACAAAAATTAGCTGGGTATGGTGGCATGTGCCTGTAATCCTAGCTACTCAGGAGGCTGAGGCAGGAGAATTGCTTGAACCGGAGAGGTGGAGATTGCAGTGAGCCGAGACTGGGCCACTGCACTCCAGCCTGGGTGACACAGTGAGACTCTGTCTCAAGAAAAAAAAAAAAAAAATTACAATGACACTCTTATTTAAATGCGCCTAATTAAGAAAAACAATGACTATTTAAAAAGAGCAGTTTAAGACCCTATCTTAATTTGCTTATTACTTATTCCATTTTTATCTAATTATTCAATAACCATTTTATTGAATTCTCATTTTATGTTAGGCCAATAAAGTAGCAAGTAAAATGCAGTTTATAATCTCAAGTTTATAAATACCTAGTAAGATTATAATTATACTCCTAAATTAAATTAGAATACCTGTTTAAGGGACACAAGTCACATAAAAAGGTTGTATACAAGAATGAATGCAAGAATGAGTGCAAATCAATGCTCTGGTTTCCCAGGAAGAAGAGGTGGCTTTTTGCAAGAGAGATCAGAGAAGAATTCATGGAACAGGGAGCATCTATCTGGGCCACAGTGTATGTGTAGAATTTCAGCCGTCTTGGTGTGGAGTAGCAGTGGTCTCATTGGAGGGACTAGTGTACATTCAGGTCTTGAGGTGGGAACTCAGGCACCCACTAGAAGAGGGGGGACCTTCCATGGGTGCACGTGGGGCACCTGATGAGGAAATCTTGCCCAATCAAATCACCTAAGAGCATTTTAGAAAAGACGTATGCTATTAGACTAGGGAACTGTAAGGCCATCACAACAATCAAAAGAGAGAAAGCAAACCTGCTTTGGGTTATTTCACTCTAAAATTGAAATTCTAAAATATTCTTTTAAAAATGTATTTCTCATTCTGAAATGTTGAAACATTTTGACAGGTTATATAGAATAAAATCAATAGATTTCTGTCTTTTCCTGGAAATAGTTCTTAGAGCTAGTAGTTCTAAGAAAAAAAGAACTCCAGCTCTTTTTTTAACAAGACAACATTTGAATATGGACTTGAAGGAGGCGAGGGAGCAGAGTATGTGTGTCTTTGGGGAAAACATTCCAGGGGAACTGGGCCTGAATGTGCCTGGTATGGTTCAAAGACACGAGGAGACCAGCATGGCTGAAGCATGGTAAGGGAAGGAGAAGGTGGACCTTGTAGGGCTTGGCAGGCCATTGTAAAGACCGGCTTTTATTCTGAAAGAACTGCCAAGCTGTCAGAGGACACTGAGACGAGAACCATGAGCTGGCTTGTGTTTTAACAGGATCATTTTTGCTGCTGTGTTGACTAGCAAGGAGACCAGCTAGGATCTATTGTATTGAGCCAGGTGAGAGATGGCTGTGGTATGAATCAGAGTGGTGCTGAAGGGAGGCTTGAGATGGGCTTGCAGAAATTCTGGGTATAGTTTGAAGGAAGAGCTTACTGAATTTGCTGATGAATTAGATAGGGAATGTGAAGAAAGTATTCAAGAATAACAATAAGGCTTTTGGCCTGAGCAATTGTAAGGAGGATATTAATAACTGAGAAACTTTGAGGACGAGTGTAAGTGGGCCAGGTTAATGGAAGAATAATAGAGTTTCAGTTTGGAACATGTGAAATTTGAGATAGCTGTTCATGGAGATAGTCATGTGAGTGTTGGGTCTGATCACTAGCAACGTGAAGATTCTTGTTGACCCTGAATAGAGCCATGTTTAGGGTGAACTTAACCTTTGTTAATTTTTAAATTATTAGCTCAGTACCTATCTAGTATTACACAATAGGCAAACATCAATTTTAGGACTTTTCGAAGCAAATGGTACCCAGAATAAGGGACGCAGGACATCCAAGTATGTCCTGTTGAAGTTGGGCAGTGGCTGGAGCAATTAAATTTTATAGGGCGTATTAGTGATCTTGGGGTTGTGGCCTGTGAGAAATGGGAATGAAATAGTATATTTAGACTGGAAAATAGTGGTGTCTGAATGGAATTTTATGAGGAGAAAGTATTTTCCAGAGGGCAAAACTTAAATGAAGGGCAAGAGGTAATAAGATGTAGATATTTTTCTTAGAAGAAATAGAAAAGGGAGTCATGACCTGCCAGAAACTGAGATATCTGGTGAGTACGCAGGCAGCAATCATTTTCCTGAGTATTCAATTGTTCATCGATTTACACTTACTGCATAATCTCACTGCATAAATGAGTGATGACTTTCAAAGGCGTTTAAGTTTTGGCTTGTGGGTGGAGGCTCATGTGGGTGGGATGATAGAGAGATCAATACTGTCCAAAACTTGGTTTCAAATATATTTTTAAAAGTATTACACTCAGGAGAGGCCCTATCAAAGTCAGATTGAAAGAAAAGACAAAGGTGGCCCTGAGAGGGAACTCATCATAAGAAAGATAAAGTGTGGCCTAGACTCAGTAATCGGGTCTGCATGCTGGAAGGCAATGATAGTTTTAGTTACCTGGTTGTGGTTAATCTTGTATCTTATCTTGACCCAGCCATTCTGGCTGTGTGTTTTGCCCTTAGGAGAAAATGAACGTGTGTGAATCGAAAGACCCATCCTGCCTTAACAATTTTGGCACAGGCTGGCTGAGAGACTGAGATAACACAGAGGACTGTTTCCTACAAGAAAGACACATGTTTCCAGATTGAGATTCCAGGGAGGGCATCCAGTTCCAAGGATAACAGTGATGGGGCTGAATTTGAGACTGGGGTTGCTATGGAAACATCCCAGGCAGGTTGGCTAGTGTGGGGAGCAAGGACCGCTGTACACAAGCACCTCTGAAGACTGTCAGGAGTTTTCTATGAAAATTGGACTTCCTGCAGTTGTGTAGGTGAGAGATTGGAAATATTGAGGTTCAGCTATCCATATCAAAGAACCGAATTTTCTCTCACTGGCTGGCATGATTTCTGTTAGAATCTCCAAGACTAAAAGAATGAGTAGACTGCCTTGAATGTAATGAGCCCCCCATGATGTAATACTACTTGTGAGTAGTATTTAAGGAGAGACCAGATGGCTTTATGTCTGTGTATGTTCATATTCCACTAGAAAGCCTGCATATGTGTATGCGTTGCAAATTGTAAAACAAGTTCTGCAATATAAGTGCTATTATCACTAGGTATGTGTATGTTTCTGCTATGCATGTATGTGGGAAGTCTCGCTGCATGAGGGCTGACTTTCAAAGTCTCCTTTGCAACTCTTAAGAATCTGTGGATTTATCAAAATAAAATAGGCAATTTTAATAAATAAAAAATCATGTTCTAATGGGGAGATGTTGGTCAAAGAGTACAAACTTTCAGTTATAAAAGGCATAATTTCTGGGGTGTAATGTACAGCATGATAACTATAGTTAATACTGTATTGTATTGACATTTGCTAAGAGAGTAGATATTAAATGTTCTCACCACACACATATACTTATGTGAGGTAATGGATGTGTGAACTAAGTTGTCTGTAGTAATAATTTCACAATATATATGTATATCAAATCATCACATTTTACATCTTAAATTTATACAGTTTTATTTGTCAATTATACCTCAATAAAGCTGGAAAAAGATGTCACAGGAGCAGACTTGATAAACGATCACAGCTCGAAAATAAGCAGATTGATGTCTGCTCTCTTCCAGGAAGAAAGTTTTATAGATCTCTTATGTCTGCAAATGGTTAATAAATGTTCTTAAATAATCCAGGACAAACTATTTTTTGATACAATCTTAGATTGAAAAGTTAAGGAAACTGTAAAAAGACGAATCACAGGTAGGAGAGAAGTTGAAAAGGGGAGAAACTCATCTACTACCTGTTCATATGTAGCCATACAACCTTAATCCAGCTCCTATGCAGCCCTGCCTGACATCTTGACCCTGATTAGTAATGCACTGGAGGATGTCTTTGGTAAAATCTGCAATAGGCATATGCATATACATGTGAGTTTATATACAAATACATACATACACACCTATATATGTGTATATATGACTTTATATTATGCAATACACAGAAGTTTATATTTGAATGTTAACATTTGCATTAAGACTATGAAACAAAATGCATTAAATAACTCAAATAGGCTGGGTGTGGTGGCTCACGCCTGTAATCCCAGCACTTTGGGAGGCCGAGGTGGGCGGATCACAAGGTCAGGGTTTCGAGACCAGCCTGACCAACATGGTGAAATCCCGTCTCTACGAAAAATACCAAAATTAGCCAGGGGTGTTGGCCCGTGCCTGTAATCCCAGCTACTCAGGAGGCTGATGCAGGAGAATTGCTTGAACCTGGGAGGTAGAGGTTGCAGTGAGCAGAGATCGCGCCACTGCACTCCGGCCTGGGCGACAGAGCGAGACTCCATCTCAACAAACAAACAAACAAACTCAAATAGAACTTAAAGACTTCATTCAGCTGATACACACCAGGGAAAACCTGAAGACCAGGCAACTGTGAGTTGAAGCAGGGTTGAAGTTTTACAGGGTAAGGAGAAGAGGGGAGTATGTATTTTTGTGGTTTGGCTGAGGTAGTGGCTTTCATCTTTAATTGCTGTGAAATTTACCGACGTTCTGGTTTTCTTGCTTCCGGCTCAGGATTGTTGATGTAATCCCATTGGATAGCTGTCAGAGTAGTACTTTCTGAGTGCCGTTCTTGCAAGCCTTGCCATTTATCAGTTAGTCAAGTATCAGGGGTAGGTGAGGTAGCAGAAAACAATAACAACAACAACAACAACAACAAAGTGTGGGAGGAGAGAAGAAAAAAAGAAGAGGCACAATTGAAGTCAAAGGGGAAACTGTAAATCCTCTATAATGCCTGTTTTAGTCTTTTTACAAGACACAGTATGATTTATATCCTCTGTTAAAGTCTAATAAAGAAGCACAAATAAGCAAAATTATGTGCAGTTTTCTTAAAGATGAAGTAAAATTCTCAAGTGATCTTATAAGTATACAATTTGAATTATTTGCTACTCTACTGCAAATACTTTTCTAAATGAAACAACTGAAGGCCAGTAGAAGGGGTATTACAAATAAAACAAATTATTGTCCCCCACTTTAGTTTAAATGAAAACAAATTATTCTTTCCATGCTGGATTATAATTCCTGTTATATTGCTTTCATCTTTTAAAAAATCCAGGTTCATTGATTTCTCAAATATCCCCATTTTCGTGAATTCTTTTTAACATGTGACTTATTCTGGCACAAATGCAAATATGCCTAAGAAGGTTAACACACAAACTTCTTAGCAGTCATGACATCCTGGTAAAAATATATTTACCAAATTGCCATTTTCTAAAATAGGAGATGTTTAGTGTTACTCATGTTCTGGTTACCAGGAGCTGATTTATTCAGATGAAGGTAGAGGAATAGAGAGGATGTGGACTGTGGCAAAGCAGGGAAAAAGGAGCTCTGTGCTGGAAATGATGCTGAAAAGGCACAGACAGAGGAAGGAGATCATTTGTACAATTGTTTCCTTACTTCTCAGGTTGGCCTAGAGTTTGAATTTTGTTACATTCTACACTTTAAAAAAAAAAACCACAAATATATTCCCTAAGTCTCCATAACATTAACTATCCTCTTTGGGTAATTAACCCACATGCCACTTGCATCTAAGGGACTGCCCTGCTTTGATAGCTGGGAGGAATCACACCAGCTCTCAGAGGGCTACTTGCTTTATTACCACTTGGTGGCTAAAGCTCCTACCGTAGCCATGATGACAACTTTTTTAATTTTTCCCATTCCAGGCTTGTTCACACTCTTTGAATTCAACAAGAATCAAATTCTACAACTAATAAGCACCTTCTTGTGCTAAGTAGGAGAGTCTCAAATGTCTAGGTGATAATCTAGACAATTTTACCACCCTCATGGAATAATATCCGGGGAATATGGATAAGTAAACAGACAGCTACATCAAGCAGTTTAACATACTGACTTCAGACCGTGAGAAGATCCTCTCTGCTCTAGGACCTGAGTTTCACTCCCACCTCTGTCCCATTGCAGTTGCTGCTTGTGGGTGGCGTGGGGCTTCAGATGTTCCTTGCATGGCAGCCTTGTGGTCCAAGCAGTGCGACCAGGTCCTTTTTAACTCTCAGAAAGGTTCGGACAAATGGGAACTGACAAGTGGTACTAAGATTCCATGACTCTCAAAAATTCAAATTGAGAGAATCCTGTCAAATATCCTCCTTGAATTCCCATAGGTGACCGAGGTCCTGAGCCCTCCTCTGCTATGGAAGATTTTTGGAAACAGAGTCCAAATATACTACAGCTTGCTGAAAGCTCATGATTTATTTTATCCTCTGCCTATATCAGTAAAACAAAAAGGGGATTTGATTTGCATTTCCCTATTCCTATATGCTGTCAGTTGAAAAATGTTAAAAATGTGTGGGGGCACAGAAACACAAGTAGCTGGAGGCACTCTGAGAATACGTGCCTGTTTATATGTCTGATCTCCTACCCTGAGGATATTCTAGTTTTTTTTTTTCTCATTTTTATGTCTTTGTTGGTTCCAACTTATTGCTATGCTTTTGATACTATGCTCAAATTCAGTGGGGTGATAGGTGTGTCATGGAAATAATATTTTAAAATAAACTTTTGTAGCCACTTTTCCTTTGTAAGTGGAAGGATTTGGTATCATTTTTAACAGTGGAGAAATAGATCTATACTGCTTCTTTTCTCTTATGGTGACTTGTGAGGAGAGAAAAAAATGTAACACACATGTTCCCTGGGGTCACCTTGCTTCAAGCATCAGGATAAGGTCAGCTCAAACCCTGCCACTGTGTTTTATGGCAAGTCCGATGCCCTCAGGATTTCTGCAAATATATCTGTGCTAGTCACCTCTGACTCCAGTTTCCTGCTTTTGTTGAATTCTCATTACTCTAAGTCTTGAGGCTGCTCCTTTATCTCTGGCCTGGCTTCAAGTCAAATGTGGGAGCATTTCCTCCTTTATTCTGTGTTCTCCTTCTCCTCAGACTATTCACAGGAGGCAGCTGGGAACAGAAGACATTCACTGAGATTTGGGGTTACACACCAAATGTAAAAGGGGAACAGCATTTACGACACAGATAACTTAAAATTGCATATTACATTTTTCTGCCCTTAGAAAGTCCCTTGGCTATATTTTACAAATCAGGCTCTGACCTCTGACTTCCTTCCATGTCCTTTTGTCCTCTTTTTCTGTCCCCACCAATATACACAAATAATTGACTCGCTTTAATAGGCAGAGAAATGTAACTCTCTTCAACCTAGAATATGGTCTCTCTTAATACATGTTCTGTGTACACTTGAAAAGAATGTGTATTCTGCCAATGTTGGGCACAGTGCTTTACAAATGTCAGTGGGATCAAGTTTGACAGTGTTGTTCAAGTCCTGTGTGTTCTCATTGTCTTTCATTATGCTTATTCTGTCAATTATTGAAAGAGTGGAAATGTCTGACTAAAATGTTGGATTTGTTTATTTCTCCTTGCAGTTCTATCATTTTTTGTTTTATGTGTTTTGAAGCTCTTCTATTAAATGTATATATGTTTAAGATTCTTATGTTTGCTTGATTGACCCCTTTATCATTATGAAATGACTTTCTTTAGCCCTGCTAATATTCTATGCTCTGAGATCTATTTTGGATATCAATATAGTCATTCCATTTTTCTTTTGATTAGTGTTAGCATGTTAAAAAAATCTCTTCACTTTTAATATATTTGTATCTTTATATTTAAAAATGGTTTGCTGGCTATCCGTGGTGGCTCATGCCTATAATCCTAGTGGATCACTTGAGCCCTGGAGTTGGAGACCAGTCTGGACAACATAGCAAAACCCTGTCTCTACAAAAAATACAAAAATTAGCTGGGCATGGTAGCGCACAACTGTAGTCTCAGCTACCCAGGAAGTTGAGATGGGAGGATCACCTCAGCCCAGGGGGTCAAGGCTGCAGTGAGCTGTGATCAAGCCGCTGCACCTTAGCCTGGGCTACAGAGTGAGACCCTGTCTCAAAAAAAAAAAAAACACAAAAGTTTTCTGTAGACAGCAAATAGTTGGTCTTGCATTTTTGTCCAGTACGTCATTCTCTCACTTGTATTTACAATTAATATGATTGCTGACATGGTCAGGCTTCAACCTACCATCTTGTTATTTGTTTTCCGTGTATGCCATCTGTTTTTATGTTCCCTTTTTTCTCTTTTTCTATTTTCTTTTGAATAACTGAGGATTTCAAAACATGATTTCATTTTATCTTTTTGTTGTCTTATTAGCTGTAACTGTTTTGTTATTTTACCTTTTGCTTTTGTGTTTAGAGTATACATTTTAAGCTATTGCAGTCTACTTTAAATTGGCATTGTACTGCTTCACCTTACAACAATATATTTCTGTTTTTCCCGTTCTGAACTATATGCTATTGTTGTCATATAATTCACTTATATGTGAATTATATGGTATAAGCCCTACATATCATTATTTTTGTAAACTATCAATGAGCTTTAAATAATAAAAATTATATATCTATATTTTAATAAAATATTTAAATAATAATTAAAAATCATATATCTATATATCTCCACATTTTAATCTGGTATCATTTTCCTTCTGCCTAAAGGGCTTCATTTAGCATTTCTTATGGGTAGTATGCTGGTGATTGAATCTCTCAGCACTTCCATTAAAAAAAATTTCATTGAATATAAAATTATTGGTTGACAAGCTTCTCTTTTAGTACTTTAAAATGTTGGTCTTCTGTCTTCTTACTTTCATTGTTTTTGATGAGAAATCTTTCATCCTTATCTTTCTTCTTCATGTAATGTGTCTTTATTCTCTGGCTGCTTTTAAGATTTTCTCTTTATCACTGATTTGATGGATTTCATTATGACATCCGTTAGTGTGAATGTTTCACGTTTTTTGTCCTTGGGATTCATTGAGCTTTTTCGGTTTATCATCTCTCTCAAACGTAGAAAAATTGTGACCGTTGGGTAGGTTTTATTTCTAGATAGCATTTCCTTGGAAATTGGTTTGATTTTCCTTAATGACATCATGAATTGTGTAAATGACCAAATGCCCTTTTTCTTGTCAGTTTAGGAAGAGATTTGCCACGTGTGTAGTCTATTCTTCTCATAGGATTTTATGGTAGGCATTTTTATATTAGCCTAATCCATGTTTTCCTACTATTAATACATCCTCATATTTATTTTCCCTTTAAAAAATTGCCTCTCTTTTTCTCATATACAACATATTTTTGTGATTATATAATCCAGCTTCTTTTTTTTCCTTCTTTTTTTTTTTTTGAAACAGAGTCTCACTCTGTTGCCGTGGCGCAATCTGGACTCACTACAACCTCCACCTCCTGGGTTCAAATCATTCTTCTGCCTCAGCCTCCTGAGTAGCTGGGACTACAGGCGTGCACCATCATGCCCGGCTAATTTTTGTATTTTTAGTAGAGACGGGGTTTCACCATATTGGCCAGGCTGGTGTCAAACTCCTGACCTCATCATCCACCCGCCTCAGCCTCCCAAAGTGCTGGGATTACAGGGATGAGCCACTGCACCCAGCCAATCCAGCTTAAATATTTTTAAGAATAATGTGGAATATAAATCCTTTCAACAATTGCTTTATCTTAGCTGCAGAATATTAATTTACTAATTAAAAAATATCGGGTACTTGAAGCTACCAGTTTATTAATACAAATGGTAATAAATTAATATAGGTTTTTTAAATACATCTTTTAGAATATTCTTAAAACCCCTTGTGTCAATTGAACAATATTGTGACTCAGTAGCAGAATTTATTCACAACTCTGTGATGAAAATGTCTACGCGAACCTTTGATTACACACTCTGCTGATTGAGAAACTGTACTTCCTTGGGCCTAGAGTTAGTAAAGAGTTTTATGCTCACTCTGTACCTTGGTACTATGCCTCTTCCATGAAATTTCTGAAGTACTATCTAGAGAAAATATTTAGAATGAAACGGTTTGCAGATGTCTGTACCTTGCTTTTAGTGGAGTTGGTCAGTGTCTTCAGCTTCCCTCTGTTCCCCACATCAGTCTTTCTTCCTTCTCAACTTCCTGTTGTGTCACTCACTTTTAGCTACCTCATTGCCAAAAGAAATACCTATTTCCCTTCTCTTTAAAGAGAATTCTGCCCAGTTTTTCTCTCTCCTTTTCTTGCAGAAGCGTAGAATACATTTGAATTATTTTCCTGTTTGGAGTTTGGAAATAAGCAGAGATATGCCTCCTTGACATTCCTTTTTTCTTCTTTCCAGCTCGAATGTTCTGTCACCGCTCTGTGCTCCCAAGGTATCTTCCCATGTAGACGTGTCTTCTTTATAACATTTGAGATGCCATAATGTCATCATTTGATTATTTGTCTGCATTTCTTAGTAGATAACGCAGTCTTTTTAAGGCTTTATTTTTTTAATCAGTTTTAGGTTTACAGTGAAATTGAGTGGAAAGTACAGAGTTCCCATATACCCTGCCCTTCTCCCCCACATGCACAACCTCCTCTGCTGTCAACATCTCACACCACAGAGATACATTTGTTACAACTGATGAACCTACTTCAATATATCATCACCTAAAGTCCATCAGTTTACCATAGGGCTCATTCTAGATGTACATTCTGAGTTTGAACAAATGAAAACCGACACGTATCTACAATTGTAGTATCATACTGAGTAGTTTTGCTGACTTAGAAACTATCTGTGTTCTGCCTCCATCCTCAGGCAACCACTAATCTTTTTACTGTCTCCATAGTTTTTTCTTTTTCCAGATGTCAGGATAGTTTGAATTACAGAGTATGTAACTTTTTCAGATTGACTTCTTTTACTTAATAATATGCATTTAAGTTTCCTCCATGTCTTTTCATGTTTGATAGTTCATTTCATGATGAATAATACTCCATGATCTGGATACACCACAGTTTATTTATCCATTCACCTACTGAAGGACATCTTGGTTGAATCCAAGTTTTGGCAGTTATGAATAAAGCTGCTATAAACATTCATGTGCAGGTTTTGTTTGTGTGGATACCAGTTTTCAACTCATTTGAGAATACCAAGGAGAGCGATTTGCCAGGTTGTATAGTAAGAATATATTTAGTTCTGTAAGAAATTGCCAAACTGTCTTCCAAAATAGCTATACCCTTTTACGTTCCTACCAGCAATGAATGAGAACTCCTGTTGCTCCACCATCCTCGCCAGCATTTGATGTTTTAGATTTTGGCAATTCTAATAGGTGTGCAGTGGTAGCTTATTGTTTCAATTTGCAATTTCATAATGACATATGATGTTGAGCATCTTTTCATATGTTTATTTGCCATCATATATCTTCATCAGCAAGGTGTCTGTTCTGGTCTTTTGCTCATTTTTAAATTGGGGTGTTTGATTTCTTACTGTTGAGTTTTAGGGGTTCTCTCTATGTTTTGAATAACAGTTCTTTGTTAGATGTGCCTTTGTAAATATTTTCTCTCAGTCTGTGGCTTGTCTTCTCATTATCTTTCACAGAGCAGAGGTTTTTAATTTTAATGAAGTCCAGCTTATCAATTATGTATTTTATGGACAACAATGCAGTTTTAGGGGAAAGAAAGTCATTTTCTTATTTCTATTTTCTGCTTCTGGCACAGTGATTGGCACTTTTTATGTACTCCATATTAAATGAATGGGTGAATGGATTATTTCCTGCCTTGTTCAAATAATCCTCTATTCAAAACAGGATCACCCATCTTCTTACATTAATAAAAGAGCTTAATGGATTTAACAAGCAAAACAATATTAACAGGTGATTGAGCATTTGCTTATCAAAATGACTCAGCTCTCTGCCTTTTGCACATCTTCTTTTGCTATCTTCTTTCCTTTTGCACATCTGCCTTTTGCTATCTTCTTTCCTCCAAGAGTTATGCTAGAATACTTGTTATGTTTACCAGTAGTCCCTGCTTAGATATGAAAGAACTTCCTGTTATACATGGGAAACCAATTCTTCTTCTTGTGCAGCTGAATTCTGATAATTTAGCTGTTGTCACTAAGAGATGATTTCACTCTCTATTACCCAAAAGGTACACCTAGATATCAAGGTTGCAGATTGCAGTCATATGGCATTATCTGATTAACTAAATTCTACTCTCTCTTTATAGTGTTTATTATAAGTATAAAAAGAGTATAATTAATCAGAAAAATTTTGACTACTTTAATGAAAATAATGATGCTCAACTGCTGATTTATTCTTGAATAAATCCTAAACCCTGCTAAATGTCTTGAGATTGAGCCCTAACCTGAGCATGAATATTATATAGACATAGTGAAAATATTTTTCAAAATAAAAATACTATTATATGATTGGAATTTAATAGACACATTTATATGTGTCTATCAAAGGTTAAAAATTAAATCCTGTTTAACAAACTGTCTTGAAAATAAAATATATCATAATAAAAAGAAATTGCTTAGGAGAACCGAGATTCATGGTTATTGAAATATGTAGTGTAAAACCTCTTGTTTTAGATCTCATTAATTAGAAATGCAAGAAGACTTAGTAGGAGGCATTTTTTCTTTCTTTCTTTCTTTTTTCTTCTTCTTTTTTTGTTTCAGCTTTTATTTTAGATACAAGGAATACATGTGTAGGATTGTTACATGGGTATATTGGGCCCAGGTAGTGAATATAGTATCCAATAGGTAGTTTTTTAACCCCTTGCCTCCCTCCCTCCCCTCTGTAGTAGTTCCCAGTGTTTATTGTTCCCATGTTTATTTCCATGTGTGCTCAAAGTTGAGCTCCCACTTGTAAGTGATAACACGCAGTATGTGGGTTTCTGTTCCTGTATTAATTCGCTTAGGATTATGGCCTCCAGCTCCATCCATGTTGTTGCTAAGGACATGATTTCATTCTTTTCTGTGGTTTTGTAGTATTCTATGGTGTATATGTACCACATTTTCTTTATCCAGTTCACCACTGATGGACACCTAGGTTGATTCCATGTCCTTGCTATTGGATATAGCATGGCAATGAACATACACATGGATGTGTCTTTTTGGTATAATGATCTATATTCCTTTGTGTAATGGGATTGCTCATTCCAATGATAGTTCTAAGTTCTTTGAGAAATCTTCCATTTGCTTTCTACAGTGGCTCAACCAATTTACATTCCCACCAACAGTGTATAAGTGTTCCAAGGGGGCATTTTAAAGTAAAGCTTTGTTTTAATTTTAAGCTTTTCTTCAACAAAAAAATGCAAATTGTAATCTACCTAATGTAAAATTACTATAATATGTAATTGATATAATAAATAATTTCAACCCACACATTCTGGAAATTTATTAATAGGCAACAATAGTTTCTGCTTATCTGTAATTTTTGAAGAATATTCAATAATTCATACTTTCATTCATTCACTCATTTGACTAACCTTTCTGTTAATTTTATTTGAGTTCAAATCATATTGAATGATTTCTTCATATAAATGTACCTTTTACAGTGTTATCCAAATTTAAGTTTTGATACTATTATGTATTGTCATTAAAAGAATAGAGGATGTAGATGTGGGCATTACAAGTTATTTTTCTTCATTTATTGAGCACTTTCTACCTTTTAGGCCTTGCAGAGTGAGGAAGGAGAGCATATGATACAAAGATGAATTCAGGTGTCTGATATCCACTCTCTATCTTCAAGTAGCTAATGATCTAACAGGACAATCCTAAACAAATATTAATAATTGTGATACTAGGTGGAAATTAAAAAGTGCTAAATAACACAGAGATAAACTGAGGTTCAATTAATAAGTACTTTGTAATTGAAGACATAAATGGTCTTTAAAGAGATTCCTTTTTATTTCTAATCTAATGGGTTTTCTTTTACAGGAAGATGTTCATTAGTAGAAAACAAAGTATTTTGCATAAGCACAATTTATTAACAATGAAAACATACTTTTCTCAAATTATTAACCAATGTTTACTTTCTTAAATTCTTTAAAAATGAATTTCACAATATATTACTGTATTTAACCATTTTGGTGATTATTATTTTATGATCATTTGTCCTCAGAGGCTAATGAAATGTAAAAAGTTGTTTACCTTTCTCCCTAATGGCGAAAAACTAGTTTACTTTTGGAGTTCTGATTTCTGCTTTCCAAAGCTTTTTTTTCTTCTCTCACATTCCTCTTTATTTCATTGCAATTTGCTGCCATTAATGTGCTTGTCTCAAAATCAGATCCTGCTTATATCAAGCTTATTACTTACATTTTGCTCTTGGGCAGTAAACTAGTTACCTAAACTTGTTAGAAATTTCTAAAATAAGAGTTAATGGAATCTGATGAGAACTTTCCTAGGAGTAAAATATATCAGATTTAACGGACATAGCTTTGCATAGTTAATGCATAACGGATTGCTAATCATTATTTTTTAATTTACAATTTCATAATTAGCTTTATATATAAGATTAAAGTTACAGCTTGCCTGTTAGGTATTTATAATATGGTCCATGGAAATATGTTTTATGGAAACATAATAGCACATTTGTGTGTCTGCCACCTGACTTAATTAATATTTTTTCCATTTCAAGAAACATCAACAATAATCTCAAGTCATTATATTGGTTGAAGTCAAAGCTGGTATTAATAACTCCAAGTATGTTACTTAGATTTAACATTGGACTATTATACCCGGTGTGGGCAGGTTAGAAATTAGCAGCAATGTGGTTGAAAAATTCTCTTATTTCAGATTGATGGGGCTACAAATGCTATGCGGAATTCTGCCAGTTTTTCCCCTTAACCACATGACTGTAACTGCTACAATTACAGTAAAGTCTACAGTAAGAGCCAGAGTTCCTCCAAGTGCGGATGTTATTGTGGGGGGTTTCGGATTGTTTGCACATCTGAATGTCCATCAATAGAGTTCTCCCAACTAATAACCAGAGCAGAATGTCTGCCAGCTCACAAGCAACTGTTGCTAATTTGGATGTTTTGGATGATGTGAAAGTTCTCTAACTCCAATGAATCATAATTTTCAAGTATACATTTTGTGAGTTGGATTATCACAAAAATTACATTTATCTGTTGTGAGAGCCCTAAAAGTGCTCAGGTGATTGTCTTTCACCCTGGCTAAACATAACTCCTGTGGTAAAAGATGATCTTTTAGCTTATTCCCAGCAGCTACTATAGTACCTGGTATAAAGGAGCCAAATTCATAATTAAATGTTGACTAACAGGTAAATTTATGTTTATTTTTATAATGAAAAATTAGATAACAGAATAAACCTGGTGAATGAATTCTAGTAACATTTTAAAGGAATTCCATCTCTAGATGTAAAGCTTAAATAATTTTCAGATTTCTTTGAACTTACTTTCTAAAACTACCTTCTGTGGCTACAGTTGGCCTACTCTAAAATGCCTTCAGTTAATTAGCAATATTTGAAAACTTTACATAAAACTTTTTTTAAGTAGTGCTTTTTGCAAAGTTTTCTTTTTCTTTCTTTTTTCCCCCTATTTCTCTCAACTTGTTTTATATATTACTTACAAATTATGAATTAGATCCCAGATAACCTGTACTGGTTCAAAGATCAAGCCAATAACTTTGTAGTACACTTTTGATGTATAACCTAACCTTTAAAAAAAACAAATCTTAGGAGCTATCCAAAAGTCAAGGAAAGCAGCATGTTTGCAAGTCATAGTGGGGCTACTTTTCACAAATTCTTGAGGGAAAAGAATACAATGGTGTCAGAAAGCAACACAATAACTTAATCCCTGTGAAATAGTTTCCTGACATATTTATTTTAGAATATAACCTTCTAGCATCCTTTGTTTTTTCCCTGTGTTAGTAAAACACAAAACAACATAAGACACTATTTGAAAGTCACCCTCAATTATTCTTTTCAATTGTCCAGAATTACATGCCAATGGTATATAAAAACACATCTATGTTAATCTGTTTCATGGGATTAATAGAAAAGATCTGAGAATGCAGGCATTAACTCTTTCCCTTGCTAATACAACATGACTAGAAAATATGGGTCAGCCCACAAAAAGGGAAAAAAGACATGAGGTGCCTATAGTGGCTTGGGGCGGGGTGAACAGAATGTGGAGAACAATTTTTACCGGACTTGGTTGCTTAGTCTTTAGAAGATTTAGGATAATGTCCAGCAAAAAAGATCATGACAGTCTCATAAAAGAGGACAAGAATATTTAAGAGAAAAGAGACAAGGAATAAAAGAGTGGAAGAGAGAGAGAGAGAAGAGGGAATGCTTTTCTCTTACAAACAAGAAACATGTGGCTGATGTGATGGCGTGGGAGGTCTCCTGGGGCAGATATGTATTGGTTCTTCTGACAACTTAAATAATTTCACAGATAATTGCTAAACAACCATGAAATATCCTTTCACCTTTTCTAGTGCAGAGCACAGGCTGTTCAAATGTCCAAGTTAATTAATATGAACTATGCTTTTTAGGTAGGGAAGGTGAATGGTCCTAATTAGCCTTGCCTAACTGATGAACAAGTTTGATCATAAATGTTGGAACTCTTGCTCAAGGATATTCTGCAGCTCAGCTGCAGAACCTGAATTGAACAAGATCTCTGGAAAGCCTGTAGTCTAGTTTTTTCTTTCTTTATTCTCACTTCCTTTCTCTTTCCCTCTCTCACTCTTATCTCTCTCTCCTTCCCTCCTCTTTTTCACTTTACTGTATGCAAAACTAAATCTGCAAATACCTGGAGAACTTTTAACCTTCAACTGAGTAATCCATTTCATTTTCGACATATACCAATATCTGACACAAAGGCTGTTGAATAATTTTTAATTCCATTGTATTGTTACCCAATTAGCTTGACTGAAGATGGACAGTTTCTCTTGAAGCTGCTTAACTGCCCTTGGACATTGAGTGGGAATGGGTAAATAATTTCTTCAAAACATTTTCTGGTTCTACTTACTTTTAGTTCTGAAATTCTTTTTTTTTATCTTTTATTTTTTTAATATGCTTTGGTTCAATTTACCATTGAATTTCAAATTTGAATCCCAAATCAGACCCACTGACTACCAGTGATTGACTTGGCTGGATTTTGTCATTGAGTTTATCCACAATGGCTGTTTGCACTAGCATTTGTCCATGTGGTTCTTTTACACATAAGAGTGATGTGCAGATGGAGGTCTCTCCTTCTCCTTCTCTTTGTCTAAATGCTCTTCATTTTTTTTTTTTTAACTTGTGCTAACTTCTGCCTTGGGTAAAATAGTGCAGAAAATCTTTGGTGAATTATTTCATCATAGAGTTTGTGTTCTGTGGTTTGTAATATATTCTGGGCCACATCAAAGAAAGAGAAGCCATATGGAGTGTAACAGCTTAAATGAAAGGCAACAGAAATTGTCAGAAGAAGTTAACCCAAAGGCAGCATTGAAAGACAGGGGTCAGGTGAAGGGGCAGGAGATGGAAGCACAGCTGAAGTAGGCAAGGGTGGGACATGCATTAGGTCACAGAATAATATTCTCTGGAGGAGAAAGATACTCTAAAGCCTTTGGAAAGAAATGCAATAAATATTTCACAAGCTTGCCAAGAAAAGCAAAAGGTGAAGGAGTTATTTATTATCCAGAGACCTCCATATGGTTGCTTTCCTCTTACACCAGGAAAGGAAGAAAACTTTTAGCTTACATTTATTTATTTATTTATTTATGGAGACAACGTCTCGCTCTGTTGCCCAGGCTGGAGTGCAGTGGTGCAATCATAGCTCAATGCAGCCTCAATCTCGTGGGCTCAGGCGATTCTCCCACCTCAGTCTCCTGAGTAGCTGTGACTACAGGCACATGCCACTGCACCTGGCTGAGTTTTAAATTTATTGTAGAGATGAGGTCTCACAGTGTTGCTCAAGCTGTTCTCAAACTCGTGTTCTCAAGCAATCCTCCTGCTTCAATTACAAGTGTGAGCTAGCTTACCTTAATAATGTGAGTATTTTTTTGTTTGTTGTGATTAAATGAGGCTTGAAATAAAGAACCACGGACTATCAAAAGGCCCTAATAAATAAGTACTGGATGCCTATCTCAATGCAGCTTACGCCCCTGTGGCTTGTAAAGTAGTAAATAATAGGAACATTATCAGGCAGTCAGTAGCTCAAAACATCAAAGGTATTTAACCACAGTCAGGTGAATGTAGATTTCTTTTTCTTTATAAAACTCCAGTAGTTCTAGATATCAACATTCTCCTCACTGTTTGCACTCCCAGGTAGCCTACTTGACTACTTATTCCTTTATTGCACACATTGTATTGCATACATCATGCATGTTAAGCCATAGAAAGGGCATCTAACCGTGTCAGTGGCAGAAGGCTCTTATAGTAGCAACCTCCCAGAAGTGACACTTAAGCTGAATCTTAGAGAGTGAATATGAAGCTGCAGAGGTAGGGGACGAAGCTATCCCAGGCAGAGAATTCCCTGGGTAAAAGTTGCCAAGGTGGGAAGGTACCTGCTTCTGTGCTGTGGGAACTGCATATAGTTTACTGTGGTCAGCCTGTGTTGTATTACCATTCTAGGATGCTGAGGGTAGACAAAACACAGCAGAGTAAAAATATGCGGGATTTGGACTGCATGGGCTCAAAGCTTTGCTCTGCTGTCTACTGGCTGCGTAACCCTGGGCAATTTACTTGACCTCCCTAAGCCTCAGTTTCTTAATCTGTAAAAGAAGGATAATAATGGTATTTCCCCACTGTGCATTAATATGGAATCATGCATTTCAAATGTTGAGAACAGTGTCTACTGTATCAAGTTATCAGTGTTAACCCTTATTTCATTATAATTAATAATTCCCAGTTTTTGTATTAAGGAGTTCACCTGCATAATTACACATGTATGTTTTGTCTTTCATGGAGATTGTTGCTAAATTACCCTGTTACTGCTACTTGCTGGAACTCTAAGCACTCTTCTGTTGGCTCCAGAAATCTCTCTACTATTGCAATAACGTTGATGTCTGCATTATGTTTGTTTCTTGTGGACCAATAAAGGAATGTCATAGGCATCACACTGAAAAGGATTCACTGACTGGAGCCTCTAAAAGGCCTTTATTGGCTTTCCTGTGATGTGGTCCTATTAATTTAGTGAAAGAACGGACTCATATTTTATAATATAATTTGCAACCCTCATAGACTGAGCTATTGTACTTCCTGTGGTAGGGTTAGACTGACTCGAAGTCTTCAGCTCTAACCTTGGGCTGAAATGAGAATGAAATCTCCTGAATAGGCCTGTACAGCTAGAAAATTAAGCAGCAACATCTTAAAAGTATGCCTACTTCAGTTAAGAAAAAATAGTTAAAATATTTATAGATGAAAAAAATAGAGGTCACATTAACAAAAAAATGGAAGTCAGCATGTAGCTGGCACTTCTAGATCCCTTGTGTGGGACTACTGAGAAAACACAAGTGTGAACTGAGCTCCCAGGGGCTATCCTGCTTTGCAAAATTTAACAAAACATAAAAGTTGTTTCTAGCAGTGAGCTGTATGGGAGAAACTTTCCATGAAATCATACTATCATCAGTTTTATGATAGTATGATAGATACAAGGGCTATAGGAATAGCTCTTTTACCAAGCATCATTGGGAAGA
This sequence comes from Homo sapiens, assembly GCF_000001405.40. Lineage (NCBI taxonomy): Eukaryota > Metazoa > Chordata > Mammalia > Primates > Hominidae > Homo > Homo sapiens. The sequence continues at coordinate 150,766,354 of NC_000002.12, read as the reverse complement.
TGAGATGGTATAGCACCTGGAATGTGTTTTACCTAGCACATGGAACAGTGGGAAGGCTTAATAAGTATCACCGGTTGCACTACTCAGAATAGGGTACAGGTGGTACAGATTGGTGGTGAGAGAAAGTTTCAACCCCCAGCCCCCTCCCGGTTTATTGCTGACAGCTGAGCCCCAGTGGCCTGGCTTAAACTCTCTGTGTTCATAATCCTTTGTCTGTCGAAGGTAGATACGGTTTGTAATCTCCCTCACAGGAGATTTTCAGGAGTATATGAGTAAACAGAAGAAAAGAAGCACAGAACAGTGTCGGGCCCACGGTAAGTGCTCAACTAAAGATGATATGTTAGCAGCAGTAATTTTATTGCAAAACAATTTATATTTGTCTAAAAAGCTCAGGATTAATCAAACATTTCAGTCCAATACATCTTTTTAAATTACTTTTTGATAGTTGATAGATTTGTAAGTTGTTGAAACAAATTTCATTGGTATTTATAGACTAGTCATGCATTCTATATTATTATTCAGTATTATTCATATGCCAATATTAACTAAATGTTCTCCAAACATGACCGAACCATCTTCTGACTTATGTGATGGATTTCATAAGCATGATTTAGGATTGCATTTTGTTTTTCGTTTTTTTTTTTCAAGACAACTGCTTAATTACATTATCGCCTCGTCTCCGGGATCTTGGTGGTGTTGTAGAAAGCAGCATTGGTTATTTGCTGTTTTTAAATTTTGTTTCACCAGTAGAGAAATCAATGGGTTGTGTGTGGGCAACAACATCAGCCTTAGGAGATAAGGGCACACTTTTTTTTCTATTGGCATTAAAATGGTAAAGAATGCTAAATAGGACTCCAGTAAATATTTTTTGAGTGAGATCCTGCCACCCACTTTCCTCTCTTTTATCTATCCCCCCTCAAAAATAAGCAAACATCTGTAGCTATACTTTATACAGAATCACTGCAACATGTAATTACGGGATGCCAAAAAGGACGGAAACAATAAAATTGAAACTAAGAAATTTCTGTCTTTCCAGTAAACATAGCATTCTTGATGGGAACTGGGGAGAGTAAGTCTAATCTGCTTATAGTTGGGAAATCTGTGGAGAAAGAGGTCAGGAGAGATGAATTTGCCAAAGAGGGGCATTCCAGGCAGCGGATGGGGGCAGGATGTCTGGGCTCCAGCAGCAGAGAGAACGGGGTTGTGTCTTCTCCATGCTAGAACAGGGGCTGGGCACACATCTCTCACTGTGATAATCATAGGCAAGGCATGAAATAGCAGGGCAGAACTGGAGATAACTGGCTTTGCAGAAGCACCGAGCAGCCAGCGCTACACAGGCCTTGAACTTCCTATTTGGATCTTCCCAGATGCGGAGGAAGATAGCCGAGGATGAGCCTATTTACCATCACTAAGAAGCCTGGCAGTGGGCCTGACACTGGGTCATGAGGGATTTGGGTTCTGATCAATCACCCATGAATACTTATTGAGAGACTGCTATGTGCCAGGCCTCATTCTTGACCCTAGATATAAAGTGGCGAATAAGAGAGACAAGATTTCTCCCTTCGTGGAGTTATCGTCTAGTTGGAAAAGACAGATAATAAATAAACAAACATTGATGGATAAAATAGTTTCAAAAGAAATTCCAGATATGAGGGAGAGTGGCTGGAGAGTTGGAAAGAGCTCCCTGAGGAGTTCAAGTGAGACCTGAGTGAGGAGAAGCAGCTATCCTTCCATGGGTGGTTCTGGAGCTAGAATTTTCTGGAAGGAAGGATCAGCTTGTGTAGGGAGCATGAGGCAGGGCTCACCTGGAAGAATGCCAGTGTGGCTGGAAGAGGGGAGGAGGTGCTGTCCAGGAGGGAGCAAGGCCAGGTCATTCAGCACCATGCAGGCCATGGTGAAGAGCATGGATTCTGTTCCAAGTGTCACGAGAAGCCACTAGGGCTTTAAGCAGGAGAGATATGTGACACAATATGCATCTTACAGAGTTTGCTCTGGCTGCTTTGGACAGAGGAGTGAGAGTGGAAGCTGGCTTCCCAGTTGGAAGGTGGTTCTCATTCAGAGATGATGCTTTCCTGGGCAAGGGTGGTTGCAGTGGAAATGGAGAGAAGTAGTTGAATTTGGGATGGGTTTTAGAGATAAACCCACAAGACTTGATGATCAATTAGATATGAGGAGTAAGAATAGGAGACAAGTCATGAGAAACTTATTAGCTTTTTGTTTTTTTTTTTTTTTTGGAGACTGAGTCTCACTCTGTCGCCCAGGCTGGAGTTCAGTGGTGCAATCTCTGCTCACTGCAACCTCTACCTCCTGGGTTCAAGCAATTCTCCTGCCTCACCTTCCCAAGTAGCTGGGACTACAGGTGCGTGCTACCAAGCCCGGCTAATTTTTTGTATTTTTAGTAGAGACAGGGTTTCACCATGTTAGCCAGGATGGTCTCAATCTCCTGACCTCGTGATCTACCTGCCTAGGCCTCCCAAAGTGCTGGGATTACAGGCATGAGCCACCACACCCAGCCAATTTATTATCTTTTCCTTGAGCAACAGATTATATAGTGATGGCCTGTACTAAGACTGTGTGACATGGAGCCAAGGGAACAAAGAGATATTTGAAAAAAAGAATTCTGTACTGGCCGTGCTAAGTTTGAGTTGCCAACAGACCATCAGGTATAGATGTCAAAATTAGAAGTTGGATATTTGAACTTGAAGCCCCGTGGAGAGGCCAGAGATAATGGTAAAAATCTGGGAGGCATGGATGTATACTTGGTATTTAGAGCCAGGGCCCTGGGTAAAGTCCCTTGGGCGTGTCTATTTTTAAACAGGCAAAATAGCTTGACACTTGAAACAGAATTTATTTATTGATCTCTAAATAAGAACAACAAAACTAAGCAAAAGATTTCGTACTCATTTCAGTCATTGTTTCACCTTCAGACTCTCAAAAAAGGATTATTCTCTTTCAAGGCTATTGTCGTCAAATACATATGTCATTGGATGTTTTTACATCCCCTGTTCCTATCAATAGAAAGTTCCTCACTTCCTGCCTTGATTGGCTTTCTCTATTTCTAGTCTTGTTTCTGCATCTTCAGACCCTTAGACAAAGGCAGTTGATACTCCACAATTCCCCAAGCCATGAGTGTCTTAATGAGGACTCAGAAGAAGCATCTGAAGAGTTAGACAATCATTTATTTGAGCATGAGCAGAAAGATCCATATTTAGATAATTCTCTTTTCACAGCATCATTATCTCAGAATGCTTCTGCTGACAGCCTTGGAGATAATAGCATTCAAAATGTAAATAATGAAACAATACACATGGTAATGAGAGAGGCTCAGAAAATATAGTAGTAATGAAAAAATAACAAGACAGCGATTCTAATATTGTAAATACACAAGTTTGCAGTAGTGACAGATTATCTCTGTAATGCCAAGCTGAAATAATTTATTTAGAAGCAAATGTAACAACTGCTGAACAACATAGAAGGTGTCGATCCAGTGCCAGTTAATGCATTTAGAGAATTAGACAGGCTCCGAATAATTAGGAGTGGATGAGAATCTGGAATGAGCAGGGTGCTGTGAAGTGTGGGAGTAGTGGAGGTGCACAGCAACTGACATAAAGAGAATTTCCAGGCAGGTGCACATAGGAAACCAGAGACAGAAAAATATCTTATCAAAAGTCAATGACTGAGCTATATCTTCCACAAATGTACATAAAATCATTGTAACCACTTTGCTGAATAGGCTGAAATCTGTGTTGTACAAATAGAAAAGGGCTTATTATTTTCCAGTCTTACTCTTCAAATATGCTCTGTTGGATTTTCTTTTCCCTGTGCCTCGATTGCCTTATAGGCAGAATTCATACTGTTCCAATATTAGAACAGTCTTGTTTTGTTAGCGAAAATTCATATTGGAGTAGTAAAAGTTTTGGTGCTGTTTAAATCAAGATTTCAATCTCACGTTTAATTCAGTGCTTCTTACCTCCCGTTGGCCTAGGCCTAACTGACCACAGAGTGCGTGACTTTTTTTACTCTCTCCTTTTCCCTTGTTCTTCACTTCAACCCCAGACATTACCCCTGGGTCTTCCAGGGTTAAGGGAGGAGAAGATAGACTAAAGGAAGTCCCACCTTACTTGGAGGTGCTAGAATGCAGTGTCGTTGCCCTCTGTGAAGTGAAGGGCTAGATATTAGCTCCTTCATAGAACAATGTTTACATGATGCCTTGGAAGCCCACTGAGAATTCTAACTTGGATATGTTCTTTCTGACTCTCTTGAGATGCTCCTTCCTTGCCCATGGTATACTACAAGCTTCTTATTGCTTGGGTCCCTATGACCAAATAAGCCCCCATTTTGGGTTGGGTGCTTTCTATGTCATAACCCCCAGACACAGTTAATATTCCCTTATGTGGTAGAAGGACTTTGGTTGATATGGTTGATTTAAGAATCTCGAGATGGGGAAATAATCATGGCTTATCCAAGTGGGCCTAATGCAATCAAAAGAGTTCTTATCAGAGGGAAGCAGGAGGATCAGTCATAGAAGATTTGAGGATGGAGGCAGAGGACAGAGAGGAGAGAAGATGCTATGTTGCTGGCTGTGAAGATGGCAGAAGAGGCCACATGCCAAGGAATGTAGGCAACCTCTTCAACCCAGAACAGGCAAGATAGTGGATTCTTTCCTGGAGCCTCCATAAGACAAGCAACCCTACAGACCCATTTTAGACTTCTGATGTCTGGAACTGTAAGAGGGTAAATTTGTATTGCTTTAAACCTTTACGTTTGTGGTAATTCATTACAGTAGCAGTAGGCATTGAATCAGGTGCCTTCAAGATGACTTGGATTTTTCATGGTACCCTTTCAGGCTGGACCTGCCAAATGATGAGAGTACAGGTTGCTTCCATGCTGGCCCTCTCTCCTCACCTTCCTTGCAACTGCTCCGGCCAATCTCCCTTCTCGGGAATTCTGAAGATAGAGGCAGGCAGCAGTCTCAAAGTGCCCACGTACCTCCCAAACTCAAGGGAAGCAGGTCGAACTTTCCCAAGGATTTCCCCACTGTGGTATTTGAGCTGTTGTAATCATACACGTGGAAGAGAAACATATATCTCCTCTTCTTGCTTTTTCAATTATCAGGAATTGTCTCTGGAATCTTCCTTCCTTTATTTGTGAGAGGAGAGTACCTCTACCCAACCCCATGAAGAAACGAAAAGTCAAAGTATTTCTAAGACCCGGTAATTCTAAATCTGAATGACCCTCCCTGAATTTCTGAATTTCTGTTCTGCTCTTTGCATAGGCTCTTTGGAGCATTTGGAGGTGAGGACTAATTTTTGTCAACCCTTAAAAATTCACAGGGATGTATCTAGCAGCTGCTTTTTAGAATGTGAGGTTATTTATTACCCTTTCTCCTGCTTAAGATTTAATTTCAAATTCTAAGATTACAGGAAAATTTCCATTTAATATGTCATTGAACAATTTGTATGCTGTGCTCACAGCTGATCTTTTGAATGGAGAGAAAGGGTGCATGCCCTGGGCTTGGAGAGTTCTGAGGGAGTCACTGCTATTTAAAATATGTATATTTCTGCTTAAAATCCCTCAGTTAGAGTCTATTACTTTAGGCTAAAGCCTACGTATTATCCTCTTAAAATGCAACAAAGTGGAAGAGTGGATGACTGAGCATGGGCCAATCTTTCTTACCACTGTGTTTACTGAGTTTACTGAGGGGATATTTTTCTAGTGTCCAGTGCAGCTCCTAGCACAAAATGGATACTCAGCACATGTTTGTTGAGAGACTGAATAAGTAAGTGTGTCATGACATCCATTCATGCATAAATAAATAACCTACCTGTGCCTCTGATAAGGTATAATATATAGCTTGACCTGAAAAGGACTAAGGAGGAGGGAGGCTGACATAAGATGCTTTTGTAAAACTAGGGAGAAGCTAGAGGATGCTAGTGTGCTGGGTGGAGAGGACATGCAGGAGGGAAGGATGAGCCTTGTGGACAGACTCAATGGCTTTGCACTTTTCTACTTGGTTTTGAGTCTCGCTGGCTGTTATGAATGTGTGAGTGCTGATTGATACATTTATTACACCATGAGTAGAGCAGTGATGGGAAGTTGTATTTGTTCTCATGCTGCTAATAAAGACAAACCTGAGACTGGGTAATTTTTAAAGAAAAAGAGGTTTAATGGACTCAGTTCCATGTGGCTGGGGAGGCCTCACAATCATGGTGGAAGGCAAAAGGCATGTCTTACATGGCAGCAGGCAAGAGAGAAATGAGAGCCAAGTGAAAGGAAAAACCCCTTAAAAGCCATCAGATCTTGTGAGACTTATTTGCTACCACAAGAACAGTATGGGGGAAACAGCTCCTGTGATTCAATTATCTCCCACTGGGTCCCTCCCACAACATGTGGGAATTATGGGAGCTAGAATTCAAGATGAGATTTGGGTGAGGACACAGCCAAACCATATCAGAAGGCCTTTGGTAAAATAGAACACCTTAAAAATAATTGTGCTATTTTCCTCCACCAAATGAAAGACCACATCTGGGCTCTGTCATGATATAGGATGTTGGTATCTGGCCATTCAGTGGTTAGAGAATCCCTTCAGTTCAAACTGTGTATTACCATAGATTATGGAAAACAGCTCTTGGCTGAGCTTCCAGAGCCACACAGGGTAATCTGAAGGCTTTCATTTGTTTGAGTACATGAGGCCCCTTGCTTTGTATTACAAATGAAGCACGATAAATGTTTTATCCATTTTTTTTGTCTTACCTGTTTTCTGTTCTGCCACATCATCTTCCATCCTACAACTTTTGATACTGAGATTCTTTTCAACTGAAATGAGTTGAAAATGTAATACTATAAATGTTTCTGACAACCAAATGTTTTAACTAGATAATTCTTACATGTTCTGACCAGTCAATACTTAGGCTAAGCTTTTCAATTAGAGATGTAGGAGTTAAATTAATGTGTAGGAGTCAGGCATGGATAGATAAGACTATTTTGCTTTAGAGACATTTTTATTTATTTAAGCTATGCTCTGCAGATGGTGTTTCATGATGATTAATACTTAACGTTTGGCGAGGTTTAGGCTTAGTTAAAAAAATACTTAATGTAAAATTTTTTAACTGATTATGTTTGTTTTATGATAAATATTTTAATATCTAATTATATCAACAATTTAGTGATAAAAACGTCATTAAAATTTTTTGTGTGTTTGTATAACATAAATATGGATTTAATTTCCTGTTTCATGTTATGTCTGCTGAAGTTAGTATATGATAGACTCAGTATAATTACATATTTTCATTATTACAGACTTATCTTAGTCCATTTATGCATTAACAATTTTAATATTATTCAAGTATGACAAATTAGACTTATTAGAGTAAAACTGAAGATTGAAAAAAAAACCCTTAGTATTTCTTGAATATCAGAATTATCTTGTGATAATACCTATTTACAAAACACAAATGTGTTGGTTAATAGGCACTTCTGGATGACAGAACTACAGAGAATGAAATATTGATATTGTGTTTAGGAACCGATTCAGGAACTGAACTGCATATTTTAATGCTGCTAAATTAAAGAATTTTTAAACTTGTCAGTTACCCTTCACAGCAACGTGTACTATTTAAACGAGATATGAAGCTCTATGTTACTAGATATTTTAATCACTCAGCAAAAGTCAAATAAGTAAAGGAATATTAAATTTGTGAAGCTGTGGGTCAACAAACAGTTCCTAAGTAATAGATTTTTGTGGATAAAGGAAGAGAGCAGGAAGCAGTGAAAATAAAAATGCATGCCCAGTGTGTTCCTCAGGGGACCGAGGACTTTGGAGCTTGGCAGAGGGCTTCTCAACTCTACTTGCTCCTTATTAGCTGCAGGTTCTTGGCCATTTGTTACTCTCTCATGCCTTTCATGAAGACTAAATAAAATAATATATATAAATAAACTTGCTTAGTGCCTGGTACACTGCTTTTGGCACAATAAATGGTAATTCCTTTCTCCTTCTGAAGAAACTGCTCAAACATGACACTGTCCAAATGGGACCATAGAAGAATAGAATTTTAGAGCTGTGTGGTTGATTTAGAAATGGCTTAATGCCAACTCCTTTTAATTTGGGGATACAAAATAGACTTTGGGGACTGGAAATGTTTTAAGAACAAGAAAACTTTCTGATTTGATAAGGTTAATTTATAATTTTTTAAAAATCACTTTCCTATATCATGCTTTAGAAATTCTAGAAGATAACTATTTTCTATTTTATAAACTAATTTTGGTATAATGTAGATGATCATAGAATTCTAACATTTAGAGCTAGAAGAGTTTTCAGTTTATTCAACTAAAATACATTCTTGAGGCTCAGAAAGTCTGGATATCTTGTCCAATATCACATCAATTCTTTCTTTGATTTTGGAGTTTTAAATAACATCTTATCTAGTCATAAAGGGAATATTAAGCATGGGTGGGATGCTGACCAAGAGAAAAACAAAAAGAGGCAGGCAAAGGAATCCAAAAAGAAGAACCAAGGCATTATCAGCTCAAATCCTTACAGCAATCTTAGGAAGCAGTATAATCATTGCTCATTGTTTTAGCCCAACAATGGTACCCGGGGTGCAGAAAATACAAGCTGGTCATCTGAATGAATGAATTATTAAGTGATTGGATGAATTCAATCATTGATTGGATCCAGTCATTGAATTTAATGGAGCACTGTCTCCTGTCTCCCAAATCAGGACACTTCCCAGTGTGTTACAGTCTCCTAGGTCACATGAATCCTGAATTTCTACTTTGTCAGGGTCTCACATAGCAAATAGGCAAAACATTCAGAGTCACATTCTCTTGCCTGGTTTGGCCTCTCAAAGAGAACTTCTGGAGTCTCAAGCTCAAATGTTTTCAGGGACCAGTCAGATAATGCGAATGAATACATCGAACACAAAGACGATCTGCTGCTGACTGTACATGTGCTACCAAATGGCATTTAAATTTAGAATTTTAGGCAAATAAAACAGGTCTGAGGCCAAAGTAGGCCCTCACTAATTTGCTCTTCACTTTGTATTTATTTTTTTCTTTCTTAGATGAGCACAAGAAATTTAGATGTCTACATCCAAAACAGAAACTTTTTAAAAATGATAATTAATCAAGATCACCTGACATTAACACTGAATTAATATGTGCAATAATCAAAAGTGCTATCTTTTCTAAAATGTCACAAAACCTTATTAGTACATCTACTGGCATTCGTGGCTGAACCTCTTTCCATTCTCACTGGACTTTGTCACCATAGACTTCAAGCTTGGGATGTAACATATTCCTAGTAAGAGGCATTGGTATGCATATTAGGAATATGTAATGAGTCTTAATAGCATTAACTTATTATCCCAGAACGCTCGGTCATACAAATGCAGGTTTGCACAGGCATACACATGCTCATAATTAAGGAAGGGATATTTCTTTGCCCTCCTATCTGGGCTTCTCTGATAAATTGTTATGCAGCTGGCATTCAATGCAAATTGGAGTTTGCTGGCTTCTGATATGCATACTAGCCCTAATCAGCAGATTACTTATGTGGGGGCTGCCCACCTCTACAGCTAGGCTCTCACATTTAGAATAAATAATAAAGTCTTGCTTTGAATTTATAAAATACAGAATGGCCTAGTTCAAACTCTTATATAAAAGTACAGCATAATGAGTATGGTTTTCATGTGTAGAAAGAACGTTTGCTAGACATTGTAGAGCCTGGGAAATTAACACTACCATATCATTATTGATTATTATTGAATGTTATTTGGTATAAAGAGGTTACAGCAACCCAAATACAGACTATTAATAGAATGTGGTCCCTTTGGCCTGGAGGAATAAACTTCTACTGAAAGTGCTAAATATCTCCATTAACAACTCGAGAATTGTGTTTAAAAGACCTTTTTAAGATCTACTATAAGCTACCAAAGCTTCATTGTAGAGTGTCCTTAAGTCAGTCTGGTGACTTTAGTAGTATTAATTCCTTAATGATGAGTAAAGCACTGTTGACAAAGAAGCAAAAGTGTTCTGATGAATGGTAACATCAAGAGAAAAAATTTAAGAACAACTGAATTTTTTGGTGAATTTTGTAATAAGCTAGAGATTAAAACAATTAGATTTCAGAATAAATATTAATAAAAAATAAGCACTACATGTTGGGTTAGAATAATTATAAACTCTGAATTTATTTGTTACATAATTGTCATCATGGCTCTGAAAGAAAATTGTTATCCTCATCTTGGCTTGTCAAGGAAATTCTTCTTATAGAGATGAGAAAACAGACTTGAAGATATTATGAACTCAGCTAATAAACAGTAAAGTCGGCATTTCTCTCTATATCAGCTGGACTCTATAACCTTTGTTCTTGACCCCATAGTTGCCAGGCTGTCTGTTTTGAGGGCGCGTTGAAAACAGTGTTAGGTGAACAGAGAAATTTGCTGCAACGCCCCGAAGAGTCCAGTTATGTTTCAGACCACTGTTTACATGCCACAGCTTAATGTTAAAAGAAAATATGTTTTCAAAACTTAAAAAACAAAATGTGTTCCTGGATTTTCAATAAGGTCCTCTTCTAAGACAATTCAGCTAAAACTAGAAGGTTGTTCAACACAAGTGAAGGCAGATGTTGATTATTTAACACTGCGACACCTGTGAGAAATACAAATGTAATAACAGATATCAAACTTTGTCCTGAAGAACCAGATGTTTAATCTCTTAGGAAAGAGATCCTCAGTTTCTATGAGTGGACTTCTAATAAGTCACCGTCATATAGCAACAATATTTACTCCCTGCATCTTCAACTATTTAGGGGCAATTCCCACTTCTATGGTCTCAATGCTCTTTAAATAACCAGTGTCATTCCAGATTATTGTCGCATTTTTTTCTGCTGATTATAAATTTAAATGTACTTGTCAGAGAAAAGGAAGACAAGTAGAGATTTATGAGAAACCTTTTTTAGACAACATATGATGTTCATACTTTTGTATTATCCTATCTGGTGACCTTTGAGTAGTAAAAGAGAGACACTAGTGTTTTTTGAAGTGTGGAAATTTTAGAGCTTTATGTATTCTGATACCAAGGCAGGTGGTCATTCCCAAAAGCCACCATTAGTCTTGGTGGTGTAGCTCATCTTTATGTCTTGTCTGGATTCATTTTCTGTTGCTACATAACAAATTACCACACACTCAGCAGCTTAAAACAACACAATTGTATTAGCTCACGGTTTTTTATGTCAGATGTTGGTATGGCAAAACTGAGTTTCCTGTTTAGGGTCTCACAAGGCCAAAATCAAAGTGTTGGCAGAGCCGAGTTCTTGTTTAGAGGCTTGAGGGGAAAATCTGCTTTCAAGTCTATTCTTGCTGGCAGAATTCAGTTCCCTATGGCCACAGGAGTGAGGTCCCCATTTTCTTGCTGGCCGTGAGTCAGGGGCTGCTCTCAGCTTCTGGAAGCTTCTCTCAGGTCCTTTCCATGTGCTCCCCTCTATATTCAAGCCACGAGCTTTTTTCCAATTCTCTCTTGTAATCTACCTGACTTCCTCTCTGCTACTCACTACTCACCAGAGAAAATCCTCTGCTTTTAAAGGGCTCATCTGATTAACCAAAGCCAACTGATTAGTAAACTAATTACATATGCAAAAATCCCTTTTGTCATGTAATATAACATAATCATGAGAGTGATAACTCATTGAGTTTGCAGGTTCTGCCCATGCTTAAGAGGAATAGATTTTACAAAGACAAAGGTCACAGGAGGTCAACTTAAAATTCTGCCTACCAGAAAGTAAACAGTTTATTGTGTAGCTAGTTTTTATTTCCCTTTTTGACCAAATTCTAGTGAAATAAACTTTATAAATGTAATTTATATTTTAATTTAATTTAGTTTTAGCATGACTGAGAGAATTGCTTTGACAGAACAAAGCTCCTGTTTGCAGTAAATACATTTGAAGTTCAATGGAAATGTCATTTTGTCAACTGGATTTAATACAGTACTGTACAATGATATTAACCCTACTATCCCTTTAAATATTATATAGTTGAGAATTTTCTGTGGTTCTGAATAAAATCTTGGTTAGAATCAGCAATTTAAAATACAACTTTTTATTGCAGTATAATATACATACAGAAAGGGGTAAATCACTGTGTTTTCATAAAACAAATGCAAATGGGTAATCAGTGCCCTAAACAAAAAATGGAATAACACTAGCACTTTAGAAACCCTACTTGTGACTCACTCCTTTTCCCAACTAGAATAACTATATTCTTACACTTTTAACTACAATTTTAGAAGTTGGACACTTGGTTGTTTTCCTAAAATAGATTTATCTACTGGGGTTTTATCATGCATCCAGATGGCTTCTTGGTCATAGTCTCCTTTAAATTACTTTTATGGCAGCTTTATCCCATCTGTCCATTTAGCCCACCAAAAAACTCACAGGGCCTAACCTAATCATTGATGGGACTGACCTTAGTGCCCAGTACAGTCTTTCTTAGCTTTGCTATTCTAGGCCAAGCCATACCTTCTTGCGTTTAGAGTTCATGTTGTCCTTCAAACAAAAGGGGCAAAATATCATGTTGTGTGAATGGTTTCTTTGAAACCCCTTCTGCCACTGGACTTAAGGGGAGGGAAGAGAAGGTGTACTGTCTTTACATCTCCATGGGAATGGGCAGTGGAAGGACATGCAGGCACTGACTGCTCTCACCAAAAAGTCTCTTTTCTTGACCACTTCAGCTTTGACACTTATATGCATTCAAAGTGGGCAATAGGTTAAGAATAAAAAAAAAAATGAGTGTTTGGCCACTTCCTTTACCTATCCTATATAGAAGATTTAGCTCTTCACTTTAGAATGTGGAAATAGTTCATTCTGAGGCTTGAGTGGTGTCTCAGTGGAAACAACAGAGTCCCCTTTCGACAGGCTGTTACATAGATCTACTATATCCTTAAGACAAAAGTGTTTTGGCCAGGTGCGATGGCTCACGCCTGTAATCCCAGCACTTTGAGAGGCCGAAGCGGGCAGATCTCAAGGTCAGAAGTTTGAGACCAGCCTGGACAATATGGTGAAACGCCATCTCTACTAAAAATACAAAAATTAACCGGGCATGGTGGCGGGCACCTGCAGTCCCAGCTACTTGGGAGGCCGAGGCAAGAGAATAGCTTGAACCTGGGAGGCGAAAGTTGCAGTGAGCCGGGATCGCACCACTGCACTCCAGCCTGGGTGACAGAGCAAGACTCCGTCTCAAAAAAAAAAAAAGAAAGAAAAGTGTTTTAAGAAGAGGAGATTTTCAGTAGAAAGTGTTGATCAAAACTTAATTTTTCTGTTGGCACCATCAACTAATAAATTGGCTGCTAGTTGATCAGTAATTTATGACCAGATTAGTTTCTGATTATCTTCTGTCTTCCTCTTTCCTACTCTTCATGGCCCTCAAAGTATAGTCTCAATAACTGGCAAAAACTTCATTTAAAAATAGGTGATCACTTTAACAAAGTAGTTATTAAGCAATAAAAATTCTGCCTTTCTTTTTCTGAAGCAACATTCTATGGATATCAGAAGAATTTTGATGCCAGTTAGTATATGAAAATATGTAAAAGACCTCTGTTTCCATCATGACAACATAAAAAAACAGGATTAAAAAAATATTATACTCTTCAGCTATCAACTAGCAGAGAACACAGTGAAGCCTTGGTGAACTGAATTCTAGAAAGGAATAAGCCACTTATGAGTAAGAGGAGCACCACTGTAGCTTCTATACCTGAGGGCTTTATTTGGGAACATGTGAGTGAAAGAGTAGGTATAACACAGATGGAAAAACTGTAGGGACAAGGAGAAATCAGCTACACCTTTAAAGACAATGTGAGTGGCATAAGAGATTATTATATGAATTCTAAACACAAAAATAAATCACTTGGATTGACAATTCTCTTGTCACACTCCTTGTCAAAATTTCACTGAGAAGATGGCAGTAGAGGAGAAGCTTGAAAGCAAAGTGAATTCATGCAATTTTATGCATTCTTGAGGTGTTTAGGTTTTAGGACCCATGAAAGTTGAATCCAAACATGAGCCAAAGCTGTTTGAAACATTGGTCTATCCCCTATGCTACCTGGCTCAAATGCTGTAAAAACCCAAAATGATTAGCCCCTGAGTGGTAGTGGCGTAGGAGGAGGGTACAGGTAGGGTTAACAAAATGTGAACTTAATCTAATTGACATTATGGTTCAGTCCCAGATCAACTTGACTTTTGAAAAAATTTTAATCATCAACCACTTACTATAATTGTCAGAAGGAAAAGCTTAAATTATCTGGAAAATAAACAAAATAAAAAATAATTATATTTCAGCCTCTTCTTTATACACAATATCTAAAACTCAGTGAAAACATATGAAACATATAAGGAAGTGGGAAAATGTGATCCCTAATCAAGAAAAAAAGTGGTTAATAAGAGCAGACCCATGTAGACTCAACTATTGATAGTAACTGAGGTAATAATGCTGGAGATGTCAGTGTCCTAATCCCTAGAAGCTATAGGAGGAATTAAAGTTGCAGATAAGGTTGCTTATCGGCTGACTTTGAGATGGGAAAAGTATCCAATATAATCAAAAAAGTCCTTATAACCGAAAGTGGCATTGAGAAGAGTGTCCGAGTCAGAGAGAGAATTAAAGATGCTGTGCTGCCGGCTGTTAAGTTGGAGGAATAGGCCATAAACCAAGGAATGAAGCAGCCTGTAGAAGCTGTAAAGAGAAAGGATATAGTTTCTCCCCTAGGATGTCTAGATTCTTCCTCCAGAAGGAATGTAGCCCTGATAACACCTTGATTTTAATCCAGTGAAACCCATCTTGGACTTCTAACCTCCAGAATTATAAAATAATAAATTTGTGTTGTTTAGGCTACTAAATTTTTGGTGGTTTGTTGCAGTAGCAGTAGAAAATGAATATAGCATGCAAAAACTTTATTACTGATATGTTAAAAAATTTACAAGAAAGAATGGATTCAATGAGCAAAGAGATTGAACATTTGGAGAGAAAATAGGAACTATAAAAGAATGAAATGACATTCTAGAACAGAAAAACATAATGTTTGAAATAAAAACGTAATTAGATGGACTGAACAGCAGACTAGCATGCACAAAAACATAGTCAATTTAAAAAGAAGATAAGATGAATTGTTCAAACTGAGTTACAATGAGAAAAGTAAATGAAGAAAATGTCAGAGATTTGTGGAACAATATCATGCAATTGGAGTCCTAGAAGAAAAAGTGATAAGGAAAGTCATATAGATTATTTCAATAAATAATGGTCAAATTTTACCCCAAATTTAACAGATAAACTTAACCCACAGATTTGAGAAGCTCACTGAATGCTAAGTAGGATGAATTGTCACACCACACACACTTATGCATATACGCATGCATGCACAGGCATGTGATAACCAATCTGATGAAATCCAAAGCAAAAGAAAAGTACTGAAAACAGCAAGAGGGTAAGAACACATTACATACAGAGGAGCAATGATTCAATTTATGCCTAACTTCTCATCAGAAACAATAGAAACCAGGAGACAATGGAATGGCATCTCTGAAGCACTTAATAGAACTGTCATGGTAATTCTGTGCATAGATGAAATAATCATTCAAATGTGAAGGCATGTTTTCAGATAAGCAAAACTTGAGAGACTTGTTGTCAGCAGACCAACACAACAGATATTGTAAAGGAAGTTCTTCCATCTAAAGGATCCCATAAATCCAGAAACTAGGATATACAGGAAAAAATAAAGAGTGGTGGGAATGGTAAATGTGTGAGTAAATATAAGAAAATAAATAACATAAGTAAAATTCCTTAATAGGCAAGTGACTGTTTAAGACAAATATGATTACAATTTATCTTATGCTCTATAATTAGTACACAAGAAATATGTGGCCAGGCGCAGTGGTTCAAGCTTGTAATCCCAGCACTTTGGGAGACCAAGGCAGGCAGATCACCTGAGGTCAGGAGTTCAAGACCAGCCTGGCCAACGTGGTGAAACCACGTCCCTACTAAAAATACAAAAATTAGCCAGGTGTAGTGGTGGGCGCCTGTAATCAGAGTTACTAGGGAGGCTGAGGCAGGAGAATCACTTGCACCCAGGAGACAGAGCTTGCAGTGAGCTGAGATTGAGCAACTGTAGTCCAGCCTGTGCAACAGAGTAAGACCCTGTCTTAAAAAAAAAAATCTATGCATATATATATATATACACACATATATATATATATATACACACACACATATATATATATATATACACACACATATATATATAGACGGCATCAAGAACAGGAAATAGGTTATGTTGAAAAATACTACAAGCTTCTTACATTTAAAGTGATAAGATTTTAATTAAAGTTAGATTACTATGAGTTAAGAATGCATTGTGTCATCAGAGCATTTATTAAAGCATTAAGACAAAGATACAGCTAAGGAGCAAATAATGGTGATAAAATTGATAAGAAGCTGATCAAAAGGCAGGAAAAGAAAGGAAGAACAAAGAAGCAACAAATAAGACATATAGAAAACAAAACAAATATGGTAATGATACTCTTCTTTTTTTTTTTTGAGACGAAGTCTTGCTCTGTCACCAGGCTGGAGTGCCATGGCGTGATCTCGGCTCACTGCAACCTCTGCTTCCAGGTTCAAGGGATTCTCCTGCCTCAGCCTCCCGAATAGCTGGGACTACAGGTGCCTGCCACCACGCCCAGCTAATTTTTGTATTTTTAGTAGAGACAGGGCTTCACAATGTTGGCCAGGATGGTCTCCATCACTTGACTTCATGATCTGCCCACCTTGGCCTCCCAAAGTGCTGGGATTACAGGCGTGAGCCACGGTGCCTGTCCACTAATCATACTCTTAAGAAAAGCTTAAGGAATTGTAACTAAGAATAGGTAATTAAAAACTTAAGAATCAATTATTATATTGAAAGTATGTTTTAAAACTTGAAAGGTACAGATTATTAATGGGGATAATAAAGCAAAACCAAACCATATGCTACTTATCACTTTAGATATAAAGACACAGATAGGATTAAGATGTGGAAAATGTATTTCATGCAAATACTAGTTCTAAGAAAGCTTCTATGGCTATATTAATTCAGACAAATTTGATATTAATATAAGGAGTATTACAAGAGATTAAGAAGAACATTGCATAATGAAAGCCAATTTATTGTGAAGATGTAGCAATCTTAACTGTGCATGTACCTCATTAAAACAGAGCTTCAAACTGATGAAGCAAAAAATGTCACAATTAAAGGAAGAAACAGACAAATATTGTAAATTTTAACATTACTTCATCAGCAATTGATAGGACAAATAGAAAGTAACAAAAAAATGGAAAAGATTTTAATAATATACTCAATAAATTTAATATAGCTGCTATCTATAGAACACTATCCTCAACAACTGTAGAATATGTGTTCTTTTTGAAGTACACACGGACTATTCACTTAGATATGCCACAAAACAAGTCTTAAAAATTAAACGAAATAGTACAGGATGTATTCTATGACCAGAACAGAATTAAATTGGAAGTCAATAACAGTAAGATATTAGAAAATCCTAAAATATTTGCTAGTTAATAACACACTGTGAAATAATCCATAGGTCAAAGAAGAAATCACAAGTGAAATTAGCAAATATTTCAAACTGCATGATAATGAAAACACAATATATTTAAATATATAGAATGCATTTAAAGAAGAGCTTTGAGATAAATTTATCTATTTAAATCCTCATATGAGAAAAGAAGAAAGTTTCAAGCTAATAAACTAATAAAAAATTAAATCTCCATAAGTAGAAAGTAGGAAAAGGTAAGTAGAAAATCAATGAAAGAAAAAGGCAAAAGAGAAAAAAAATCAATAAAGCTAAAAGTTCTTTGAGCAGAATAATGATTTTAGAAAATCCTTGCAAAGATAATAGAAGAAAAAGAAGAAAGAGGAAGGAAGGAAGAAGGAGGAGAAGGACGAGGGAGAGGAGGAGGCAGAAGAAGACAGAGGGGAGGGAGAAGGAGAGAGGAAAGGAAAACAATATAAGGAATGAAAGATCCTATAACAATGAAAAGCTTACCAATTAAACATTATGAATAACTTTATGTAATCCGTGAAAATCACAACTTACCTAAACTGATACATCAAACGAAAATATTGATAGACTAATATTTGTTAAGGAAATTGAACTTAAAAATACAAACTCTCCCCCAAAGAAGCCTCCAGGCCCAGATGTCCCACAAGAGAATTCTATCAAACATTTAAGGAAGAAATAATAAAAAAAATTTACCGAAATGCTTTCAGAAGTCATAGGGGAATTCATTTTATGAAACCATAATTTTAATGACAAATACATTACAAAAAGTAACATTACAGACCAAAAATGTATTTCTACAAAAAAAAAATCATTCAAGAAAGTAACTTTTACTCTTGACAAATAGCACCATCTTGGAAGTCAATGTTACTTGTCATTGAAGAAAGGCATCTCATACTGGTGAATTCAGCTCAGTGAAATATCTTCTCTTGTCAGTCAGTGGGTTGTGTCCTCAAACACTGCTTTTTTGGAAGAATATGGGAAAAAGTTACCAGGCTCTGAAAAGCTGAAGCGTGTGTGTGTGTGTGTGTGTGTGTGTGTGTGTGTGTGTGTGTGTGTGTGTATGTGTGTGTGTATTTGTAGGAGTGCCATGAGATAAGATTGTGTACTCTTTTTCTTTTTTTTATTTTTTTTTTAATTAAGAGTACTTCATTTTCTTTCTTTTTTTTTTTTTGAGACAGAGTTTCACTCTTGTCGCCCAGGCTGGAGTGCAGTGGCGCGATCTCAGCTCATTGCAACCTCTGCCTCCCGGGTTCAAGCAATTCTCCTGTGTCAGCCTCCCGAGTAGCTGGGATTACAGGCACCAGCCACCACACCCAGCTAGTTTTTGTATTTTTAGTAGAGACGGGGTTTCACTTGGCCAGGCTGGTCTCAAACTCCTGACCTCAGGTGATCCGCCCATCTCGGCTTCCCAAAGTGCTGGGACTACAGGTGTGAGCCACCATGCCCGGCATGAGTACTTTATTTGAAGTTAGTTGAGTATAAAAAGAATTATAGTGGTACCCTAAAATGGTGACACTGAAAATTCTCTCTTCTGGGGGCTTGGTTTATGATATACTGTATTGGAATCACACAGTAATTTCCAAAGTCTTTTTCTATGAATGCTCATTGTTGCTGCTGGCTCACACATTACCAAAATATGGCAAGACTCAAAATCCAAAAAGCAGGGTCTCTGTGAAGCATTGGAGAATTTTAAAGATTGCACAAAATTTGAATTAAATACATTTTGAGCTTGCTTCTTTTTTTTTTAAATTGACTTTATATTTTAGAGCAGTTTCAGGTTCACAGCAAAATTGAGCAAAAAGTGCAGAGAGTTCCCATACGTCTCCTGCCCCTACACATGCATAGCCTCTCGCATTATCAATATCCTCTATCAGACTGGTGCATTTATATTACAATTGATAAACTTACATTGTCACATCATTATCACCTAAAGTTCATGGTTTACATTAGGGTTCACTCTTGATGGTATACATTCCATGGGTCTAGATAAATATATATTGACAGACATCAATCACTATAGTACCAAATGGAATATTTTTACTGCCCTAAAAATGTTTTGCTTTCTGCCTAGCCATCCTTCCTTCCCTACATTAGTATCCTGGCAACCACTGACCTTTTTACTGTCTCTATAGTTTTGCCTTTTCCAGAATGGCCTTATAGTTGGAATCATACAGTATGTAGCCTTTTCAGATTGGGTTCTTTCACTTAATAATATACACTCAAGTTTCTTCCATGTCTTTTCATGGCTGAATATCTCATTTTTCTTTAGAGCACTGAATAATATTCCATTGTATGAATGTACCGCAGTTTATCTGTTCACTTACTGAAGAACATCTTGGTTACTTCTAAGATTTGGCAATTATGAATAAATCTGCCATAAACATCTATGTTCAGGTTTTTTGTGTGGACATTAGTTATTAGTGTCTTTGGGTAAATATCAAGAAGGGTGATTGCTGAACTTTATGGTAAGAGCATATTGAGTTTTGTAAGAAGCTGCTGAACTGTCTTCCAAAGTGGTTGTTTCATTTTTGTTTCCAGCAACAATGAATGAGAGATCCTGTTACACCACATCCTTGCCAGAATTTGGTTTTGTCAGTGTTCTGGATTTTGGAAATTTTAATAGATGTATAATGGTAGCTCATCGTTGCTCTAATTTGTGTTTCCATAATGAGATATGATGAAGAGCATCTTTTCATATGCTTTTTTTTTTTTTGCCATCTGTGTATCTTCTTTGGTGAGGTGTCTGTTAAGGTCATCGGTTCATTTTTTAAACAAGTTGTTTTCATATTGCTAAGTTTTAAGAGTTCTTTCCATATTTTGAACAACAGTTCTTTATCAGATATATCTTTCACAAATACTTTCTCCCATTCTGTGGCTTGTCTTTTCATTCTCTTGACAGTGTCTTGGTAGAGCAGAAGTTTTAATTTTAATGAAAATTCTTTTCATTAAACTCTCTTTTTCATAAATTGTGCCTTTAGTGTTGTTGTAGCTAAAAAAGTCATCAGCAAACCTAGGGTTATCTAGATTGTCTGGGATGTTATCTTTTAGAAGCTTTATAGTTTTCAAACATTTAGATCTGTTATCCATTTTGAATTCATTTTTGTAAAGAGTGTAAAGTCTCTGTATAGATTCAGTTTTTTTACATGTGGATGTCCAGTTGTTCTAGCACCATTTGTTGAAAAGACCATCTTTGCTCCATTGTATTGCCTTTGCTCCTTTGTCAAAGATCAACTGACTATATTTATGTGGGTCTATTTCTTACCTCTCTATTCTTTTCTATTAATCTATTTGTTACTTTGCCAATACCACCCTATCTTGATTACTATAGCTTACAGTAAGTCTTGAAATTAGGTAGTGTTAGTCCTTCAACTTTGCTCTTCTCCTTCAGCATTGTGTTGGCTATCCTCGGTCTTTTGCCTCTTTCTATAAACTTTAAAATCAGGGGTTGATAGCCACAAGATAACTCCTTTTCAGGGATTTTGATTGGGATAGCATTATAGACCACATTGCAAAGAACTGACAGGTTGACAATACTGAGTCTTCTTATCTATGAACATGGAATAACTCTCCATTTATTCTTTGATTTTGTCATTGCAGTTTTGTAATTTTCCTTATAGATCTTGTACATATTTTGTTAGATTTATACTTTATTATTTCATATATTGGGGTGGCAGTGTAAATGGTATTGTGCTTTTAATTTTAAATCCCGCCTGCTCATTGCTGGTATATATGGAAGTAATTGACTTTTGTTTATTAATCTTGTATGCAACCTTGCCATAATTGCTTATTGGTTCCTGGAGATTTTTTGTAGTGATTCTTTTAGATTTTCTATACAGATAATCATATCATATATAAACAAAGTTTTATGTCTTCCTCCCCAATTTGTATACCTCTTATTTCTTTTACTTGTTTTATTGCATCACTAAAATTTCAAATGTAGTGTTGAAAAGGAGCGAAGAGAGAGGACATCCTTGCCTTGTTTCTTATTTTAGTGGGAGAGCTGATAATTTCTCATCGTTAAATAGTATGTTAACCATAAGTTTTTTGTAGATATTCTTTATGAAGTTATCATTCCTAGTTAACTGAGAGCTTTGATCATGAATAAGTATTGAATTTTAATGCTTTTTCTGCATTTATTGATATGATCATATGATTTTCTTCTTTAGCTTGTTAAAGTGATGAATTGCATTAGTTGATTTTTGAATATTGAACCAGGCTTGCATACCTGGGATAAATCCCAGTTGGCATTATGCACAATTCTTTTTATACATTATTAAATTCAATTTGCTAATATTTTATTGAAGATTTTTGCACCTATGTTAATGAGACATACTGATCTCTCATTATTATTGTGATGTCTTTGTGTGGTTTTGGTATTAGGGTAATGCTGTTTACATAGAATGAGTTAGAAATTATTTATTTTGCCTGTGTCTTTTGAAAAAGACTGTAGAGAATTGGTGTAATTTGTTTCCTTAAATATTTGGTAGAATTCACCTGTAAGCCCATCTGAGCCTGGTGCTTTGTGTTTTGGAAGGTTATTATTCATTTAATTTCTTTAACAGATAATAAGCCTGTTCAAATTGTTTATTTCTTCTTGTGAGAGCTTTGGCAGATTGTACCTTTCAAGGAATTGGTTCATTTTATCTAGGTTATCAAGTCTGTAGGCATAAAGTTGTCCCTTTAGGTAATGTCCTTTTAGGCCCCTCTTTAGGTAATGATTATTTGTGTGTCAACTGTCATAAAATTTATGATAAGTTGTTAATAATCTTGAATGAGATTATTAGGGAATGGGTGTCAATAAACCAAACTTTCTATTCGGACAGAATAAAATAGGATGTTTTTCCGTGTATTGGGACTGTATATCACCATGGATTTTTAATCTTCACAGATATTTACCTTACCATTAGGTATGCTCATTATTTATTTATCCACACATTAAAGAGTCTTTAAGTAACTGTCTTGGGAGAATAAGCTCTATCTTTAGGCTCAGAAACTCTGTGTTAAGTTCAACAGAGTTTGCATAACCTATTAAATACAGGCTGTTCATTCAGGAAAACCAGTATGTTTCCCTTTTGGCCAAAACATATATTTGTAGCTCTCGGGTAAGCTTAGTGTAGCCTCACCTGTGTCAAACTGTTGTATCTCATGTGTGGTCATATTTAAAATATGTATAGCACCAAAAATGTGAGTATTCTGATATCAAACTACTGTATGGTTGTCTTGTTTGAGCCACAGGTCAAAACCATACACATACAGTTGGAGGAGGGGTTTTCCCTGAAGGGACTAGAAAATTGTCATTTTGGCATCAGGAAATAAAGATCTCCATGTTGGCCTTGCACTGAAGGGAGAAAAACTAAACTTCTCATGGAGGTTTAGAGGCAGATTGGCCAAGATCTGAGACCTTGAGGATGCCGGGAACGTTTCTAGTGGTGGAGGTGGGAGTAGGACCAGCTGCCCTTTGGCACATGTATTAAGGCTGGAAGCAAAGGAAGAGAAGACCAATAAGAGTGCCTAGAATAGATGTAAGATTGGATAGGAATTTTAGGCTAATTTATCATTCATTTATTATTTATAAAAGGTTTATCATTTGAACCTTTTATATGATCTTCTTGAAAGTTATTGCCCAGTATCTCCTATGCTGAGAGGATTTTAGAGAAGAGCTAGCACATCTTCAGAGACATACATAAGAGGATAATATTGTTTCCTCTCCCCTGATCTAATTTTCAATATTTTCTACCAGTTATTCTAATTAAGTATCATGGAGCCCAGCACAGAGCCCACGAAGTTCACCTGAGGCAGAGGGGTGGTCAGGTGAGGGGGCTGGATGGGAAACTAAGATGGATTCAGGAGAGACAAAGTACCTTGAAACTTTTAATAAATACTTGGGAAAACTTCAAAAGGAGCTAATTTTAGGCATAAATGCAGAGAAGACTTGAGGCATATAATTGGTATTATACATGCAAATGCAGAGACTCAAGGAGTATCAAAACTGTGCCATTGACATTCAAAGCACCATCACAGTAGATTCTGCTTAGTGAGCTGAATCTCTTACTTGAATGGGCTGAGTTAGGAGGTAGGTCAGTCTGCATGTAACCTTTTTATTTCTGCTGTTATTTCTTTCTTTTCTTGAGCTATTATGATTTTTAAAATATGACTGTTTGTTCTACATCCCCAATTTACCACATTAATGACATTAAGAGAGGTAAGAGACACAAAATAAAGAAACTTAGTTGAACTAGTCGTGACTAGTCTTTATTTCCTTTCCCTTCCTCCTTTTCTCCCTTCCTTCTTTCCTTCCTTTCCTTGTTCTCTCACTCTTTCTTTCTTCCTTAGAAAAAAGTTACCATTTGCCTAACACTGTCTCATGCATTTAATAAGTGCCAACCACACGTCAGTATAACAGCACAGTGCCTAAGGGTCTGAACTCAACATTCAGCTAGGGGCAGTAATCTCGGCTCCACCCACATTAACCAGTGTTTTTTAATTATGGAACAGACAGCGCTACATTTTAGTTTCATTTTGGCCAAAAAGAAAGACTATGTGTCTCGGCTTCCTTGCATCTTGTGATTAATTTTAGCCAGTAGAATATGGTCAGAGTTTATGTGTATCACTTCTAAGTTGGGGTAGTTGTGTAGCTATAGTGCCTTCCTTATGTTCTGTAACCCCTGACTCCATCTTTAATTGCTGGCAAGATGACATTCTTGTGATATTGAAAGATGCAAAATAACAGAGCCCAAATAAGGAGAGTGCCTCTATCTGTGAAATGGCATCCAGAGAAAAGCTGCCCAGGAGAGCTATGTAAACTTGTATAAAAACCAGGCTTTACATGAGGAAGAAATTCACCTTTATTGCATGAAGCCACTGAGATTTTGAGGTTATTTTTATGTTAATTAATGTTGATTATCTTTACATTGGATAGATTTATTAATATCTCTAACCTTCAGTTTCCTCATCTGAAAAATAGAGACAAAATTAACCCCCACTTCAGAGTCATCGCAATTATTAAATCAAGTAAAGCGTCAATTTACAGCCCAAACAAGACTGCACACTACTGATGTGGGAGGACTTTTCAAGGCAAAATAAAGGCTCTATGACCAAAGGGAGAATAAAGGCCCTGTGTCCCAACGAAAAGGTGTGCAGGCAAAACACAGATGCCCGCTGTGAAATTTGTCAGAGGTCTGTCTACACATCATTGCAAAGATTTAAATCCAGGCTTATGTGATTCTCAGACCAAGCTGCTACAGACATTTTGGCTGATGAAAGACTAACTTTGTGATTTATAAATATCTTGAGTTTGTCTCTAATATACTTGTCCAAGTTAGACTGAAAGGATATCCAATCTTTCAAGTTAGATTGAAAGGATAGTACAAGTCAGACAATTGGTTGGGATTTAGGTATTCAAATTGATGACCTTCCTCAAAGGATAGCTCTTCTGTCCTAACTGTGCTCTAAAACTATAATCATAATTCATGAGTGAGTGATATTGATTTATTCATTGCCTCCCACTGTTTATGAAGTGAGGAATACAGCTTATTCCTATTAGTTTCTTAAGATTCAGCCATCATCTTTAAGTATAGAAGATTAGTTTAACACCTTTGGTATGTTTTCCAAGCAACCGAATATACTCTAATTAGATCTGCAAAAGCTATTACCTTGATTATCAGATATACTAATTATCTTGTCAGTCATTGATCTTATAATTATAAGGGAGGATGCTGTTATTTTCAAATGATCAGGACTAAATTCTGCCCTTGAGTTCAGAGGCTCTAATTTAGTCCCAGCCCAGTAGATGTTTACATTATTCTTGTATACACAGTAATTACCTGTAGCTGCATATCTTTATCCTCAAGGCTTTAAAATTAAAGCCTTCACAATTATAAAAAGAAATAACACAAAAATGCTTCACAATTATACAAAGAAAAGGTCCAAATTACCTAATCCCACCACTCTAACATAAAGTTTAATTGAAATCTATCAATGATAAGAAAAGGAATTATATTCAGTTTCATTAATTAAATTTGCTTAATTTTAATCAGTAGACATTATGGATAGATTTTTCTTAATACCTGTCATAATTTGAACAGTGTTTTATGCCATTGGTTGAAAAGATAATAATCTTTGCTTTCTCTTACACAGGCTTCATAAATACTTATACATAACTGTATTATGTTGTGGCTTTGCTTTAAAACATAGGCCATACACAATCACTTTCTGTAGGTACAGGCTTTTTAACATGTTATCATTTATGTCTTCAGGTTAGCAATTGCAACTTTTTCATCTCTGTGGTACTCACTGGTCTTAGGACTGTACTTTACATTATCAAATGCAATACATGTCTTTCACCTTTTTATCCAGCAGAAGTGATGGCTGAACACTTAGAGACGAGCTGTTGTGGCAGCACACCCATTTTCTCTGGCCTATTGATATTTCCCTAAATGTTATCAATCAGTTACCCATTTTTAAAAAGGCTTCATTGTTTAAGTAGTTTTTTATATTAAGAAAACAATATAGTGGGGAAGTTCAAACCACGTCATACCCTACTTGGTCCTATATCCTCACCATAATAACAAATAAAAATCTAATATGATTTGACATGATAACTTTTATCTGTCAGCCTAATGGACATAATATTACCTTCGGGATAACACCAGACAAGTTTAAACCCTCTTCCACGTTATACTGCTGATGAGAAAAGGTTATAAAACTACTTGTATTAGATTAAAAAAAATGTAATATCGTGAAAGAGCTTGGGATGAGGGTTTGGTGATCTGTGTTTACATGCTACCTCTGCCATTTATCACATGGGTGGTGTTCAGTAAATTACGTAGTTTTTTTTTTTTTAGCTTCAGTGTATTAATATAGAAATGAAAAACAATAATATTATCACTAT
Organism: Homo sapiens; assembly: GCF_000001405.40. NCBI lineage: Eukaryota > Metazoa > Chordata > Mammalia > Primates > Hominidae > Homo > Homo sapiens. The sequence continues at coordinate 150,739,865 of NC_000002.12, read as the reverse complement.
TTCCCTTACAAAGATGTATTTTTACTATGTTTATGGTTGTATAATTTTCGTACTGAAAATTTCACCTTCCAGAAGTATAGTTTCTTGAGTTTTGAGAAATCTATACAGCCATGTAATTACCACCACAATCAAGATCTTATCTCAGAAAGTTCTCATGTGCCTTTGAAATCAGTTCCCTCTACCAACTTCCAGCTCCTGGTAGCCACTTACCTGATTTCTGCCTTTGTAGTTTGCCTTCTTCAGATTGACATACAACTATAATTACATTGTATTTAGCCTTTTGAACCTGGCTCCTGTCAGCTAGCATAATGCTTTTGAAATTCCTCTTTGTTGTTGCATGTACCTAGAAATTGTTCCTTTGTTTTTTTTCTGAGCAGTATTCCAATTTATTTATTGATTCACCAGCCAGTAGGCTTTTGAGTAGCTTTCCAGTTTTTATTATAAACACTTACATACACCTTTTTTGTGGATATGTTATTTATCTTAGATAAACATCTAGGAGTGGAACTGCTAGGTCATAGAACAAGTGGAATACAGTGACTCTTTTTTTTGAAGACAGAGTCTTGCTCTGTCACTCAGGCTGGAGTGCAAGTAGCGCAGTCTTGGGTCACTATAACCTCTGCCTCCCAAGTTCAAGTGATTCTCCTGTCTCAGCCTCCTGATTAGCTAGGATTACAGGCTCCCACCACCATGCCCAGCTAATTTTTGTATTTTTTTAGTAGAGATGGGGTTTCACCATGTTGGCCAGGCTGTTCTCGAAATCCTAACCTCAAGTGATCTGCCTGCCTCAGCCTCCCATAATGCTGGGATTACAGGTGTGAACCAATGTACCGGGTCTGACTCCGTTTTTTATGTTTGATCACAGACAGGTTTCAAGCCCCACCCGGCCCCTTCCCATTTTTTCCCATCTGGACAAGCCATGTAAAAGTCCATGTGCTTGCTCCCTTCCTTGTTGCCAGTGGGGAAGTTCAAACCATGCCATAATTTTCTTTGTCCTATGCCCTCACCACAATAACAAAGCCATCACCCCTTCCTTCGCTCCCACCATTTAGGTTGCCATTTCGGGTTGCTCTGCTCTCCCAGAAAGCCACATTGTGTGAGTAATAAATTTTTCATATCCTCTTGGTGCATATGTTCCAGCATCAGTCTTGGCATCTGAATCAATTTTGTATAGGGAATTGATCCCACCTTAGCAGGGCTATCCCAAGAAAATGAGTATAGATGGGTTTAACTTTAGAAGAAAATACCAACTGTTTTTCTTATAAACGGGCTATACCATCTTGTACTTCCATCAGCAATACATGACAGTTCTGGTTGCTCTGCATCCTTGCTAACACTGTTGTCGGTCTTTTTCATTTTAATCATTCTAGTAAATATGTATTATTATCTCATTGAGGTTTTAATTTGCATTTCCCTATTAGCTAATGAAGTTGAAGATTTTTCCCATGTACTTATGTGTAATCATTTGCAGTCATAACTTCTCTTTGGTAACATGTCTATTCAAATCATTGACTAGTTTTAATTGAATTGCTTGTTTTCTTATTGAGTTTTAAGAGTTTTTGAATATATACTCTAAGTCTTTTATCAGATCAATGTTTTGCAAATATTTATTTCCATTTTGTTGTTTCTATTTTCATTTTCCTAGTACTGTCTTGTAAACAGCAGAAGTTGTTGATTTTAATGAAGTATAATTTACCAATGTCTTCTTTTATGGTTTGCACTTTCTATGTATCATATGTACGATACATATGTATGTGTCATATGTAAGAAATCTTTGCCTAACCCAAGGTCACAACAGTTTTCTCCTTTGATTTCTCCCCAAAGCTTTAGGTATTACATTTAGATATATAATATATTTTGAGCTAAATTTATATGATTTTAAGGTAATGCAGAAAAAGTTGAGATTCTGTTTTGGTTTTGTTTCTATTTTGCATATGAATATCCAATTATCCAGCAGAGTTTATTGAAAAAATACCCATTTCTACATCAAGTTCCCTTGACAACTTTGTTGAAAATCAACTGGCTATATATATATGTGGGTCTATTTCTAAACTCTCTTCTGCCCCATTGATACTAACTAGTCATATGCCAATATTATACTGTCTTGATGCTGTACTTTTATATTAAGTCTTAGAATCAGGTAGAATGAGTTCTCCAACATTATTATTTGTTTTCAAAATTGTTTTGATAACTCTAGGTTTTTTGCATTTCCATGAGGATTATAGAATCAGCTTGTACTTTTTCTTTCTTTCTTTTTTTTTTTTTGAGACAGGGTCTCACTCTGTCACCCAGGCTGGAGTGCAGTGGCACAATCTTGGCTTACTGCAACCTGAGTGATCGTCCTACCTCAGCCACCTGTGTAGCTGGGACTACAGGCATGCACCAGCATGCCTGGTTAATTTATTCTTTGTAGAGACAGGGTTTTGCCATGTTGCCCAGGGTGGTCTTGAACTCCTGAGCTCAAGCAATTTTCTCACCTCAGCCTCCCAAAGTGCTATGATTACAGACATGAGCCTCTGCACCCAGCCCAGCTTGTAATTTTCTATAAAAAACAAGAAAGATACTCTTGGAATTTTGATTGGCATTACTTTAATTCATAGATCTATTTGAACATAATTTATATCGTAACAACACTAAATCATCTGATTCTGGAACAAAGTACCTCTCATTTAATTTCTTTCATTTAGTATATTTCAGAAAGGCTTTCTAGTTTTCAGTGTACAGGTCCTATACATGGTTTGTTAGAAGTACACTTAAATAAATGTTTTATGTTTTCTTTAATGTTATTATTAATAGTATCATTTGTTCAATTTTAATTTGCAATTGTTGATAACCAGTATGTAAAAATATAATTGAGTTTTAAATATTGGCCTTGTGTTATAAAACCTCAATACATTCACAAATTACTTCTAGTGAATTTTTTTTTTTTTAGATTATTTGGGACTTTGTACGTAGATAGATGTGTGGAATAAAGACAGTTTTAATTCTACTTTGCCAGTCTGAATGATTTTCATGTCTTTTTCTTATTGCACTGGCTAAAACATTATAGCACTAATAAAATCACAAGTCATTGCTGGCAATTTTTATTGAGCACTGTGCAAGGAACTTTATGTATATATCGCTCCTTTGGCTATCTGCAACAATGCTAACAGAAGCACACCGTAAGTGCTAGGTAAGGGAAAGGTTCATAGACATATCAACTAGGTCAGATGGAGGCGGTGTTCTTTATTTCAAATGTCTGCTTTTGGTCAGATGTTCATAGCTTATGTTTCTGTATTCTGTATAAATATTGATCTTTTTTGTTTTTGCTTTCTCTAAATACAACGCCATCTATAATACCATTGATGGACTCCTAAGATGAGGACTAATGGCATTATTCTCTGCTTAACATATCATATAATGAAAATAATCATTGATTTTTCTGGAAAAATAAATACGACCATGGTCCTATGTGCGAATTTTGGTTGCAGTCAAATTGCAATTCGGTTCAACACATGTGACTTGAAATCCACTTAGTGCTGTTAGGTACATAAAAGGAGTATATAGATCCTGTGTTGACTAACCCAGCTGCCACTCTCAAATTACTTCTCCTTCCCCACCTCCACGATAGAGACTGAAAAAAGCAAATTACAAACTTTTATGGCCAATGAGATGTTAATGGAGGCCTGATGTTCACTTTTGAAGAAAATTTGCTTTTCCTGATAAAAGAAGGCTAGAACAGACCCATTTTCTTTTCTTCTGCCTTAAACTTGAGACAATGGCAGCCATAGGACAACTATGAGGCTTCATGCAAAACAATGAAAGCCAGCATGCAAAGGAAGAGAGGCTGCATGAAATCAAAAGAGCCTGTGTTATGGAAAGCAGCTTGATGTTATAGAATATGCAGCTTTTTCTCATTGTTAGTGTGGTTACAACAATCTCTTGTACCTTTCAATTTCCTAAGGGGAAGCGTAACTCCCTACCTATGAATTATGTTTCCTCTTCCTTGCAATCACAAAAGCATTTCTAACATACGGTAAGACATAATTGTTCTGGGGACTTAGGAAGTCATGAATTTTCAGTTTCCCCAATAACCCAGCAATGGGAGTGATGTAAATATAAATGGTCCAACATTTCCTCCAAAGGGGGAAAAAAAACGACGACAAGAAATCAAATCAGAAAAAACTCATGTTTTTAGAATAATTACAAGACAAAATTTTTAAAATTCAAATTAACTCTAAGTAACTCTAAACATCCAATCTAAGCAAGCTATTTTCTACAATACTTGTTTATGCTCCTCCTGCTAGCCTTCATAGAGGACAACTTAGGTAAAATTGCACTGAAGAGAAAAGAGGGAAGCTTGCCTTAGTGTTAAGATTGTTCTGAAGTTATCACCATTATGAGAAAGTTAACCCCACATTTGAAAAATTATGCAGTAGGTCATAATATGGCTCACAGGAGAGGTACCTACAGGTGTACCTAGAAGGGGAGACAGTCTTAGTAAAGAAATCCTCCAGGAGAGAAGAGAGTGTTTAAAGGAGGTGGATATCACAACTCAATGTAATGCATAACCTGAATGGTTTTTGCTATAAACAACATTATTGTAATGGGTAATTGATTAAATGATGCCTATAGATTATCTTATAGTACTATATCAATATTAATTTCCTGACATTGGTAATTGTACTGCGTTTATGTAAGGCAACTGGCTTGAGGATATACACACTGAGATATTTAGGGGAAAATATAATACCATGTCTGCAACTTACTCTTAAACAGTTCTATATATATTAAGGAGAGGGGTGTGATAAAACACGGTAAAATTTTAACATTTAGAAAATATGAATGAAGGGCACATGGAAATTCTAATGTTAAGTACAATTCTTGGAACCTTTCTATAAACCTGAATTAATGTCAAAGTTAACAAAAAGAAAGCTTGTTTTTATGTTTTAAATAAAATGTCTCTATTTTCTCTATATTAAAATAAATAAAGTTTCTAGGTTTTTGAAGGCATAATTATAAAATGATAAAATACATGTATTACCAATAGCAAATTAATGCAAAGCAGAAATTTTTAAAATAATCTCATTATAAAATATATTTATGTTCTTTGCCACTTTTAATAGCATCACTAAGGCGGGACTTTATTGTTTAATATGTTTTCTATTCTCTTGACTCAACACACTTAATGTTTTATTTCACAGCTTTTAGTGATAGATACTGACATTGAGTCAAAAATCCATAGGTTTTCTCTGAAAACTCTGGACTGTATTTTGAAAAACATATCAATTTTAGCACCAATGAGGTAAATGTATTACTTCATTGTTAAATAATCTTAATAAGATGTCAACAGCAGAAAAATATTCTCAATCCTCAGCAAGGTCTTCAGGTAATGAAACATTGATTTTTTTTTTTTAACCTCTAAAGTCATTTTGCATGAAGTAAATGAAAAATAGCTATTTGTTTTTAAGGGCACAATCCATTTTCCGATACTTAATTTAATATTTAAAATTATTTATAATCTCTCTACCTTCATTAGCTATTTGTTTAGTTTGCACTAGTACTTTTATGAGTAAATATCCTGAGTTCATTCTCAAAGTACATCTCAAACCAAGATACTGACTTCAATTAAATCATTAGAAAAGTTATACATATGGGGAAGCATCTATATGTTAGTAATGCTTTATGAATCCAATAACTGTGATGTAAAATATATTGGCCTAACAATTATGCTTATTCTTTCATTTATTTAAACATTAGTAAATTTGAAATTACTTTGATATTTAGATCAAACACCTACAATATTCATGAGAATTATTCAGAATCCAAAGTCTCTGTTAATCCAGTTTGAATTCTTTAGCCTCTGATCTTAGCATTAAACCCAATAAAATGAAAAATATCTGATATTTAGTAAGTCGAAAGTATAGTAGTGTCCATTGACCATAAAATCTTGTTAAATAAAAGCTAAACACCCTATGTTGGAGAAATAGCATTGGGATTCTAAGTGAGAGGTGCAGATTAGCTAAAGTGGGGTATTTTCAGAATGGCAAGGAACCTCTGGTCTCTACATATCAGAACATTTCCAGGGTGTCCAAACTTTGAAAACTATTATTTCAAAAGAGCTGGAGGGCCACCTGTTTGTCAGCAAACTCAACAAATGCTAGCCATTGTTATCTATTCTTGTCTCCAAATAAAAGCAGTTTCCTCTGTTTGAAAATAATAAGCATGGCAACTTGACAGAGTATTTGTCTGGCCTTATTTTGGACACCGAGAGAAGTCCTAAATAAACTATTTTCAGCTATGCCTTGCTCCTGGTTTTGACAATAAAAGCTTAACATATTACCTGTTACTGAATGAGAAACTATGTCAAAATTCAGTGGCTTTAGATAAGAATCACTTCTTACCACCCATGTGTCTGTGGGACTTTGCACATTGGCTGACAGGCTGGGCTTGACTGGGAGTCTCAGCTTTAGACTGCGTGGCCTGGGGCCACACTGCTGCTTGCTGTTTCTCTGTGGGTTGGCCGGGGCAGTTTTGTTCTTTCCACCTGTCTCTGTTCTTCCCTCCTGGCTCAGGCTAGGCAAGGCAGATCTTCTCATGACAATGGCAAAGATACACAAAAGCAATGGGAAAGCTGCATTTCTACTTGTATCACATTGGCCCAAATAAATCACCTTCTCAAGTCCGAGGTCAAGGGGCAGAATTTCAAAATCACATGGCAACATATAGGTACAGGGAGCAATGAAGAGTCAGGGCCAAGCATGCAACCTATATTAACATGAGGAAATAACTGATATATTGTCTTAAGCACCATTCCTGTTCCATGTATCATTTCATGTCAGTGCTTCCTGATAAGGGGAATAGTGCTGGCTCACAAAGCTATCAAATATATCACCTTAAAAGGAGGGTTAGCTTTTATAGAAATCACGAATGTTTTTTAGAACTATGGGGCCGATTATTACTTAATATATAACACTGACTTGGTAGCCAAATTTTTTGAGGTTCAGTTTTAATACTTTTCAGAAAAAACCCTGTCATCCATTTGGGGCAAAGAATATCAAGAAATAATGAACTGGCAGAAAAACAATTATCTGTGTATAATAGAGGTGGTAGGAAGCATGAGCTTCTAAGGAAGCTCTGTCTCCTCACATTTAGAACTTAACACAGTCTGGTTCTGGTGATAAGAAATCCCCTCTCTCTGTTACAGTGAGAGAAACATTGACTCCAGGTCAAATAGAAACACAACGACAAAGTGAAATCACTTCAGAGGCCAGTAATTCTGATGGTTTGTTGTATATAGGAAAGTTTGAATCAATGTTTCTTTCAGGATTTCATGATGATTTTCAAATTTAAATATATTGCAAAATCAAGTTGGCTTGTAAACTCTCCTTTTTGTGTTTGATAAAATGTTGTAAATGTCTGAGATATTTCTGAATTTTTAGTAAATACTTCTAAATTATTTTTATTGTGGAGAGTTTTTATGCTTCAGATGTCTGACTAGGAACAGAATGCCTATGAGTTTGTTGTAAACACCTGAAGTAAGAGGGTTTACACTGACAGCACATAAGGAATCTTAACCACTTTGCTAATAGACTGCAATGACTAACAGCATCCATTTCATGCAGTCATGCCACAGTGGCACTGTGAGATCACAGGATCTGACTGGGTAGCTGCTAACATGTTATCTGTCAAGTCAAAGTCACAGTTATAATTATTCACAAGACATAGATTTTTCACATGCTGAAAGAAACATTTATCATTTTTCTATCAGGATGGGTCTGATTTAAGCACATATTCTCTGATTGTACCAGAAATCAGGATTGCTGAGATCTGGGATCTGGTCTTTCTTTACTCTTCCAATTTCTACCTATGGCACTGGTGCCAAGTCCAGTTTTCAATTTATCATCTGTATGAGGAGATGGTAGAGGAAGAAAATTTTTTAGGTCACTTTCAGCTCTAATATCCAATAAATCTACTGTGTTGATTCAGTGACCATGAGGCATTCCCTTCGACTCTCACAGGAGATCTTCCATAAACGCTAGTGCTTTCCCAAGTAAGACATGAATCAGAATAAAATTCTAATCTATAAATGGGTTATATTACCAATGAAATGCCAGGAAATTAATGCTTCAAATATTCAGAAAAAAACAAGAAAAATAGTTTTGTTTATGAGAAAAATACAAAAGAGTTTTTTCTTATCTTTGAACTAGAATTTAATAGATGAAAATCACCCTCTCTGATGATTGCAAACAAAGGGAAAGATAGAAGAGTCACAGAATTTGAGGATCAACTGAGTCACTTTGCAGTTTTTGGTGGATAAGAAAGGTAGTAACTATGTATTATGACTCTCTTTACTGAACTAGCAAAGAATATGATTTATGTAACTACTGCTAGGGCTGGCACATATGGGGATGCAGGTTGTGTGCCACCCAGTTTTAGAAGATGCAATCTCCTGCCGGGCGCAGTGGCTCACGCCTGTAATCCCAGCACTTTGGGAGGCCAAGGCGGGTGGATCACCTGAGGTCAGATGTTCGAGACCAATCTGGCAAACATGGTGAGACCCCGTCTCTACTAAAAATACAAAAATTAGCCAGGTGTGGTGGCAGGCGCCCTGTAATCCCAGCTACTCAGGAGGCTAAGCCAGGAGAATCGCTTGAACTGGAGCGGTGGAGGTTGCAGTGAGCCAAGATCGTGCCACTGCACTCCAGCCTGGGCAACAGAGCGAGAGTCTGTCCAAGGAAAAAAAAAAGAAGAAGAAGAAGAAGAAGATGCAATCTCCTTAACTTAACCTCTGACGTGAATATTCTTAGAATTGTGCAGTGCAGCATCTGCTCAACTGTATATGGAGGCCCTTCAGGGTAACGGCTTAAAAACTGCATTTCTGTGTACATGACCTCACAGGAATCTATTGGGATAAAATGGAGAAGAGCTGGCTTTATGGGTGTATAATATGACAGATGCACTTAGGACGGCCCCATACTTGGCTTAAGGCTCTGCTGTCACCATCTTGAAATTCTTAATAATATTTGAATAGGCCCCATCTTTTCATTTTGTACTGGGTACCAAAAATTATATAGTTGATCAAGGATGGAGGTGGGAATGGTTTAAGACTGTAAAGGCAGAAATGTGAAGAGTAAGAAGTAATTACTTCTGACATCAAAGATAGAACTTTTACAATAAAACAATTGGCTCGAAAGCCAGGATTAGTTGAGATACTAAAATAATTTTCTACTTTCCTGTAGTATGTCAAAGACCAAGCCAGCAGGGCTCAGCTTATACAGTTTCTTCATAAATATAGAGGAAACAACCCTTCCACATATGAGCAAATCTTTATTGTCAGTATTTACAACTATTTTATTCCAAGTTTTCCCTTAATTTTTTAATTTAGGTGGTAACTTACTTGGGCTAGAGAATATCTTGAGTTTACCTTTGACACAGACTTACCTGGACTGATAGTCCTGCCACCTGTCCTAGTTGACTTAATCCACAGATATTAAGCCAAATAGAAATATTTCCTAGATAAAGCTGGGCACAATGGCTTAAACCTGTAATCCCAGCACTTTGGGAGGTTGAGGTGGGCAGATCACCTGAGGTCAGGAGTTCAAGACCAGCCTGGCCAACATGGCAAAACCCCATCTCTACTAAAAATACAAAAATTAGCCAGGTGTGGTGGTGTGTGCCTGTAGTCCCAGCTACTTGGGAAACTGAGGCATGAGAATTGCTTGAACCCAGGAGGCGGAGGTTGCAGTGAGCCAAGATTATGCCACTGCACTCCAGCCTGGACAACAGAACAAGACTTTTGTCTCAAAAAAAGAAAGAAGTATTTCCTAGATGATTATTTTTCATATTCAAAAAGTGACTATGTGTGTTTTTACATGGGTATACAAAGAAACTCACCCATTTTCACAGTTGGCTTGAACATTTTCTTTGATTTTTTGTTTTTGTTTTTGGCCGGGAATAATCTAAAAGTGAGGACACTCAAGTTGACCATATTGAGTTGCGCATTGATATATTAACATGGCCAACTCAAATAGTTTGTGATCCAAAGTGGATTATTAACTTGAAATTATTTACTTATTTTAACAGACCATTCAACTCACTTTTCAGAAATGGCCAATATTAGTCATATTTCTCAAGATGAGTTAGCCATGATTACTATATATGAATCATTTCAGTTGGTAACGGGGTGGTTTGTCTGCTATATTTGGAGCTAGGGTGGGAGGGAAAGAGAAAATGAGAATAGGGATGATAAGAAAGTTAGTGGCACTAAAGCTGTTGGTGACATGCCAGTCCCTCCGGCCTACATAAAGTTTTCTCAATCTCTGCTATTGACATTGACATTTGGGACTGGATAATTGTTTGTTGTGTGTGAGTGTGGGGGATGTCCTCTGCATTGCAGGATGTTTAGCAGCACCAGGGTACCCATTAGATGCTACCCACTAGATGTTAGTGGCACACCTCTGCCTCAGTTGTGATAACCAAAAAATGCCTCTAGACATTGCCAGATGTTCTTTCCCTTGGGTGGGAGGGCAAAAATTACTCCCAGGTAGGAACCAGTAGGCTAGACCGAAGTAAGACTATCCTAGGAGGACCGCTTCTCCCTACCTAAAGTTTACAAGCAGGACAAGAGTTCCTCTTGGTTGCTGTCATAGATCGATAGGTTGATACTGCACTTAAAATGTAGAAGAAGTAACCCAAAGAAAAGTGAATATATTTTCCTAAGACTTAGAACAACTGAGCTAGAGTATCTGTCTATCCCAAAGACTTCCCAGAATATGGGTTTTGTGTGTGTGTGTGTGTGTGTGTGTATTTGGGGGGCAGATAGAAATTGTTCCAAGTTGGATCTAGAACCAGAAATACCATTTGACCCAGCAATCCCATTACTGGGTATATACCCACAGGATTATAAATCATTCTACTATAAAGACACATGCATACATATGTTTATTGCAGCACTATTCACAATAGCAAAGACTTGGAAGCAACCCAAATGCCCATCAATGATAGACTGGATAAAGAAAATGTGGCACATATACACTATGGAATACTATGTAGCCATAAAAATGTCTTTTGCAGGGACATGGATGAAGCTGGAAACCATCATTCTCAGCAAAGTAACACAGAACAGAAAACCAAACACCACATGTTCTCACTCATAAGTGGGAGTTGAACAATGAGAACACATGGACACAGGGAGGGGAATATCACACACTGGGGCCTTTTGGGGGGTGAGGGGTAAGGGGAGGGATAGCATTAGGAGAAATACCTAATGTAGAGGATGGGTTGATGGGTGCAGCAAAGCACCATGTCATGTATATACCTATGTAATAAACCGGCACATTCTGCACATGAATCCCAGAACTTAAAGTATAATTAAAAAAAAAAAAGAAAAGTCTGAAATTAGGCTTGAGATCCTATAGCACTTACATGCTTCCCTGTAATGATACTTACTTCTTACAGAAATAAATGGGAGTAATAGATTATGAGGCAATTAGCTTGACCAAGATCACATTGCTGCAATAGTGATATTATATTGCTATAATAATAATAGTGATAGTGATGATTGATGTTTATGATGGTGATAAACTATTTGAAAATTGTAGAAACAAGATATGCAGATTATATAATAAACATGTATTTTTGGACTAAAAGAAAACTTGTTCCAAGTTAGAGACAACTCTAGTTCACCTGTTCATAGTTTACATATTTGGGAACAAGTAATATAGTAAATGACCACGATCTCAGAGAGCGCTAACCTATGAGTGCACTGCATTAATAACACATCGACATGAGTTTTCAGCTTTCTTGGTGATTAAATAAAAAGATTTTCCTCTAGTGTTTTTGCCCTGACTCTATTGCTGTTCTTTCTTTGCAGAATGCTTGCGTCAGAGTGTTTAGAAAAATTGAGTACTCCTTGACATTGAGGTATCTGAGAACTTCAGAGATAGCCCAGTGAAAAGTGAAGTACGTTTTAAAACTTAGAACAGCCACAATCAGCACTAACTGCTTAGTTACCTGGAAAATTTGAATTATTAGCCCCATTCGCATTCATTCAAAGTCTTTAACAATTAGTTTGCCTTTTCATGAGTAGCACTATCATATATTTTCAGGGCCTATTTCTATTTACTGTTGGTTTTGTGTTTCTCTGATACTGGGACAATATACTGACCAGATCACTTTAAAAAAATTTCCTGGACAATAAAGAGAAGAAAAAAGATGTAATGTGTATTTTTTTTTAAGCTTTAGCACAAGGAGTTTTTCTATAAAAATAACATTTTTCAAAGATTTAATCTGTGAGTGGGAAATGGTTATACACCACTTCTGTTACTGGAAAGAATATATATCTTAAATTACTGAACCATTTACTCTGAAGTATCTGAGTAGCTGCTTTCATCCTTAGGGAAAAAATAGTTTCAAAATATACACTACAAGATAGTGCAACATAATTATTCAAATATCCCAGAATCAGACAAAAGAAAGCCATGTAATGTGACTTGTTTCTAGGTTTATGTTCCTTCTCATTTCACTTATTTTGTTTGTAGGATAGCTTATTCTTACATGAGGTTTTACCAAATATCTAGACCTTGACTAAGATGTTTTTTTTTTAAATATAGACTCTGGGCCAGGTGTGGTGGCTCATGCCTGTTGTAATCCCAGCACTTTGGGAGGCTGAGGCAGGTGGATTGCCTGAGGTCAGGAGTTCAAGACCAGCCTGGCCAACATGGTGAAACCCCATCTCTACTAAAAATACAAAAATTGGGGTTGGGCGCAGTGGCTCAGGCCTGTAATCCTAGCACTTTGGGAGGCCGAGGTGGGTGGATCACCTGAGGTCTGGAGTTCGAGACTAGCGTTACCAACATGGGGAAACCCCATCTCTACCAAAAATACGAAATTAGCCAGGTGTGGTGGCGCATGCCTGTAAACCCAACTACTCAGGAGGCTGAGGCAGGAGAATCACTTGAACCTGGGAGGTGGAGGTTGCGGTGAGCCGAGATCACACCATTGCACTCCAGCCTGGGCAACAAGAGTGAAACTCCATCTCAAAAAAAAAAAAAAAAAAAAAGGAAAAATTAGCCAGATGCGGTGGCAGGCACCTGTAATTCCAGCTTCTTGGGAGGCTGAGGCAGGAGAAACTCTTGAACCTGGGAGGTGGAGGTTGCAGTGAGCTGAGATTGCACCACTTGCACTCAAACCCGCACAACAGAGTGAGACTCTGTCTAAAAAATAAATAGATAAAAATATATAAATTCTGCTTCTCAGTATGTAAGAGGTACATCTTCATTTTACATGCAAGGGAGATGCAAACAGGACAGCGGAGAGATTTGTCTAAGTTTAGAAAGTGAGTCTGGGAGCTCTATATAGGCTGACAGTGCACGTGAATGCCTCTTTCCATGTTTGGTATCACCCCTTTGACCCATGACCCTCTGGAAGCAGCATGAGAAGAGGATATGTCAGAGTTCTATCACCCTCCGCTGGATGGAACATTGAGGTATCTATCCCCCACATTCCACATTCTGTATTTGACCATATTGCCTAAAAAATTAGGAACATAGAACTGAAACAGGTCATAAAGCTGAGACAAGAAGGGTAACTAAATTTGTTTGAAAGATAAAATTTTGATACAAGATGAAAATGGTCACTGATGTGGTTTGGATGTTTGTTCTCTCAAGGTGTCATGCTGAAATGTGATCCCCAATGTTGGAGGTGGGATGGAAGGTGTTTGGGTCGTGGGGGAGGAACCCTCATGAATATCTTGGCACTGTCCTCATGATAATGAGTGAATTCTTATTCTGAGTTCATGCAATATGCAATATCTGGTTGCTTAAAAGAGTGTGGCACCTCCCCCTCTTTCTCTTGCTTTCTTCCTCTCCATGTGATGTACCAGCTTGCCCTTTGCCTTCCACCATGATTGTGAGCTTCCTGAGGCCTCACTAGAAGTAAATGCTAGTACCACACTTGTACAGACTGCAGAACTGTGAGCCAAAATAAACCTCTTTTCTCTGTAGAAATGCTAATGGACTAAGGCAGTCACCCATGAATGCTTTTACTTAGTGACTTCAGGCCATGTTCTAAAAAGAAAGAAGCAAATATTGCAAATTAGAAATCCACAGTTTCTTTCCCTATTCTGGTATTAATAAACTATGTGACCTTAGTAAGTCATTTATTCTGGGGTTCTCTTCATTATTCTGTCTTGTTTCCTCTGGAACAAATCCTAAAACATATCAAGATCACCATCCAAATGCTCATGAGGGATAATCTCTGGCGCTGGTGAGACTGGAAAAAGAGGAACTTTCATTCACTCTTGGTTGGACAATAAACAGCCTGCTTAGAAAATTACCTGGCAGAACTAGTTAACATTTTAAATACATATGCCCCAACTGGCCAATGGTTCCACTTCTAGTTACTTATTTACTAGGTATAAAAATACCAGTATATAAGGACATCTGTATAAGAAATTTATCACACTGTTTTTGGCAGTCAAGAACTGAAGACAACATGAATAGTTGTCAAAAACAGAATGGTTGAACCAATTAGGTAATTTACATTCTAAAATACCATATAGTGTTCAAAAAAGACATAGATCTATGTGAATTAACTTGGAAAGATATCTATGATCATTTATAAAATTAGAAAACAATTTAGGAAATACAATATAGTATTATCCCATTTGATCTTAAATCCTTGTATTTGTATATGTAGGTTTTATTCTTGTAATAAAGGGAAATATGAATAAATATATCACAAATTTGTAGTAGATAAAGGAAAAGAGAAAATTACTACTTTTTTTCAAGAAGTACCTATACTGTTTGTGTACAAAAAAGAAACATTACTTTTAATGAACAAAACTTTATAAACACTTTGTTATGAAAAATTTAAAACATGCTACAAAGCTGAAATAATTTTACTGTGTGCAGCCATATAATACCACTTGCATTCTACCCCATTAACATTTTACTATACTTGCTTTATTATCCCTCCCTCCCTTCCTTCCTTCCTTCCTTTCTTCCTTCCTTCCTTCCCTCCTGTCTTCAGGGTATTTCTCTGTTGCCCAGACCAGAGTACAGTCTTGTGATCGTGGCTCACTGCAACCTGAAGCTTAGGTCTCCTATGTGGAAGTGATCTTCCTGCCTCAGCCTCCCAAGTAGCTGGGACTATAGGCAGGCACCACCACATCTGGATACTTTTTTTATGTTTTTTAGAGACAGAGGTCCCACTATGTTGCCCAGACTGGTCTCAAATTCCTGAGCTCAAGTGATCCTCCCACTTCAGCCTCTCAAAGTATTAGGATTACAGGCGTAAGCCACTGCATCCAGCCACTTTATTTTCTTGATGTATTTCAAAGTACACTGCACACATCAGCCCATTCCTTTCTAAACACTTCACCTTGCATACAAAATGACATTTCAATAGACTTTAAATACAATACATTTTAAAGAAAGTTTTCATGGGGCTCTGGTTTTGACTCTGCTCACTAGACATCTTGGATGACTCCCCTCTCCACCTCACCTTCCCCCATAACAGGCTTCCTGAGGTTGAAGGGATGAAGGTGCGATTGGATGTTGAAGTGTGAGAGCAGAATCTTAGACCTAATAGAAAAATTAATATACGGCCAGGCACGGTGGCTCACGCCTGTAATCCCAGCACTTTGGGAGGCCGAGGTGGGTGGTTCACCTGAGGTGAGGAGCTCGAGACTAGGCTGGCCAACATGGTGTAACCCCATCTCTACTAAAAGTACAAAAATTAGCTGGGCGTGGTGGTAGGTGCCTGTAATCCCAGCTACTTGGGTGGCTGAGGCAGGAGAATCGCTTGAACCCAGGAGGTGGAGGTTGCAGTGAGCCGAGATCGTGCCATTGCACTCCAGCCTGGGGGACAAGAGTGAGAGACTTTGTCTCAAAACAACAACAAGAACAACAACAACAACAACAAAAAAGAAAAATTAATACTCTTTTCTACACCTTTTGGGATCTACAGAGTGGCATAGCTCTTAGAAAATGCTCTCTGGAATTCAATGTAAACTGTATGGGCATTGTGAAAATGTGAATGAGAGATCTCCAAGGAGACTTCAGGCTTTTGGTGACATAGTAGGTATATTTTTCAGAGTTCAATGGCCAAAGACAGAATCTACTCTTCCCAAGCAGACAGGGAGTTATTACGTGGTATTACATAACTTGGAGAACCATTGGGAGAACCGAAGAAGAAAACTCTATGTTGAGGTTCCAGGAAGCATTTCCAAGTCCATGCAATAGAATTGGGCCAGGGGAGGCGCTGCCTTTGCCATAATCAGAAGTTATTATAGAATCAGAAATATGTCATCCTGGCTCCAGAATGATACCTCAACCTTGGTCAGGAATCTGCCAAAGGAGGAAACCACTGGTGCTGCAGTTGCTGCTTCCCAAACTGGGCTGCCTTTACCATGATCTACACCAGCAACATGGAAGCCCCTGTTTCTCTCCTGAAATGAGTCAGTACCCCCACAAAGATAACCAAGGGACTCTACCAAATGCTTTATACAAAGTATTAGTTGTTACAAAAGTTTATTTTCTCTTTCCAGAGTTCATAGCTACGATAGATTTCATATTCGAGTCTCCCCTGCAGTTATGCATGGTCGTGTGCCTATGTTCTCACCTAGAGGCTGTGAGTGGAAGTAATACACATTTCTTTCCTTTATCATTGGCGGAACCTGGCCCAACTTCAACCACACAGATGGCAACAATGCAGAATGTAACACCACATGACGATCCCGGATCCCTTGACGACTTTGTGAAGCAAGCTCGTTTAACCACTTTGTATGTTTACATGAGTGAAAAAAAATCTTGAGTCTTCCTTAAGTCACTGGATTATTGCTTGGTCTTTTAGTTGTAACATCCTTGCCTTTTGCTAAATAATACATGTGGATTTTGACTTTCTACCTTTGTGTTTTAGAAAGGTAGATTGGATTGAGTGTTGAGCAGTCCAATCCACAGTGCCCTCCAAAAGAGGCCTCTCCTCTCCAAAACACAGCCTTACTTCCTGTTCCCTCTCACAAATCTCTCATCACACACAATCAAACACACACATGCACACACAGAAACTATCTTATTCATTACTGAATTATCAGTGCCTAACGCAGGACTCGATATGTTACAGATATTCAGCAAATACTTGGTTATGAGTAAATAAACAAAGATGTCTTCACAATTTGAAGAACATTACAGGCCAGCTTAAAATTCTGTCCTTGGCATGTTTCAGTGAAACATTGTGGTCTGAAAGCTTGGAAAGGATTCCAACGTATAGAGTTGGGGTGAGGGACATTCTGGGTAGGAGAGAGGTATGCCTGAAGATATGGTGGCATTTTGAGGTTGAGAGGAGCTTGTGAGATTGCTCTTGTGCATGGTGGGAAGACTGAAGAGACGAGACTTAGAATTAAGATTGGATTCAGATTGGACAAAATCTTGAATGCTACCTAGGTTAGGGCATTAGTAAATTTAGAGAGCCAAGAGAACATCAAAGGTTTGTTTTGTTTCTGTTTTTTGATTTCTGCTTTAGGCTTGTGCTGACAGAATGAAAGAAAGGAAGACAGGAAATGAGAGAGGCTAGGGTTAGAGAGGCCAGGGAAGGGGCTATTTTAATTTCTCTGGGAAGAACAACAGACACGTGTACTAGGCGAAGGTAAGGGACACATTCAAGGAATTCTTTGGAGGGCAAGTGAAAAGGACTGAGTGACTTATTGGATAATGAAAAAATGGAGAGAATCTCTAGTTTACAGACTGAGTTGATAGTGCTGCTTTGAAGACAGGACATCTAAATAATGAAGTAAATTGTCTCAGGATGAAGTAATATTTGTTTTTCAGACTATAACATTGCATTTTAGATAATGGAAATATTAAGTAGCTATATGAGTCTGGGAGTCAAGACACCGGTGATGAAGACACTGGTGATTTAGATTTAGAAGTTATAAGCAATAGAAGTTAGCATTTTTCAGAGTGATCTGAGGACATCTGCATCAAAGGTGCCTCTCGTGAGATGTTTGTAAAAATGAAGATTCTTGGGCCTTATTCCAGATATATCTGATCACATCTTCTGGAGGATGGGCCCCAGAAATCCTTCTGTTAAAAATATTTTTTTGTTATTTTAATGTATTTTTAAAAAAGTTATTTTTGAGATAGAGTCTCACTCTGTTGTCCAGGCTGGAGTACAATGCGTGTCTCACTGCAGCCTCCACCTCCCTGGTTCAAGCTATTCTCCTGCCTCCGCCTCCTGAGTCGCTGGGACCACAGGCCTGCACCATCACACCTGGCTAATTTTTGTGTTTTTTATTTTTAGTAGAGATGGGGTTCTACCATTTTGGCCAGGCTGGTCTCAAACTCCTGACCTCAAGTGATCCGCCTGCCTTAGCCTCCCAAAGTGCTAACATTACAGGCGTGAGCCACAGGGCCCAGCATAATGTATTAAAAATTTTGAGAACCACTGATAGAGGTGATAACTAGAGGCTGATGGTAGAAAAGATTATCTAGGGGAAAGTCTGGTGTGGAAGGAGGAATTATGGTCAAAGATATGGGCAAGAATGAAACATGATTGAAGAAACTGCCAAGAGATTAATAATTGTTCAAAGAGGAAAAAAAAAAGATATTCTTGACAGAGTAGAAAAGTAGCAGTGGGAAGAGAAATGTTTTAGCAAGGTGGTAGAGGCTCCAGGAAGAGCAGCAGCATATTATGCGAAGAGGTTGCATAGAACAAGGTAGGAAACAGGATATTGTCCTCATGGAATTGTTGTCCATCACTGAACCTTGAGGCCACAGTTTCAATAAACTGATGAGCATGGAGTAATGTGGCACCAATGACACATTGAAGGAACTGAGGCTGCAGAGATAGATTATTTTGATAATATTTTTCTTTTATAGGGGGACGATAAATATTGTTTATAACTATATAATTTCTATTTCAAAGTCTTATTTTTCCAAGAAAAAGAAAAATGTAATTTTAATTGGAGATTTTTTTCCTTCGTTCTCCTGGGATGTGCAACTTCTCACTTTGGGCTCAGGTAGGTCCAAGCAGTTCATCACTGGGATGTCTCTGGACCCATCTTCAAGAATCTTCCCAATATGATAACTTTCTTGCTCTTCCTGGGTCATGCTTAAATGAGGAAAGTCAATGCGGCAGGCTTGGCCCAGCACTCATAGTTGCACCAAACAGCCATTTTATCTTGGAGTGAACCCTCTCCCTGGAGTTTCCTCTTGTGCATTACACATGCATCCTGGAGTTCTGTCGTGCATCAAGGCTATGGTGTGACACCTTTCAGACACCAGCTCTGGGGCTTCTTCCTGCCTCTTCCCTTGAATCCCTCTTCCTTCTCCCCAGGTGCCTTTCCAAATGCATTGCACACAATATACACACACTATTCATTTAATTCTCAATACCACACGGTAGTTTTTTTTTTTTTTTTTGAGATGGAGTCTCACTCTGTCATCCAGGCTAGAGTGCAGTGGCACAGTCTCGGCTCAGTGCAACCTTTGCCTCCCAGGTTCAAGTGATTCTCCTGCCTCAACCTCTCGAGGAGCTGAAACTATAGGCAAGCACCACCACCCCCGGCTAATTTTTTGTATGTTTTAGTAGAGATGGGGTTTCATCCTGTTGCCCAGGCTGGTCTCAAACTCCTGAGCTCAGTCAATCTGGCCACCTCAGCCTCCTAAAGTGCTAGGATTACAGGCGTGAGCCACCACGCCCAGCCTCACAAAGTAGATTCTTATTTGTAATTTACATGTAGCAAGAGTCACAGCTTGAACCTAAACTTGGATTGAGGAATGTGCGTGCTTTGTACACCCGGAAAACAAACAGACTGGATGTGAGAAAGGGCTCTTTACCTGAGAATGAGTGAGCCTGAGGAGAGGCACTTCTCATAAGGAAAAAGGGTCAAAATGTCCTCTGCGAAGGTTGTATAGGAATGAGTCCAATGACAGCTTGGTGTCTGCTGGATGGTCCTTGGTTCAATTACCATGATGCTTGCCAAATCCTAGTGTAGGGACTGCACCAACAGAGATAATGGAAATTAAAACAGTTGCTTCTCCAAAATTCCCACGGAGCCTTGGCATGCAGACTGTCCACAGCATTGGGAATGGGTGGTCCCTGTAAGAGAAGCAGTAGCATCGGCGATAGCAGTGGTGATGACAGTTTTCTGACATTAGAGACAGAGGCATCTTTTTTGTTGCTTCAAGCAACTGTGGCTTTGGCAATCAGCAACCCTGCCAGGGGCATGGATACTCTCCTGCCTTGGGCACTGGAATCCTGACAGCCTTTGGAAGGCAACAGTGGGCAATGCTGGCATAGATGCCACTTTCAGAAATCTCAGAGAACACAGATCCACTCCAGTGGGCTAGAGGGGAAAGGGAGAAACATGGTGGCATGGTGGGTGATGGGCAGGAAGCATAGGTCATGGAGCATTGTGCAACTAGAGAGGGATTTTGAAAGCATTTGATGAGGATGAAGCTCCCATAAAACAGGTCAGGGTTGTACTGACAGGGCACTACTTTCTATCACTTACTTTTAGTCTATGTTTGCTTACTTGAGCTGTAGCAAACAAGATAGATTAAACTGATGAAAAAAACTGAAGCTCAGAAATTTAAGTTGAACTTGCACAAAATTCTATACATGGCCAATGAGTTGTGGGCCCCTTTGACCACTCACACAGCCATCTTCATATTTGAGGCGAAGAAGATGCCAGGAGAGAAAAAACATGGCAGTTATTTAAGTTAATAGGTGGTAGGGTTCTACATAAATTTAGGGAGGATGGGATTAAGGATGTAGCTGGAATAATTTTTAAAAAATGGAAAATGGGATGTAAGAAATTCAGGCAGTAGCATTTCAGGCAAAAGGTTATAAACATATGGAATTTGATAACAAGAGAGCTAACTAAAAAAGTGTAAAGACAGTAATTAGTTAAAGAGAGACATCTGGAACAGGAAAGAAATAAGCAGAGAAAATAAAAGGTAGGTTTTAGATAGAGTATGTTGGTGAGGCCAGATGGCAATTTTTTCCTCCTTTGTTTGATATATATTTTTCTTAACCACAATCCCAAATATTGCACATTTCAACATGTTATATTTGTTTCTGTAAATATCTAGGAATTATACAAATATATCTGCCAAAGCAAATGATTCGGAGGCTATCGACATGATCTGTTTCTCATGGCTTAACTCAGCATATGTCCAGCTTCCCACAAAAGTCTAGATCTTATGTTTGTGATTATATATTTGGGACTACAACAACAACAATGACAAAAATAGCTATTTAGCATGGTTTTCCAGAGCAACAGGAGATATTACACAGTAAGTACCACAACAGACATCTTTCACCATGCTTTTACTCTCATGTTAAAACATGAAGTGAGGCAATTTTGATAATGAAGGATGGGGATGTATTATCCTTCTGTTTCTTGTTATCCTGGAGGTAATCACATCTGTATGAATGATAAGAATATCTAATTTGACATGAATTTTTATCATTTATGTTCAAAGTGTAACTTTAGTCCATGTAATGTCTTTGGTCATAGCCTAAACTACATAGTGGTGCAAGTGGCTGCTGATATGATAAGATTCGAGGGGAGGCACCAAAGAAAGGCCTGCTCAGTGCCAGATATTTTTCCCTCTGGCTGGTCAGAGTTTAGAATCACCAATTGTCATCATTTTCCAGAAAAAGAAGAGATTCAGCGAATGAATTGGTCTCATGTTAAAATATATTATTTTTGTCTCTTTAAGAATATATTGTTTACTCACAGAGAACTTGGGATACCAAGTCCTTGGATGGGAATATCGTGCAGTTAGATTCTCTCTGGCATGAAAGTAAAAAATGATATGGAATCACTCTGGTCAGTGAAACAGGCTTGCAACAAAGCAGTTAGGGGCCGTGTCATTTCCAAGGGTTACTGATAAAGTATGTGTGGCACAACTGGCTGACTTTGAACATGCTGTTGTCCTCAGGTTGGTATTACAGGAAAAAGGTCTACTCAAAAGCATCTTTTAATGGGGATTGATGCCACTTTGTTTTCTCTCCTACCTCTCAAAGACTGAATATTTTGAAAGAACTAAAGAGGATTTAAAATTCACATTATTATAATCATTTATTTATTCAATAAGTATTTGCTATGAAAGTACTAAGGGGCTAACTTGGAAACTTTGGGACAAATATGCTGAGTTTCCAGCCATTGAAAATCTCAGAGTGAATGGGGGAAATGAGGACACACAATCCCCAAAATAATACAATAATAAAGTCTTATAAGAATTAGTGGCCAGGCGCAGTGGCTTATACCTGTAATCCAAGCACTTTGGGAGGCCAAGGCGGGTGGATCACCTGAGGTCAGGAGTTCGAGACCAGCTTGGCCAATATGGTGAAACCCCGTCTCTACTAAAAATACAAAAATTAGCCAAGCGTGGTGGCATGTGCCTGTATCCCAGCTACTTGGGAGGCTGAGGCAGGAGAATCATTTGAACCTGGGAGGCGGAGGTTGCAGTGAGCCGAGATTGCACCATCGCACTCCAGCCCGGGTGACAAGAGCGAAACTCTGTCTCAAAAAAAAATTATAGACTACCTGTAGAAAGTATTGTGGGAACATAGAATAAGATCAACTAATTATTCCTAGGAGAAATCAGGAAAAATTCAAAGAAATTACACTTAAGTTGAATGAGTTGAATTTTTCAAGAAGAGAAATGAAGAGTATTCCAGGAAGGGGTAAAGATAGTTCATTAAGACCTTAGTACTCACTAACCCATTGGAATGAATGTTGCAAGTTGTCAACTAAGCGAGGGCTGGGAGATGGCCACAGCTAACAGGTAAATTTCACTGAGCTGGAACATGAGGGCTTTTCTAGGGAGAATGGTACAGCATGGATGGCGGCCCCAGCCATCATGAAGGCACTGGGAAAATGGCTGGGTAAGCAGCTGCCATGGGAGAAAGGATGCCGATGGAAAGGTGCAGAGGCCAATGAAAATACATTTTGCTGCCTTAATAATTTTTCTTAACATCAGTCCTAATCAATTTCAGCATATCTGAGCCCATGTATCCAAATCAAGATGACATTAAAAATATGGAAAGATCAAAATCAATACCTATGGCTCTATTAAACTGCTGAACTCAGCATGTACCACAAAAGGTGTCAAGATCTAACTCCAGGCATTTTAAATTCTGTAAAGTGATGAACTTTGAAAGCATGATGTGTCTGCTCCAGAACTTCAAGTAACTGTTGTGAAAGTTAGCACATACTCCTGTCACTCCAGGTTTGCCTAATTTCTCACAGACAGTGTGAGTTTATGAAGTCAAATTTTTCTTTCTTTGAGGTTTTTTGGATTCTATCTGTTCCCTACATATGAAAGGTCACACTGAGGTCAAGGATATTTTGTCTTAGAAAAGCAGCCACTGACTATGGGCAGGCTCTCAGAGAAAGTCTAAGCAGAAACATAATGCTGGAGTACTGTGAGACATCCTAAAAACATGCCCCAAAATTTCTATATTTCAAAAGTGGTATTTGGAGGCCAAGAGCAAGGTTGTATTTCTTGGAATTCTAGAATTGCTCAAACTTTCTGTTTGTTAATAGACAAGTATGAACTTGTTTTAATTAAAAATTTTTAACATGAGAATTTGGCAAATGAAAGTAAAAACAATGAGTAGTTTCCCTGGATGTAACGGAACTTTTCCAGTAGACAGCAAGAAACAGCCTTCTTATTCAGAGAAACAGGCAATGAATCTGTACCACCAAGTATCCTGTTTCCTAAACAATAGAATTTCTATATACCTTGATATAAAGGGAACATTTGACCAAGTTATCATGGCATCAATCTTAGTTTCTGAAAAAGGAATGTCTCACTTTGTTGAGGACTCTGAGGAGGCTATTTTAGAGGAAAGAGCTTTTCCAGGTACTTGGACGTTACACCCTGAAGGCCAGACCTTATTCTCAAATTCCACCACAATCCCAATTCTACACATGAGGACCCCAAGGTTCTGAGAGCTGAAATAATTTGGCGAGGTGGATTTGAACGCACCTCTGTCTGGCTCGAATGCTCTGCTTCCTTGTCCCATCCTGTGGCTTCTCTGTGACAATTTGTTCCTCTATTTTGAATCTGGCCTTGCCAGACCCTGATGGTTGCCTAAGCCTGATTCTAGGGAGTTGGAAGACAGAACTTAAGGAGCAGCCAGCCAACTTCTCCCAGATGAATGAGGACTGTGACACGTTCTTGAGGCATATGTCAATGTGAAATATGTTTTAAATGCTTTACATAATTAACCTCCATGGCAATCTTGTGAAGTGTGCTGTTAGTATCACTCCCATTTTAGGAAGAATTTTCTCAAGGTCATACAACTGACAATTGGTAGAGCCAGCATTTGAAATCAGACTGTCTGACTCCAAAGAATGTGCTTTTTACAATCATGCAATGCATGCAGACATATACGTATACATATATTCATATATATGCATACACACATATACATGTGGTTAATATGTTTCTATTTCTTTACCTATAGATGCTTAACCAGTTCTCAATAGCTCAGAGATTGCTTGGCTATTTTATGGATTGTTGCATCATTTTCTTTTTCCATAGTATTTTCTTATTAATCTCATGAAAATGTCATCAGAGCACATATATAGATACATTTTGGAGAAATTAAGTCCTGATATGGTTTGGCTGTGTCCCCACCCAAATCTCATCTTAAATTCTAGCTCTCATAATTCCTACATGTCATCAGAGGGACCTGGTAGAAGGTAATTGAATCATGGGGTTGGGTCTTTCCCATGCTATTCTCATGATAGTGAATAAGTCTCACCAGATCTGATGGTTTTATAAAGGGGAGTTCCCCTGTACAAGCTCTCTTTTGTCTGCTGCCATGTAAGATGTCCCTTGTTCTTCCATCATGATTGTGAGGCCTCCCCAGCCATGTGGAACTGTGAGTCAATTAAACCTCTTTCCTTTATAAATTGCTCAGTTTTGAGTATGTCTTTATTAGCAGCATGAAAATGGACTAACACAAGGCCATTCCTTTAGTAAATAGTTAATGATCACCTCCTGTATCTAAGGCATTGTTCTAGGAAATGGCAAAAAAATACAAAGATGTGGATATTGGAGTCTCTAACCTTGAATTGCTTAATATCTAAAAGTAAGATCAGAGAAGAAGTAGAGTAGGAGAAGGGCCATAGGAAAGGTATACACAGAGTCTGGGATGGATTCAACAAGAGCGTGATCTTACTGAAGAGATTCAGAGAAGAGCTCCAGAGAGGTTCCGGAGGGTCAGAAGGATTTCGGCAGCAGGACCCAGTGTGTACTGTGCTGCAACTACACTGCCAAGCTCTCAGTTTCTCTTTCCTGGCACTTATGTCAAATTCCCATTCTAAACATTCTTGTAGCTCTGTGTGTCTTTTTTTGCTTGCACTTATTAGAGTTGTAATTTAAACAAATCCGTGATATTTGACTAATGTCTGTCTTTCCCATTGTCTTGTAGTCTGCCTAAGGATGGGGACTATGCTGGTTTTACTCATTTGAATTCCTACCATATAGCAAAGTTCCTGGCCTACATTAAGTACTAAATAAATACTGTGTGAGCCAGTAAGGCAAGGGATTGCAGTAGGGAGAGAAACCATATGAGTAAAGATATAGAAGCAGTGTAGACAGAATGCACTAAAGAAAAGGCCAGTTTAGAGGGAGCTACAGCAGGGAAATATATTGGGATTATACTAGGAAGGGCCTTGAATACTACGGTCAAGTGGTTACAGTTAAGTTGAGAGCACTCTTGGAGAAAACCCCCCAGAGTAGCAATATGAGCATTGCTACAGGGTTTTCAGAAGGCAGTGTGGAGGGTAGATTAACAGGGAACATCAATGTGGCCCCAGAGTGGTCTGTACCATGAAGCATAGTCCTTTCTCCAACTACATAATAAGCTGCAAAGAATGAGGGCTATGTCAGAGTATTCCTTGATCCCCTTACCTCTGGGCCACGTGGTTGACTTTTCTTCTTTATAGATTTGCCAGAGACAAAACTAGGAACCCCAACCACCTATCACTTAAGCAAGTAGTAATGTATATTTTGCAACTAAGGGACCCTGGTTACAAAAGGACACCATTTCTGTCAAGGAGAGAGAAAGGATTGGCTATGTCCTCAGCAGGCCATGAAGGTTACTCTGAGAAAAACCTCTTTTTCTTCTGCACCATTATTGCTGTTCTGACATCTGGATTACAGCCAAAATAAGGTTGTGATTGGCAGGGACTTTGTTGGTGGGAGCCCAAACTCCAGAGACACCAACTCAGTTTTTTCTTTAGTTCATGGTTCCAGGTTCTTCAGAGTTGACGGAATGTCACCTTAAATGATTTCTGTCTACTTACTCATTGGTCAGTCCAATCATGGGATAACCAGTGCCACTCTAATACTAACAAATAAGGAAGGGAGGCCAAGTCCACTCTTTTCTGAACTGAAATCAGAACAGGAATCCAGGAGTTGCCTGTTGCTACTGTTATATAGGTTGTTGTTATAAGCAGGCGTGAAAGGGAAAGAGGAGTAAAGGTTACATGAATTATTCAATGACCTGCGGACTTAGAAACTACAATTACTGGCTTTATTATTTTCACTGATAATTTTTCCAGTATCAGTAGTCTGAGAGTTAGGGTTGATTTCTTATAAAGACTGTCTGCTAGGGCAAGGGAAGCATAACAAAATTATCCTCATAGGAACTGAAAATGGCAAATTGCAAATGGGGAGCCTGTATGCATGCTTGGCATTTGAAACATCCCATAAAGACTACTACTAACAGAGGAGAAACTGAAGACATACAGGCAAATCAGGAACTTAGGAGAGTAAATAATAGCTCAAACAAGGATAATGACTGTGAGCCTAGAAATAAAGAAGTAAAAGTAAGAATGTTCATTGAGACAGAGCAGGCAAGATTTGCCAATTAGTATAATATGGCAAGCAATAGATTTGAAGGATATAAAGGTGATTCTAATATTTTGAACCAAAAGGCAATGAGAACAGTGTTAGAAAGTGAAGACAGAAGAAGGAGCACACTGGGATGAGAGGATGCTGACACTGGATTGGGTTAGACTGAGTTCAAGGCCACGAGGAGGAATCTAGGGACAAAGGTTCAGTGGGGGGAGCTGGCAGTGTGACTTTGACTTAAGAAAGAGACTCTAAGGAAAGTAGAGAGCTTTAGCGAAGCCATGAAAGGAGACTAGAAGTGACCGGACCATTTAACAGAGATAATTTGATGCCACAATATTGAAGAGAAAAGGGCAGTTTAAGCAAGAGGCCAATGGTACTAAATCCTGCAGACAAATATCGCTGGCTTTGATAAAAATAAAAGAGAAATCTATGTGGAGCAGGAGCCATACCATAAGATAAGGGGTTAAGGAATGAAACTGAGGCCTCAGAGGCCATGAATGTGGACTAATTTCAAGAATTGTGACAGTGAAGAAAAAGCCAGTACTACGGTGATTGCTTGATGGGCAACCCTCTATAGACAAAATGAATTTAAAATAGAGAAGGTCTGAATATGTTACAGGCAGGGAGCATGGGACTGTAGAGATAAAAAAAATTAGAAAACTCAAAATATACATGGAGAGAGAACTATTCATGAAGATTTGCTTTAGAACTGGCATTAAAGCAGTAAGATGAAGACCAATATTTACAATTAAAGTAGAGATGATTCTTCTGAGTCAGGAGACATGAGATTAAAATGATGGAAGATACAAAGAATTTGTGGAGAAGAAAGGCAATATAAAAATTTGCACTGAATTGTTTCAATCTTATCAGTAGTAATAAGAATCAAAGCCATTTTTTCATAGTAAAAAGAAATGTATTCAACACTTTGCAATAAAGATAAGTGAATACTTGCACTAACCGTGTTTTTCATTTTTTGTGTTCTGATACTTTGACATCTGGGACTTTGCTGCCCCTCTCAAGGTCAGCCAATTCCTATAGACAGTAAACAACTCTGCATCAAGCATGCTTTTCAAGAGCGAATCAACTACTCCAGAGCTCACAGCTCCAACTATCCAACCACCTTCTTTATTGGGCTCTCACACCCTGGACCACTATCCACCTGCCCTAATGACTCCAGGCTCAGATACCAGACAACAAAGGGCAGCTCCTTTGCCCCAGAGCCTGCTGAAATTATTTCAACTAGCCAATCCTAAGCCTGCATACCCTGCCTATTCCATTCCTTCCAGAAGAAACCATAGTAAAGGCTCTTGCCCACAGTTTTTCCCTCTCCCTCTCCCCCTACTCACTCCAGTGATTCCCCGTGTGGTCCTGCAGAGTGTGGCATGCCTGTCTGCTTGGGAACTGGGATCAACAAAGTGTCATTTCAGTGGCAATCACCTCTTGACCTGTTGGGCTTACCATACCTAAAAAATAATAAAACCAGTTAAAATAATACCTTGCAATTATCTACATTACACTAATCCTTAATGTAATTTATGAAGCCGGTAGGCTTAAAGGGAAGCTTGCAAAAGGATAACGGATAATTGTTCTTCCATTTAAGTTTTAAGAATTATTTTACATCATTGTGGACATATGGTTGTCTGAACAATAAAAAATAATATCAATTTGTAATGAAGCTTATATATGTATTTTAAAATATAGAAGTAGCAGTATATGTCAAATTTGAAAATATCCATTGTAATTGACACACTACAATTCTAAGGCTTGTAAAGCCTGTAGCTGGACTAACAGTAACAAGGAAGCTGGATATGACTTCTACATAAAATGGGACATCATCACCACCTCCACCCCTCCACCCCCACGCAGAGTCAACAGCTGAGCACCAAGGCCATTGGTGAGCCTCTCAAATTACAGCAACATCCTTTCTGTCTACTGCTACTTGCTCTTAATTCACAGCACCAACCCCATTTGGGAAGCAATCTTCTTCTTGATGGATTGAGACGCAAGCTTGTTTCACACTACTTCCAAATAAGTGTGTAGAGCCATATTTTTTTTATTTTGCATTCTGACATATTATACATTATCAACCAGTTTTCTTCAAAAGAAAGACCTGAACCAGCAGTGTAAGAGGTAAGCACACTGTGATGAGCTTTAGACTGAACTGAACGATTACTTATTGTTCAGCATACAGTAATAGCAGTAAAGTGGCTGAACCATTTATACAATCAACCTGTTATATTACATTACATGTACTCCTTGTCTCCCCTGAGTGGCTTTGTCATAATGAACAGATACTTTTATAAATTATATAATTACCAGTTACTTTTAAATATTGCAGCAATTACAAAAGATTACCCCAAAGCTCTAATTGGAAGGTTGATGGTTAATGGGGTGACTTGGCTTTTAGCAGAATTACAGTTTGCACCTGTATGGGTAAAACAGTGTCTGGGCCTTTCACTTTAGCTTCACTTATGATTTTTATAATTCTGATTATTTTGATATTGCTTAATAGATCTGCTACTTCACTTATCTAAATATTCTAAAAAGTGAATGTCACAAAGCAATCAATCTAAAAAAACCCCAGACAAATAAATACATAGAACAACAAAAAAAGATCTTGGCTGTCATTTTCTGATATCACTATTGTGCTTTGATTTTGATTGTTTATGGAAACAATAGTTTCCCTGCCTGAAACCTGACGAATTTAATAATAAAAAGGGAAGTTTTATAAGGGTAACTCTGAAAGTATTTAATGCTGAAGTTGCAGTAATGTTGAATCTTTACCATTTCAAAGAAAATAAATATGACTTACATACTGCTCTAGTTGAGAGTATGCGCTGAGTGAACGTTTCCTGATTAACTCATAAGAAGTTGTAGTAAAGTATCAACTAGGCTTCAGAAAAGACCATCTGTCAGTTTAAGTGTGCATTATTTCTGTGATTTCTGTGACCTCCTTTGCACACTTGTAAGCTATACAAAAGCACACAGTTAAATGACATTTTTTCAAAGTTACAAAAATATTTCTGTTTCTAAAAATTCTATAGAAACTTTCTATGTGGAAATGGTGGCTAATTTACCTAGCAATGTTGAATGGGCATGAACATTCCTCCAAATCTGAGTATGACAATCCCAAGATTCTTGTGAGGGCTATCATGGATTTTCACTCACATAATGTTTTGCTTGATATTCATTAAGGATCTTTGTCACTTAAGAAAATCTAGATCATGAGTTGAGCAATTAAGAGACTTATTTTTATTACAGCCTTGGGTGTTTATCTGAAAAAGATGCTTTTTCCTTTGGTTTATTGGTAAGTCACCTCCAGAAATAAAAGAGTAAACATGAAAATAAAAAAATGAGATGTACTTGACATTATTTATTTATTTACCAAACAGAGATTATCATCTGTATTTGGTAAAATCTCTATATAAATCTCTATTTGGTATAATCTCTATTTATTTATTTGTTTATAACAAATAGAGATTATACCGAATACGATAATCTGAGATACTGCTGTTTATGGGCAAAAAAAAAATCCTTAAAAATTAAAAAGACTAACACACCTATAAAGCTCTCTTTTTCTGGGACAATCCTATAATAGAGAAGAGAGAGTGAGAAGTCTAAGAGGGACACAGAGGGATGACTTCCCAACCATTTGATCATCAGTAGGAAAGTGTACTTTTTCCTTTCAGTAAGCAATGCCCTAAGTCAGGGCTTGGCAATCTTTTTCTGTTATGGGCCAGGAGTAAATATGTTGTGATTGATGGGACATGCAATCTCTGTCACCACTACACAACTCTGCCATTGTATAGTAAAAGCAGTAGAGTAAAAGACAGACAATAGGTAAATGAGTGGGGTGACTCTCTTTCAATAAAACTTTATTTATGGACTCTGAAATTTCATCATTTTCATACGTCACAAAATATTCTTCTTTTAATTTTTCTTTTGTCCTTTAAAAATATAAAAATCTTTCTTAGCTCACTGGCTGTACCAAAATAGGGGGCACTGGAGTTAACTCTTGGGCTGTAG
The DNA here is from genome assembly GCF_000001405.40 of Homo sapiens. Classification (NCBI taxonomy): domain Eukaryota; kingdom Metazoa; phylum Chordata; class Mammalia; order Primates; family Hominidae; genus Homo; species Homo sapiens. The sequence continues at coordinate 150,708,969 of NC_000002.12, read as the reverse complement.
TTTACTGACTCCTGCTCTAATTCATAATCTTATATTTTTTTGAAAAGTATGTGTGTATATGTGTATTCTAATGTTTTCTTTTTACAGGAGATTCAGGCCTCAATTATGCTTCTGTTTTCATTAAACATAATGCTCATGAATGTGTCTAACTCAGCCCAAATGATGACTATAATCTTTCCACTATGTGACAGAACCCTAGACAAACAAAGTTAAACTGGTGCCAGGAGTTCCCATGCCCTCCCTAAGCTTCTATGCATTATGTGTCTTCTTTATTTGCAGTTCCATTTGCATATTTTTAATTCATTAGTAGCTTGTGGTAGAATTCTATAACCTCCTTACTGTTTTCCTCCCCTTCCTCTCTTTCTATAGCCTCTTATTTTCCCGATTTATGTCATTCTTAGGCTTCACAGGACAAAAGGGATTTTAATTTGAAGAAAGAGAGGAAGAGAGAAAATGACAAAGGGAAGAGAACTAACGGGCGGGAAGGGTGAGAGACAAAAGGAAAAGATAAGAGAGAAGCACAAAAGGTGGTGGCGTCTCACAGGTCAGAAGAAGCTGCGTGATGGGAGGTAAAGCATTCTCTTCCCTGCATTTTTCTTTGCCACTTACCCTCCTCCCCTCCCCTTTCTCCTGCCTCACCCCCAACTTGCTCAACTGCTCTCTTCCACTGTTTCAGCCCCATTTCTTGCCTACATTTAGTTTCCCACTTCTCTCTGCACTTCTTACCTAATTGTCTCTTTCAACCTCACTTTCTCCTTTATGGTTTGCTTTTGAGCACTAACTTTGAGCGCATCTGTTTGTATATGTCACTACAGTCAGCCTTTCACGTGTCTGCTTCCACAGAGGAGGGAGAGCTGGCACTTTAGGTAACTACCTCCACCCCCAGGTCATGTACATGGCCCTATTGGTCTGATGGGCCCTGTAGGGCAGCATCATGCTCACTGAAGGCCCCAGATCCTGCTCACTGAGGAGCATGGTGGCAGCGTGAACTTTCCCCTTGCCTTTGCAGAAGGAAGTGGTCTCACTGGGCTTGTACATTTACAAGGCAAATAACTATTCTGGCTCTATTAATTTTCTTTTTAGATACAGAATTTAGTTTTTACCATCCTTTCCCACACAATCTATTGACTTGTCTCAGTATTGGGGAACTCACATGTGCTTATAGTACCACGTTAGAGCTCAAATTCATGGGTTCAGTTGTAATGACATTTTTCTAACAAATGAACTCAGTAATGAGGAAGATTAAAAATAACTTTCATTTTTAAAATTATCAGTTCTCAAGTAACATATGTTCCCTGTTAAGAACTTAGAGCGTACATTTGAGTAGACAAAAGTCAGAAAGCATTTTGAATTCCATTTCTCAGATATAAGCGCTGTTAATATGTGGGCATATAATCTCCCAGAATTTTATGTAAACCTAAGTACAGATAGGTTTCTACGTGTGTATCAGTCATAATCAGATCAGAGAAGCAGAGCCGCTTGGTGATATACATATAATAAGGAATTTGACCTTTCCCAATCATGGGAGCTGCTTGAACACTTTCTCTAAAGCTGTTGGGTTCATATCTGGTGCTGGAGTTTGAAGACCTTTATCAAGCTAGATGTAATCTTTGAACCTCACTTTTCTCATTTGTAAAATGATAATAATAATACTTGCCTAATAGTGTTGTTATAAGTATTAATATCAGTAAGAAATGAAATTATGTAGGAACATGCCATAGTTCCTGGTTATCAGGAAAAACTCAATACATTTCAGCAAATTATTATTAATAATTATTACATTTTCCATCACCAACACTTATTAACTCTGGGCAAGTTATGCAGCTTTTCTGTGCTCAGTTTTATCACCTATCAAATGGAGCCATTGACATTTACCTCAAAGTGCTGTTATGAAAATTACATGAGAAAGTAAATCTAAAATGCCTAATGCAAAGTCTTGCATACAGCGAGTATTAAGTGAAAGTCAATGGCTCGGCCTAATGCTGAGACTGTTTTCGTTCATTAGCAGCCCTGCCATGTTGTTATCTCATGCTGAGCTTGTCCTCATTTAAGTCCTTGGGGTTTCTTTTACCTGCATGTTGAAATATCTCTGCTACACTATGCTTGAAAAATTTTGTTTTATGCAGCTCCATGTAGGATTTTTGGCTTACTTTTGTTGTCTTTCATTGTAATATATTTCTACTCCATATCTCAGTATGCCAAGATTTTTTTCAAACTTGATTCTGGGTCCAACATATTAGCTATTCTTCCTTACTTTTTCATGCTTCTTAAAATTCATTGAAGATATTAGACTGTGCTTTGTGAAATTGCTGTTTTTGTACGTAAAAAATTATCACACACTTGTGTGCGATTGTGTGTGGTTCAACTTAATATTAGAGAGCTGAATAGAATAGAACCAAGGACATGATTATGAACTAGCTCTTTATTACTGTCTTGACCTTTTTTGAGTCATAAATATTTGAGAATCTGATGAAAGCTATTTATTTCCTTTCCAGAAACACATACACACATTTCTATACTTTTTTATATAATCTTTTTTCTTGCATTGCACATTCATTTCTTTCATAAAGACAGAATACAAGACAATTTTTCTGAAAAAATTTCTCTTATTCTCAGCCTTAATGTGAAAATGTTCATATAAAAAAATGTAAATTTTGCATAAAACTAAAAATGTAAGTCTTAATCGTGTTCAACTTTAACTTGCAATGAGAAGACAGTTATTTTTTGGTTTGACTAAGAAGTAAATACTGTGGAATGAATGCACATGGCTCTGTGAAAAATCATCTTTTGACAATCAATTTTGAGTTTTCATTTCTGTGCCTGTAAATGCTAGAAACTCCAAATGATAAATGCCTGTAAGAGAAAAACAAATAAAATCAGAATTCTCATTACTAGTTTTACTAGATGAGAATAGGTTTGTTTCAAGGAGAAGTGGAATTACTGGGTCTTCCGGAGAAACTGATGTGTTATCACATCCTGTGCCCTCAAGTCAGGGAGGGGAACTTTCATAAGGCCTTTGAGTGAGCAAAGGATTATGAATCCACATCTCACTTTCAGGTCATCTGAGGGGAAGTGATCTTTTAAAAACATTATCTGGTGTTTCCAGGTGTCTGTAGATTTTGGCTTGCATAAAAATGGACAGAATGTTGTTGCTTTTGATTTCAGCCTAAAGAATCGCTTCCTCCAGCAAAGGAAAAAATTTCAGATTGTTTATCTGCAGTCTTTTGTTCCAGAATGTCTGTTTGGCTGAAATGTCTCATAGTTTTAAAATAATATCTAAAATGTGGACTATAGGGCCTTAATGAAAAGGTTTACATAACTCCTGTGGCCAAAAGTTTTTTCAAGTGAGCCAATTCAGAATGACATCCTGCATGCCAAATGGTTCTGTGAGTGGGTTTTGTCTTCAAATAAAAAGGGTAATGAATGGGTGGGGGTTGAAGACTCTGTCCAAAGTCAATAAAGGTTGTATTAAAGACTCTTTCTGGCTGAGTGCGGTGACTCATGCCTGTAATCCTAGCAATTTGGGAGGCCAAGGTGGGCAGATCACGAGGTCAAGAGATGGAGACCATCCTGGGCAACATGGTGAAAACTTGTCTTTACTAAATACAAAAATTAGCTGGGCATGGTGGCAAGTGCCTGTAGTCCCAGCTACTGGGGAGGCTGAGGCAGGAGGATCGCTTGAACCTGGGAGGCAAAGGCTGCAGTGAACCAAGATCGCGCCACTGCACTCTAGCCTGGGTGACAGAGCGAGACTCTGTCTCAAAAAAAAAAAAAAAGACTTCTTCTTCTATTTTGTATGAAAGAACTTCATATTCTGCTCCATATTCCTTGACAAAACTTGGCAAAGTTATTTCTTTGCCCAGCTTTGATGATGTAGATCACTTTCATAGCAGTAGACAAATGTTCCAGGCTGTTGATAAAATCTCTAACATCAATGCACCCTGACATGCAACAGTAGATTCGTAATATGGGTAGAAGTTATTTCATTCTTCTTCTTATCAACCTACCTGAGAAGTGTTACCCAGAGATCCTCAAAGACAAGTGTTATGCAAAAGCGGCATTTACTTACCCTTATTTGTTGCTTCTTATAGAGAGAGCACAGTATAAATATCACTCACCTTTTCAGGCCACAAGGATAGCATAATTATTATGTCTATTATAGTACTTAGACGAACAGCAACTAACATGCTGTAAATAAACAATTCCTAATTGATACAACATAACCATACTCCATTATTAACAATGAGTTAGATGGCAAATACTTGCATTAACTGTAAATCACTAGTCAGGCACATTGGCTCATACCTGTAATCTCAGCCCTTTGGGAGGTCAAGATGGGCAGATTGCTTGAGCCCAGGAGTTCGAGACCAGCCTGGGCAACAGGGTGAAATCCTGTCTCTATTAAAAATACAAAAGACTAGCCAGGTGTGGTGGTGTGTACCTGTAGACCCAGCTATCGGGAGGCTGTAGTGAGGGCCCCAAAGGTTGAGGCTGCAGCGAGCCAAGATCATGCCACTGCATTCCAGCCTGGGCAACCGGAGTGAGACCCTGTCTCAAATACACGACCACCCCCGCCCCCCTCCCCCCCAACAAAACTATAAATCATCATGATTATTGGTTAAATATAATAACCATAGCAACTTTATTAAAAATTTGCGTTTTAAATTTCCAAAATAATTGGCACTTGGGCCAATCCTTTAGTTGGCTAAACCTTTACTAAGATAGTTCTTTTTCTTTTCTATATTCATTTTTATTTATGATCCCAACTTACAATGTGGTTATATGTCTTTTTCCACATTCTTTCCCACAGACTAACCTAATGTTAATATGATTATTATTTCCATCTGCTTTTTACCTTGCCTGTGTATCGCCTATTGTAAAATTTATCCTTCTCCCAGGCCTCTTTCTTCTGCTCACTCAAATGTATTATTACCTCTCTCCTAATCATGCCAAAAAGGGTGTTGACCAAGGCTTCTATATGGCTGTCTATAGTACACTTTTATAAGATGCTCTGTACGTAGATCTCTATCATCAAGTTCAGAGATTTTCTTGAGAATAGCATTTGATGTATAGTACTAGTAATTATTCCCTTACTAGTAGATATTTTCTGTCTAAAAATGTTCCTCTTTCATTCTGTATTCCTATTCATGAATCCCCATACAAAGAAGTATCAGTATTACATAAGATAGTATTTACTTGTTAGTATCTAAAATTTAGTTTTAATTGTTTAAAACCTTTACTTAGTAAACAGCTTATAAAAATTGAAAAATATTAGAATGTTTTATTTTCTGCAACTTTTTTGAACTTCCTATACAATCATCTTTATTTATTTATCATTCTTATTACTCACCATGATATTTGTTTTTCTGCCTTGCTTGACATTATTGTTTTGAAGCACTTTTTTTTTTTTTTTTTTTTTTTGAGACAGAGTCTTGCTCTGTCATCCAGGCTGGAGTGCAGTGGTGCAATCTCGGCTCACTGCAAGCCCCGCCTCCCGGGTTCACGCCATTCTCCTGCCTCAGCCTCCCGAGTAGCTGGGACTACAGGTGCCCGCCACCAGGCTAGGCTAATTTTTTGTCTTTTTGGTAGAGACAGGGTTTCACCGTGTTAGCCAGGATGGTCTTCTCGATCTCCTGACCTCAAGATCTGTCTGCCTCAGCCTCCCAAAGTATGCTTTGAAGCTTTCTTAATCAGATTAGCAAATCTCCTGGAATCACAATTTCTTCAGAATTTCAAAAATACTCCTTGTCTTTTTTTCAGGGGTACTAATTCAATAATTGTAAGAATATATTTCAAAAGTTTTAAACCATAAACACTTATTTTCTATTAAGGAAGTCTTGTTCAGAGCTCCTATATAAGAAAAATAAAAGTGAAGATCTTCTAGTTAAAGTATGTGTATGTGTGCATGTGGGAAGGAGCCCTTCTCCTATGTGTCTCTATAGTCCCTTTGAAGAACAAAGCTTAAAAACCAGTTTTACAACTACGGTCTAGTTAAGCAAAGTCTTTTCTTTTCATGGAAATTTCTTTTCTTTGAGTATTCATTGAGTACCTGCCATTTGCAAAACACATTACTTACATGCTATTGTCATCTTCTAACTGATACCTTTCTACCAGAAGAAGTGAAAACATCTATATTCTCAAGTATATAAAATATCACCAAGAACCCGTTTTAGGCAGTGATCTGAAGATCACATTCTTTCCAACATAAATAAATATACATGAAATATACATAAAACCAGATTGTCTTTAAAACAGTTTTGGATCTGAATCATCAGGTTTGAATGTGATTGAGCCGGGGGGCATGGCACATACTGTGGAAAATGATTTCTTGCTCCACTGAGGAAACCTCAGGTCCTCTAGTTGTATTTCCTTCAGTGAACCCAGACCCCATAGGAGAGTCCTCAGCCTGCCCGGCACACTCTGTGTTTCTCCCCACCTCGGTTTCTCTATTCATTCTGTCCACTCTACATGGGCTGCTGGTCCTTTTCTCTTTGTTTATTAAAATTCTGTCCTTGAAGTCTCTTCAGCCTGGTCAGCCAAAAATTATCGTTTCCTTTTTTATTCTACAAACAGCACTTCTATTCTAAAACCACACATTAGTCCCTTTATTACATTGATTTTCATATGTTTTATGTTTGTCTTCCTCCAAAATGACAAATACCCCAAGGACAGAAAGCACTCCCTCAAAAGCTTCATTCAAAGAATTGATTTCCACATGGGCCTTGTTTATTTTTTTATTTAAACTAAAGAAATTTGAGAAATTGGTAAATGGGTGCACAGAAGGAAGAAAAATACGGGCAATACAGGCATCATGTTTAGAATTCTTGGATGGAATCATGTATCTTGATAACAGGAAAAACCATTTCCTCTCCACCAAATGCCAGTGCACTCTAAGTACCTCAAGGACTGACAAGTTTGGGACCATTGAGAGAATAGTCTCAGCACAGCTTTGGCATCGTCACGATCAGCCACGTCAGCTATGATGGATGTCAGGCACAGCAATGTCTCAGGAGGAAAAAAAAAAAACACTGGCCAGGAGGACCTAGAACAGGGCATGGAAAAATGTGGAAAACAACACTTGCCCAGTGGTGACCATGGCTGATGGACAAGTTCATAAGATACAGAAGTCCAGCAGGCCACTAGGCATGATGGGGATGATGAAAAAATATTTGCAGATTTAGGGGCCTGATTAGCTGATGGGGGCAAGACCTGTGAAATCTGAGATATGACACTTAATGTCACATGCTGTATCCCAAAACTGGTGAGATCCAGAGATATTTGGATCATATTTATTTTGCAGAGAAGGCAAAGTCCTTTCTTTTACAATTATTGGAAAAGAAGTTTTAAATGCAAATATTCACTTGGACTAAAGTCTAAATGAATAACATAATTGTACGCATGCACTGTGTGTATTTTGTGTCTTTCCTCTCAAGAACAGATTTTGCTAAGAGGGCAAAATTGGCTAGTCGAAAGTGGAAAAAGACAAAGAAGCGAGAAAAAAACAGCTCTTTAGGGGACTCTGAGAAAGCAAATGTGTCCTCTCTCCCAGTTTGACTATGATTGGCCATCTATTTCATATTAATTTAGCACTTTGGCTAACTCTCTAAAAAATACAGATTGGCAGAAAGGAAAAAAAATGCTTTGGCCCCAAAATTGAAAAGAGTTCTTCTAAAACTATGGAAATAGTGAGACCATAAGGATGACTATAAGCAGATGTCTCTGAAAAAGTGTAAAGCTCACAAAAATTCTAATTTCCTGCTATCACTAGAATACTCCCCTTTGGTTTTCAGACTGTCAGTTTTAGATGGCCAGGTGGACCTGGAGAGATAACTAATGTATATATACTTTTTTCTTTTCTCTAAGTAAAAGTATTTGGAAGCCAGTGGATGTCTGGATCATTTCTCTCTCTCTCTCTTTTTTTGGTGGGGGAAATCATCTCTAAACCATCTTTCACCCAGTAATTTTTGGGCATAAAGTGTATCAATGTCTGCAATTCACTGCTGTGTGAGTTATTTTTGGCCCTGAAATTTTATGGAACTATGTGGATCATTTTGCAATTCATAATGAGACATCAGCATATTAAGGCCTTGTTCTTTTTTATTCCATTATTTTTCAATGCGTTTGGAAGGGGCCAACTTAAATCAGTGTTAGTTATGCTCTTAGGTGGCTGCTCTGACAAAATGAAATCATAGAAAAATGTCGAGCCAATAAAACCATCTGGGACTTTCATATATTTAAAACTCAAAATCTTTGTGGATCCTGCCAATACATTTCAGGTCATTTGAATTGAACCAAGGAAAAAAATGGTGTTGGTCTAGGTCACTTTTTTTTTTTTTTAAATTACAAATAGTTGGGTTAGGATATTTGTCCCTGATGTAACTCTTACTCACTTCTATACTGCCTTTGAGAACTGCACAATTAAGATGGGGATATGCTTTAAAACTTGAAGAAATAAATGACAATATAAATTCATACTAGTAGTTATTAGCGATATTTCTAATTCTAATGGGCAGCAGTTCTTCTTGGAATTTATCTCGCTACTTGGGACCTAGAAGAGTAAGACTTCTCCTTTGATATCCAGATACCCAGGTTGACTTCAAAATAGTACACAAAAGTGTAGATGGAAGGGTACAGCCATGCAACTTCAAAGAATCAACTAACTTGGTATACTTAATGCCCAGGTAATAAGATACTTACAGAGGATTTATTGGATGCTTACCGCACAGCCACTCTCCACTTCTTCCTTGCTGAGACTGTCCCAGTCCTGTTTGTGTGCCATCATTTATCTGAAAAAGGCAGAGAGAGCTGACCCTATTCCAAGCTCCCAGTCATTTTCCCCAACAGTGATTGGACTGGCACAGTCCTGGGATGCAAGTCTGTCTAATTCGACATTAAAAGAATTCAGCCAATGTTGTGGAAAATTAGCCCCCAAACTAAGAATTAAAATTAGACCCTATTGTGTTACTAAGAATTTACTGTGGGAAGGAGGAAGAGAAATGCTAAACCAGCCGGTGACCAGGTGTCCATCAAGCCCCACTTCTTTCAATTCATGAAAATTATAGACTTTCTTTTATATACTGGCACATCCTAAGACCTCCTCTAAGAATCGCCTTATGGTCAACAGGGGAGGAGAGGCTCTGTGATGCTCAGGTAGGGGGAAGGAGGACATCATAGAAAGGGAGGGAAGAGCAACTGTATAGTGATAACTAAGCAGATTTTTAAAAGGATATTTGAATAACATGATTATAAGCTTTTGAAAGGACTACTGTTCCAGTAAAATATTAAGAATCAACCAAAAAAGAAAGTCATTTATTTTATTGAGATCTGAGATCCAGTGAGAACTGATATAGAGGGTCTGATTTTTTTCCTTATAGAGGCTCATAGAAAAAAAAAAAAACTACATTTGAATAGATGCCAAAGACCCATTATTTCTCTCTCTTTCTCTCTTATGTTTTGTTGGACATTGTCATATCTGCATGGCATGCTTGTGCTCGTGAGGTCAGCTGGTCTTGGACAAAGTGGCAGTGATGAAGATGGGAGAACAAAAAGATGGAAAAGTTCCAGATCATTGATGATGTCATTGAGCTAATAAGTTAACCATCCCTAGAGTCACTCTGCCTCAAAATTTCTTGCTCTATGAGATAATAAAAAATCCTTGTTGCTTAGGCTACTGTGAGTTGAGATTTCTCTTTTTTACATTAAAAAACTCCCTAATATATTACTTAATCCAGATTTCTTTGTCTATTCAGTGGAAAGGATAATATCTCTTTTAGTGTAATGCCCGGCGTATAGCAAACATGAAACAAATGAGCCTAAGCATTTCAGCTGGAGATATAATTTTCTGAAGGAGTAGGTAAGATGAGTGGAGTTGCATTCCAGAAACATTTAAAGCAAGTCAGTGCTGCCTTATATTAGACAAACATTTCCAAGAATGTATGGTTTAGGATGCTAATATACTCTAATGTCCTAGGTTCCAGAGATTCCAGAGTCAGTTAAGTAGACTTAATAAATAATGGTCTAAAGAAATTCAAACACGTTCTTTTATGGCAGAAATATATTGCATCCCCATATTTTAAAAATAAAAATATTTTATTAAAATGCTATTGATGGAGGAAAAAACTACTAGTTTTCTTTAGTGAAGAGAGGGAAAAATATCAAAAGGTACAACATCTGTACCCATTGAGATGGTTGAAATGGTTGTTAATAAGAGCACATGATTTTTCTGCCCTGATTTCTTCTTTGGGCCTATGTATTGGGAAATGAGATTTCTTGAAGAAGGAGAAGATGTCTGTTTATAATGCAGAGGGTGGTGAAAAATAGAATGAAATTTGGGAAACTCTAGCCTGAGGATAAAAGAGGAGAGCTAGAGTCTAACTGGCTTCAACTTAATTGGAAACAGGGCTTGGGAGAACTTTTTAAGGTTCTGGAATTTAATACTTCCTCATGTTTGTCATCTTTGTTTTCTTAAATGAAAAAGGATTTGTTTGCTTGTGTTCAAAGTCAGGAATGATGTGAAGGATGTTGAAATACTGGGATGAAGTCTGTAGCCAGTTCTGGCAAAAGCAGAGACCTGGGGTTTCCCAGGATTCTTTTCAGTAGAATAGTCTGTGTGGTTCTTGAAGAGAAGGCCCTGGACAGTGAAGACGCAAGGGAGAATGAAAAAGAGATAGATAGTGAAAGAAAAATAAAATCTTTGGACCCCAAACTCACTATGCCAAAGAGAAAGTTAAGCTTGGGAACTGAGTCATGCAAAAAAACAAACAAAAAACCTGCCTTCCTTTTGTTCCCAAGTGTAACTACTTGCCTCATTGCCTGCCCTGTCTCCTTTTTTTTTGCTTCCTTCACCTCCTGCTTGCTCTTTTCTTTTTAAACATCGAAGTTCCTCAAACCCTCTTTGGAAAAAGCACAGGCCAGAAATCCTACTGTGACTTGTGATTCTTTTTCCCAGGCATATTCTCAACCTTGGCAAAATAAACCTCTAATCGATAGAGGTCTGTCTCAGTCACTTTTTGGTTTACAAATAGATGTCCAGGAACATAATATGAACCTAGTTACTCTGTGCTCCCTGGAGTTGTTCTTCAAGAGTGATCAAGGAGTACCGTAGAAGGCTGTATCAGCAAGGAAAGGAACAATTTGTGCCAGAGTCAACTAAAACAATGGGGGCCATCTGGAGGGAGGACTGGACATTCTAAGACCTTGGAGTCTCAAAGCAGTTCTGTTGCTAATAATTGTGTAACTGTGTTCAGGCTAAATCTTTGTACTTCCTGAGTTTTAGATTCCTCCTTCATGAATGAGAATGTCTCCAGGACTTTTTCCAGTACTTAATGGTCTATAATACCCCTACTTGCCTTAAAACAGCAGTTGAGAGGGGATTATGAGGAACAAACAAAAACAAATACAAATGGCTGTGGTAGCACTATCACAACGAATATCTTGGAGACAGAAAGATTTATTTTGTTGCTGCTCAGACTAAGATTGCTCTTTAATGATGACAGCAAATAGTAATTTGGAGGCCGCTACATGCCTGATGAAGCAAACATAAATTTGGAGCTACACAAAGGAGGGTTGTGTGTGTGTGGTGTGTGTGTATGTGTGTGTGTACATGTGTTTTATTTGCTTGTTTGTTTGGACAAGGAAACCTTAGAATTTTAAGATGTCACCCCATTTACCTTCTCCTGGTTCTTACCATAGAGATAGAAAACAAAGCTATTGTTCAATGCTGGGGAAAGGAAAAAATGAATTAATAAATGTGACTATCTTTGATGTATGATATAGCTTTAGGTGTTGGTGGGTGTCTGAAACAGGAGTTGAGGGGATGGATGGAAGGAAGTCAGACCACTCCATGTGTCTAAAAGAAGAAAGCCATGTGGGTTCAGAGCATGGGTCCCTGATGGGACCTCCTCTGATGTCTCTCATTGAGGCTTTAATAGAACTAGCTTGCTTTACCTACCTACCTACCTACCTACCTACCTACCTACCTACCTACCTACCTTCCTTCCTTCCTTCTTTCCTTCCTTCCTTCCCTCCCTCCCTCCCTCTTTCCCTCCTTCCTTCCTTCCCTCCGTCCCCCTTCTCTTCCCTTCCCTTCCCTTCTTCTTTCCTGCCTGCCTTCTTTCCTCCCTCCCTCCTGCCCCCTCTCTCTCTTTCTTTCTTCTTTCCCTTTTCATGGCAAGAACATTTAACAGGAGATCAGAGATCTGCAGATCAGAGATCCACTCTTTTAATAAATTTTAAGTATACAACAAGTATTGGTAGCTCTAGGCACATTGTTTTCTTAAATGGAAAAGGATTTGTTTGCTTGTGTTCAAAGTCACAAGCTCTAGGACTTATGCATCTTGGATAACTGAAAGCTTATACTTATTGATCAGCAACTGTCCATTTTTCTCTACTCCAAGCTCCTCCAACCATGATTTCACTTTTTGATTCTGACAGATATCTAACAGAGTTTGACTCTGTTAGATACCTCAGATAAGTGGAATCAGGCAGTATTTATTTGCCTTTCTGTGACTGGCTTATCTTACTTAACATAATATCCTCAAGGTTCATCTATGTTGACACATATTGCAGAATTTTCTTCTGTTTTTTTTTTGAAGCTGAATAATATTTCATTGCATGTGTAGATGCATATACCACATTTACTTTTCTTGAGGCAGTCCTACTCTGTCACCCAGGCTGGAATACAGTGGCATGATCTCGTCTCACTGCAATCTCTGCCTCCCTGGTTCAAGCGATTCTCCTGCCTCAGCCACCCAAGTAGCAGGGATTACAGGTGAGCACCACCACAACTGGCTAATTTTTTGTATTTTTAGTAGAAACTAGGTTTTGTCATGTTGGCCAGGCTGGTCTTGAACTCCTGGCTTCAAGAGATTCACCCGCCTCAGCCTCCCAAAGTGCTGGGATTACAAGTGTGAGCCACCATGCCTGGCCTTGCTTGTAATACCACGTTTTCTTTATTCATTGATCTATTAATAGACATTTAGTTTGTTTTCACATCTTGGCTATGAACCAGGGAACACATCTTCACCCTCCTGCCTGTCACACCATTGCTCAAAGCCATAAACACAGAAAGCATCCACTCAATGCTAATAGAGACCTGAACTTGTTCCCAAATGTAATATTTGGTTCTAAGCCCTGAATGTAATTGAGGAGGGGGTAAAAAAGACTTTCTTCATGCTGTTTACTGCAAGCAACAACCTTCACCCCAAGTTAAACAATTTTTTTTAAGTATCCAAATATCCAATCCCAACCTTGTCTCTATTCCACTAATGAAGTCCAGACTCTGTTTTGAGCACCAGAAATGAGGTCTGGGGATCAGCCTATGCCAGAAGCTATAGAGCAGACTCGAGATTGGTTTTGAAGGGAACAGAACAGTTTGGACTGTTCTGTAAACACTTTGGCATGTTTTGCATTGAAGCCTTGCTATAATCAAGGCATAGAAAATACTCCACCTAATGTGCCACTGAACCTTGGAACATTTAGTTTTTGGGAGTATATCTTTAATTTATAAAATGAAATTTTTTCAGCTCTATTGGCTAACTGAATTAACTCAAGAACAGCTCAAGTTTATATTGTTCCAGGAGCAAACAAGGTTGAGGTTAGATGGATGCAAATTTCAGTTTAATTTAAGGGAGCATATTCCAACACTAGAACTTAGAGGAGCTTAAACAGTCCCTGCAGTCACCTTCCCAAAATCATAAGATGAAGCTAGGTTTCCATTTGTATATATGCAAAAGACTCAGTGAAACAGGGGAATCTGAAGGCATTCATCCTGAGATTGTACAACTTCTCCTTCATTCTGTGGAGAGTATTTGTGTATCCAATAAAGTGACAGGAAACTAACATCTCTTATGCACTTCAAGTTTGCTAGATATTTCATATATTGCATTTAATCCCCATAGAAATCCAGTCATGCTAATATTATCTCCACTTCACTAAAAAGAAACTTAGGCTCAGCTATCTGCCCAAGGACAGAGAGACGGAATTAGGCAGAGACATTTCCAACTCCTGAAACTATGTTCTTAACAAAAATGAACATTTATAATGCACTTACTGTGTACTAGCATCGTACCTAAGCACTTGACACATATTATTTCCTTTAATCTCCAACAGCCTGATAAAGCAGCTTCCAATTTTATTCCTATTAATAGATAAGGGTATTTAGGTTTAAAAGGTTAATCAAATTGTCCAATGAAAAACATTTTGTTAGTAGCAAAAGCAGTATTTCACTCCAGGCAACTTAACTGCACACTTTTAATCATTAGCATAAATTGCCTTGCCTCTATACTAGGCTGCCTGCTGGATTCTACTAGAGTAATGACTTTTGGCATATGTTTCGAGCAAGAGCTATACTTTCCTATAGGCCTATTTAGAAATAAACCCAAATTTATTCACAGATTTTTTAAAAATCTAAAGTAATTATAAAACCACAAGTCATAAGCTCTAAATTATTTCTAATTGCTAGAAATATTATCAGAACCATAGTAATGGAATTGTAGAGTGAACTGGAGCATAAATGAGGCAGCACTGAGGAATGTGCCATTCCCAGAGTCCCAGTTGTACCTCCAGCTCTTTCTGCCCCAATAAAGAATGCACGTGGGATTGCCAGCAAGAGTAATATTATTACAGGGATAAACTTGCATTCTAAGTAAGTTATTTTGAAAAATCTTTTATAAAATTTGGTACTCTGTGTGTGTGTGTGTGTGTGTGTGTGTGTCACGACTTACGATAATCAAGACATGCCATGACACTGCATCCTCCAAGGACTCTTCCATTCTAACATTCTCTGAATATGTGCAGCAAATAATTTTGATTCTCTGCCCAGATCCTTTGGGATCTCATTTTTACATTTTCTGTTTCCCCATTGGAGGACTGTTCATGGGCCCCCGGAGTCTTCTTTTCCAGGGCTGAGAGCTAGAAGTGCTGAGTATTTACATCCCCCAAGGGTGGCCCTTAACCAATGTCTTCTAGGTATGGGCACATGAAACCTCAAAGCCCTTGCGTTGGGTGGAAAGTACTCACAAGCTGATCCATCAAGGCTGAAGTCAGCCTCTGGATGACTTTCCCTGAGATCACCCTTTTGCTTGGTTTTCTCCCCTTCCCCATCCTGCTTTCCTCTACTCTCTGTCCTACTCCTTACTGTTTTTTTCCTGGGAGCACTTGGTTAATAGGTTACTTAAACTGGAATAATCCTCTCAGGTCTGTGTCTGGGGGGCCAATCACCAGCCACTATGGATCAGCCTTTAGGTGCTTTCCACCCAGGTCAAGGGGTTGAGGTTTTCATGCTCCCATACTTAGGAGTCATTGGTTAAGGGCCATCCTTGGGGGATGTAAATACTCGGCACTTCTGGCTCTCAGCCCCGGAAAAGGGGATTCCAAGAGCCCATGAGCAGTCCTCCAATTGGGAACCAGGAGACATTGCAGACTTTAGGTCCAGCAAAGAGAAATGGATTTTATGAAAATACTTGAAGTTGAATGTTTATGGACACATCTATCAGAAGATAAGAAAGGAAGAGAGGAAAGAGAAGGAAGGAAGAGAGGAAAGGGGAGGAAAGAAGGAAGGAAGGAAGGAAAAGGAAGGGAAGGAAAGGAAAGGAAAGAAGGGAAGGAAGGGAAAGAAGGGAATGAAGGGGAGGAAGGGAAGGAACAAATGAGTAAGTGAAGGTGGGAAGGAAGAAAGAAAGGAAGGAAGAAAAAGAATAAAGAAAATATGTACGGCTCTACTCAGTAGGGTATAGATATAAAACATCTTTATTTTCCAGTCTCTGCTTTCAACCCTGCTGAGCCAAATTCTTTTTCTTTTCCCTTAACAACATCTTACAGCATGATCAACACTCAGTCTAGTTTACAAATGAATCTCAGACTTGATTTCAATTGCATCTCTTCCCTTGCTTCCAGGACAGGTTTCAGCTAGGGGATGACTGTTTGGGGAGTACTTATATATGCCAGTGGATGTTTCTGAAAAGTATCTTTCACCCTTTTCTTAGAGTGTAGCTCTTTCTGTGTATTCATGCTGTTGAGAAGGAGAGTAAGGTAAAATAGTGAGGGCTGCCTTAGCTTGGGCTGCCATAGCGAATACCCTAGACTGGGTAGCTTAAACAAGAGAAATTAATTTTCTCACAATCCTAGAGGTTTCAAGCATGAAAAACAAAGTGCCAGCATGGCCAGGATCTGGTGAGGACTCGCTTCCGGGCTTGCAGATGGCCATTTCTCTTGGTGTCGTCACCTGGCCTTTCCTCTGTGCTCATGTGGAAAGAGAGTGAGAGAGGGGGTGGAGAGGGGGAGAGAGAGATCTGGTGCCTCTTTCTCTTAAGTCCACCAATCCTACTGGATTAGGGTTCTACCCTTACGACTTCATTTAACCTTAGTTACTTCATAAAAGCCCTTTCTCCAAATACTGTCACACTGTGGGTTAGCGTTTCAACGTATGAATTTTGAGGGGACATGATTCAACCTGTGACAGTGAGCATTCTCAGACCTACCTAACTCCTGTTGTAGTCCTTATTCTGAGTGGTCCTCAGTTCTCTGAGTGGCCCTGACCAGGTGTCATGCCCACAGTGGAGCAGTCGCCTCAATGATTGCTCTCATGGGCACATAGGCGAGTCCTCTGGGGGGCATTGCAAGGCCTCTCACTGCTTAGTTCCCCATGGGAAAGCTGACCTTAACACTACTGCTTTGTCTACTTCAGCTCCTGCCACCAGAAGTATACTACAGCAGGTGGGGTGCCAACATGATGGCTCAAACTCCGCTAAATTCCATGAGGTCCCCTTGGCCTATGGAAATTTTATTATTTTTCCCCTTATTCTCCTCTTCTGTTTTTATAGGCTCAGCATAGATCAACAGGTCCACTACCTATACAGATATCCAAATGGGCAATATGATACAGTGCCCCATTTTTATCATACAAAGGCATTGTCTACTCTCTGTGAGAGATTATTCTGGAGTCCCTTGCCGAGCCACCCTTTAAACTTTAGAAAAGGTACAAAATAATTTCTGAGACACTCATGTAGCATCCCTATGAGGTCAATTCCAAAGATACCGATGACTCCCTTTTCCCTCTCCATGCCCAAGTCTTTAAATAGATAGATTGGTGTGGATAGACAGATTATAAATGAGAGGTAGGTGGATAGACAGACAATTGAAGGGTTTGCTCAATTATACATGATTCATGATAGATGCATAAATTCATAGCTATAGGATTGATTGATAGAGGGTAGATGCCAGATGGATGGATGATGAGATAGATAATAAATGATAATAGCTAGCTAGCTAGATAACTGCATGGGTTTTGCTTCTTCCAATTAAGCCCCGAAGAAGTGAGTTGGTGCCCCAATGTTGGTAGTTCTTTTGACTGAGTGGTACTGAGCACATGTTGTTTTGTCTGTGTGCTGTAGAGCAGGGGTCAGTAAACTATCAGGCCCTGGAATAAGGCCAAAGAATCATATATAATCTGGGGCCTGTTTTTGTATAGCCTGTGAGCTAAACATGGGTTTTATATTTTTGAAGGTTTGTGAAAAAGCAAAGTGACAATGGCAATGGCAAAGCTTAGAATATTTAATAGTATTTAATAGAAAAAGTTGACTAATCCCTACTCTGAGGCCAGTTTAGAGGCAATAGAAAATGTTCCTTTCAAAATCCTGTTACACATTTCCCTGATTTTTTCAGGTGAGGAAAAGGGAGTCTGGGATGGGGATTTAGCATTTCTTTTTTGGCCACCACAGAAGATTAACATTAATAAATATTTATTAAGTACATGCTGTAAAATTAGAACTGCGTTTAGTGAGAAAGTGGTACAAAAGAATATAAGTCAAAAGAGTTGACCCTCAAGGAGCTGCAAACTCAGGAAAACTCAAGTCATACATGTGAAGTGTGAAGCAATAGTACAAAACAATCTATGACTAACCAGCTGAAGAAATGGAACTAACAGTAATTGCTGTTGGATTAAGATGGTAACAAAATCTGCACAGGTTGAAGTCACCAGGGAAAAAGAGCCATGGTTTTGACTTTAAAGCATGTTTAGAGATGTGTAAATTCCCCCAAACTGGGAAGCCAAGATTTAAGTGCTTGTAATTTCCTGGTACTTAGGAATACCAAATATCCAGTGACTTATTAAAATAGGAGAGTATTGGTCTAGGAGTCTGAACTCCAGAGCCATCTAAACAGTGGAATTATTCTTGAAGAATTTTTAAAGAGATTTCCAGTAATATTACTTGAATCATGGGTTGCTATTATTCATGGTGTGATAATCTGAATGTATGTATCCTTTGGTGATGTTGCAAAAGCCTAATCCCAAGACTTCAGACAGGATTCTGAGGATCATAAAAATTCATCACAGAGCCCTCAAGCCTTCGTATAATTTGGAGAGTAATTACTGCTTTACACTGATTAACACTGGAAAATCTTTTAATTGACATAATGAGAAAGAAATACCAATGATACAATGCATCCACAAGATACTGGGGCTGTACAGGTTCTGCTCTAATCATATGCTGAATGACGTCAGGTTCCAGATATTCTGGACAAGTAACTTTTCATTCTTCTTAGCTGGTGACCAGCTCTATTTATATAAAATCTCTCAGGGTTAAAAACCTACTATTGTGCATTTATCTAGCAAGGGGCTGGGAATGACCAGCCCTTGTGATCTGTCAATCATGAGAACATGAAGTTTGATTTTTGAAGTATTGGATGAAAAATAATTGTCAAATACATTCTTGTAATTTTTATCACTCTAATTGCCAACAAAGTACTTGGGCAAGACTTGGGGAACTCATCCTCTCACTGAGGTTCTAGGATCCTTATTTCAAGCCCATTTCATTCCATAACTGATCCAGAAGTCACTTTTATAGACCCTTATAGAATCACCCTTTATTATATTAAAGCAAGTGTGTGCCTTGTGTAGTTTAGATATGCCAGTACTGTTGTCTTTGGAATCAAGAGATGAGTTCAAATTACTAGATTCTTGTGTAGTATATCTATGACTATATAAAAATAATTTCAATACTACTACAGTAGTTTTTAGATTGTAAAAAAAGCTGTTGTTGTTTATAGCCACTTGAGATAACTGAGGAACATTTTTTTCTTTTGGCCAAATATGCATTTTTCTGAGACCTCTCTGGAGGGGAGTGGAACGTTACAACTAGAACCAGGCTCTGGGAAATACAACCACATCTGTGTTTCGTAATGATTTTGAAGCTAGATTTTAGTTGTAGGGATTTTTTGTCTATTCTGCCAGGGGTATTAACATACTCACTTCCTGTAAAAAGATTTAAAAAAAAAAACTAAGAAAAAAGAAAGGAAAGACACCAGGCAGAGCTAAGCAGACTAGCTTCCTTTGTTTGCTTGGCTTTTAAAGTATTCTTCTGAAACTGAATTGACTGGCATTTTCTTTGGTTTGTAACCAAACACAAATGGTTGAAGTGTTGTGTCCTGCTAACACATCTTCAAAAATGCAAAACAAAAAAGGCAGGGACATTTCAAGAACATTTATTCTGGGAGCTAGTGCTTAAAGCAGTGGGCGAGATAGGCATCCAATTTTTGTTGGCTATTCACCAAATCATCGCACTTAGGGAGAAACAACTCCGCATGTTATACTGTCCAAAATATTGACAGACCTGCAAAGCAGGGTTCAGCAATCAGTCTTACATGTAAGTTCTGAATAGAGAGAATTGGATTTCCTGATCTAGAGCAGATTTTCAACAGATTTCAGTTAAAGAAGACTGATACAATAAAAAATGTATGAGCTTTAAAATCAGATAGACCTGGGATTGAGTCTTGTTTCTGCCATATGTTAGCTGTTTGTCCTTGGGCAAGTTAGTTGACTTCTCTAATCTTGTTTCTTCATTTATAAAATAAGGGTAATGGTCCTCCCAAGTAGTACTGTTCTGGGAAATTCGAGACAATACATCTAATATCTACTCGGCTGCCTATAATCAGCTGAGTTTGAGTTTATTTTTATTTTAAATTCTGAGTTATGTTTCAGTTTGTTTACATAAGAACCCAGCGATTACGGTCACCTCAGTCTAATGACCTCTTATTTAATTATTTTAACACACTTTTAACACCTTCTGCCTTGAATATAGATTTCATAGTAATTTATTTTAAGACCTATATAAAATTCTATTTGACATATATAATATAATTTAACTACTTTACTACTTTGGGACATTTAGGTTGTTTCTAAAGAAGTTTTTTTAGGGACCGTGAAGAACATTCCTAAATACTCAAGAAAAAAACAGAAGACAAAAAACGAATAAAAACAACAGCAACAAAAATAGAGGCTTATTTAATGACAGAAGTGTCAGGGTCACCTAGGGCAGCACTTACCTAGAAGGACTTCTCTGTCCCTCTTGTCAAGGCTCATCCTGACTCTTATTGCACACTTCCAGTGGGTGACAAGGATCATGCAGACAACACAGCTCTGGGGCAGAGGATCTGATGGCTTCCTAGAGCTGTCTTCCAAATGGCATCTGTAGGTACTCTTGCCCATGTGTACCCTCTAAGGAACTGGTGAGTAGCCCCACACTTTGTTTAGGAAAATAGGGTATTTTGGTGGTTGGAATTATTCCCACACCTCTTTTTATGGCAAAGAGTTTTCTCTTCATCAGCAGATTCCATAGTATGTAGAGCAGAAGTCTCCAACTGGCAGCCCAGGGGCTAATTATGGCTGCAGATCCGTTTGGTTTGACCCAAACGGGACTAAAATTATATGTAAAGTTTGTTGCCAACTTCACATACAGATCTGAATTCCTTGCATCTTTGAGCAACTGGAGGATTTGGCAATACAGAATCCACATTTTTACTTTCCAAAGACGGCCTGGACTTGACTAGTGTCTGTGCCAAAAGAAGAGACATAAACTATTCATTTTTTCCTTACCTCTTGCCTGCATCATTTATTTATTTACCTGGCTTCTGTGATATCTGAATTTGCAACTCTCTTCTGCTAGACCTCTCTTTTCTTTGTGCCTATATATCTGCACAAAGATAGAAATACAATTGAGTAACAAGCCAGAGGGGCATGGATTGACTTCAGTTAGAATAGAAAGCTATTAAACATTTATAACCAGATTCTTAGTAAACACAATCATTGTGTGTGATCTTTACAAGCAAAGAGTGAAAAAGAATTGTGCCGAAAGCAAAAGATGATACAGAGCCACATCTGAGACACTGAGTCAGCCCCAAGCCAGAGAAAGTTTATCATTCTACAGAGATAAGGGGTTGAAGGTCAAGGTGTGTTTGTGTTTATTTGTCTGTGTAAATATCATAAAGAGAATTGCTGAAGAAAACTCAATGCATGTGGGACTTAGGTCTTCTCAATTACCCATTTTATTTTATTTTATTTTTTAACATTTGAATTAAAGAGTTCTACTGAAACACTAATTTGTAAGAAAAGACAAAACCAAAAAACCAAGGACATCAAGTCTTGGCACCTTAATGGAAATATGTAAACAGACATAATATTTTCACTGAGTTTTATTAAATTAATCCTAACACCAGTTTAATTAAGCTTTGGATTTTACTGATTGTGATGGATTACTTCATAGATATACACACCAAAGTATGCAGAATAATATGTTAAACTCCAAGGTACCCAACCACCCAGTTTAAGAAATTATCCATTTAATAAACAGACAAAACGCTTCATGTGTCTCTCCTCTATTACATTTTCTTTTGCACCCCAAGGTCATATTATCCTAAATTTAGTGTTTATTACTTTTGTGCATGATTTTATATTAGGTATATAGATTCACTAATCACATATATGATATTTTTCAAACTTTAAAATTCATATGTGGCTCGTTCTGGCTACCATGTGGAATTTTCTTTCAAGTATATATTTTTTTCTATTTTTTTACTAGTATACATATTTCTGCATTGAACATTTTTGTACTTGTTTTTTTGTGAACCTCGTAAATCTAGAAGTGCAATTCCTGCTGGGTAATGGGATATATATCTTTTTCATATCACTAGATTTTGTTAAGTTCTTTCCAATAAAGTATATCAATTTACACTCCTACCAGGGTTATAAGAAAGTTGTTTTGCTATAACCTTGCTAACACTTGTTTTTTATTTAACAAAACTGATGGATGTAAAAATGGTAGTTTAATGTTAGTTTAATTTGCATTTTCCTGATTATTGGTGAAATTTCCTGTTTTTATTTAACAAAACTGATGGATACAAAATGGTATTTTAATATTGATTTAATTTGCAGTTTCCTGATCATGGGTGAAACACTTTGGGTCTGTTTTGGGTTTTCTCTTTGAATGGTTGCTTCAAACCCTTTGTACAATTTTTTTTTTTCTCCTGGATTGTTAGTTTTTAAGAGAGTTTAATTGAGTTTTAAATACCAAAATGATGACATATTTATGTCAATAAACCAGCTATGCACACTGGCATCATCTCAATTTCCTAGGTCCTTTAAAGAGTGACTTTAAAAAAACAAAATTTAGAAATACATTTTTGATGCCATGAACACATGAAAAAGTAAATAGGTCTGGTTGCAGGTTATGTTTCCTTAAAATGATTACTGAGTTCTCTTCATATATGCTAACACATCCTTGATCTTTTAAACTGGTTTCGAGGCCATTTAAGATATTTTACACAGTTTGCTATTGGAGATTTCTGAAGAAAAATCTCTGAGACTGATTTATGTAGCTTTGTTAATTGTGTTAAAAAGTCACTTGGATGTATTCCTGGTATTTTACACATTTTATCCACTATCTACTTATGTAAATGAACACCTTTTTGGATTGTAGATGGAGAAAAATCTTTTTATAAGTATTCGACATCTTCTTTCTATACCAATAATTATTTTTGAAAGCATTCCTTGTATCATAAATTATCTATCTTTTCACAGATGATAATTTCTTTCTTATTTTTCCTTTCTTT
The DNA here is from genome assembly GCF_000001405.40 of Homo sapiens. Lineage (NCBI taxonomy): Eukaryota > Metazoa > Chordata > Mammalia > Primates > Hominidae > Homo > Homo sapiens. Next base: position 150,686,088 of record NC_000002.12, on the reverse strand, counting down.
CCTTTTTTCTTTTTAATTGAGTAGGGCAGTGCTTTCCATGACTGAGAAAGCCATGTTTCTCAATTGTACTCTGCATTTCAGCAAAGCCACTCAGCTTTAAAAAGTCATAGATCACCTCAAATTTTTTTCCTGATACATCTTGAATGACACAGACATAGTTCCCGTTCATTGCTGCTGTGCATGTAAGTCAGATAGCAGTGAGGTAGTTTGGATAAATGTACAATTAACTGGATTTAAGGTTGCTTGTTTATAGATATATTTTGAGACAGTATCAAGTATCAAGATCTTCTTGAAGGCATAATAAATTCAGTAAGCATCAGTGCGAAAATGTCCTTGGATTTTATGTATAACAAGGATAACTGGAAGTCAAATCCAAAGTAAGCATGACCAAAAACAGAGAGAGGGCAAATTGAAAAGATTTTGAAACAGATGCAAAAGTATGAGTCCATTTTGGAGACAAATGTAAAATGCATAGAAATCAAGAATAGTTAGAAAGGGAGCTGCTTAAAGTCACCTTCTGGAGGAAGACAATACACATGAATTATGTGTATACAAATACACATAAATTTGGTTGTGTTTGGTAACACAACCAAAGTGTGTCTTCAAGAGGCTTGAGGGCCAATGATTAAGTATCATAACCATATTGATGCTGTGAAAATAGGCAAAGTTCTTCTGATGTAGTAGAACTCTTATAAAATCACTACAGCAAATGATGAAGTCTGAATGATAGCTATAAATCACATTCAGTCTGAATGCTTTTGAAAACATAGAGCTCCACAGTAAATTTCTAAAATGAGTCAATCTATCTGGTGGAAGAGGGAGAGACAAAGTAGAATCCAACTGTGTTTTATGTAGGTTATGCTGGAGGAATAATTTTTAGTGAGAAATTTGCAAAAATCCATTGAGGTGGCATAATAAAGGAGAAGTGTTCAGAGAGTGCCAGAGGATCAATGTGGAAATATATCTATTAGCATTAGCAGGAGTACTTAACCATTGGAACAGAATTCAGAGCAAGTAATTGACATATTAGCCCTCCATAGTCAAAGGTATATTTTTTAAAAACATCAGTACAGGTTCAGTAGACGTGACCCAGGAGGCCTTAGGAGGTCCTACCATCTGTGACTAATTTTATGAAACATTAAGCAGCACTTTACCTAATCTCTTTTTATGAAGTAGAAGCCTTTGAATTTTGTACTTCATTGTCTCTGTAAAGCTGCATTTATATGGTTTCCGTACATCGTCTAATTCTCATAGAGAATTAAAAGAAAGCAGTAAAAAGAATCTCTATATAATCTTGTGATAGTTATCATCCTTGAACTTGGAATACACATTTTTATTATGGATCTGTGGATAAATGTAAATATCTTCAGTGTTTTCTCTTTGGTATCTCTAAGTACCCAGCGCAAGAGTGAGAACACAGAGTTGACCTAGATCCTTGGGGAAGCTGAGGGAGAATGGTACACAAAGAAATCACCTTGGCCTTGACATTTATGAGAACTTTGCTTTCTTTTTTGCAACAGACCAAAGTTTAGCTTAATATTACATCACATTTTAAATGACTTGTAATCAAGTAAAATTTGTGCTTCCCTGAGATGTGTACATTTAACTCATGTCTTAAAACCCCTAGTAAATTTGGCAACCCTTCAGAGTGCTGCCTGCCCCAGTCTGAGAAGTGTAAGAGTGAAGGAACTGGTGCTGCTGTATAAGATCATTCACTTCATAAATCCTTGACGAGGACTGACAATATGCCCGCCACTAGGTGAGGCTGGGGATACAACAGTGAACAAGACACAAGATTTAGAGCAGGAGTGTCCAATCTTTTGGCTTTCCTGAGCCATATCGGAAGAAGAATTGTCTTGGGACACACATAATATACACTAACACTAATGATAACTCATGAGCTGAAATAAAATTGCCAAAAAATCTCATAATGTTTTAAGAAGGTTTACAAATTTGTGTTGGGCCATGTTCAAAGCCTTCCTGGGCTGCATGTGGCCCATGGGCTGCAGGTTGGACAAGCTCGACTTAAGAGTTTAGTGGCAACCAGTTTTTACCTGCAAATATTTCTTCCCAGAGCATAGATAAACACTCATGCCAAAATGGCCAGACACAATGGCTCGTGCCTGTAATCCCAGCACTTTGGGATGCTGAGGCAGGTGGATCACATGAGGTCAGGAGATTGAGACCAGCCTGGCCAACATGGTGCAACACCATCTCTACTAAAAATACAAGAATTAGCTGGGTATGGTATGCATGTCTATAATCCCAGCTACCTGGGAGGCTGAGGCAGGAGAATCACTTGAACCTGGGAGGTGGCAGTTGCAGTGAGCTGAGATTGCACCACTGCACTCCAGCCTGGGCAACAGAGTGAGACTCTATCTCAAAAACAACAATGACAACAATGCAAAAATGCCAGTGAGTGTACTACCTACTGGAAGGGATGATGGTTGACTTCAGAGGCTGAAGAGATCTTCAAGCAATAGAAGCTTGATGTAATGTCACTTGCATGTGGGTGTCAGCCACCAATAGGATCGACACTGCAGGGCAACACCTTTCAGGACTTTAGTTTCTCCAAGCACTAGACTCTCCCCTTGGACGAGTCCAAATTGTGTTCCCAAACAGGCCAAATTTTGTTCCCTCTAAATTCATATGTGGAAGCCGTAACCCCCAGAGTGACTATTTTTGAAGATACAGCATATTTAAAAAGGTAATTAAGGCTAAATAATGCATAAAGGTGAGGCCCTAATCCAATAGGATTGGTATTCTTATAAGAGGAAGAGGTACCAGAGTTCTGTCTCTGTCACGAAAAAAAAAAAAACAAGTCACTGATGCATTGAAGCCATCTCCTCAGTGATGGTCAGGTGATAAAACTATAAAAATAATTGTGCTTGGATCATTTTGCCTATTAAGTACTGATATCTAAAAATTGTACTTCTTAGAAAATTGTATTTAAAAATTATGCGGCCGTATTACCTGTTGCAATCAATGTTGTGGTCCACATTGATTGCTTAGCATGGTGCTCTTACCAAATCTGCAGGCTTACCTCAAATGTGCGTACTTGAGAGACGTAACACAGTTTCTTTAAGTTAATTTGAATTTATATGCACAAACTACAACATATGGCCAGTTTAAATAAGCATTGGTTTGGGGGTATTGTAAACACATTTGATAAACTACTTTAAATCCTATTTTGAATATATAGCGTACTGTTCTCCCATCTGGCTCTTCCATGCAATTTCTGAAGTTTTAATGTCAATTTCTACTCAGCTAGCTGATATGTAGCATGCAGACTTGACTTAGGCCTCTCACACATTTCTGTTACTTATTCTGGGTGTTGCATGCCCTCAAGGAGCTCTGTAGTTCCTTGGCAAAGTTTTTTCTTTATAGAGAGGGCTTGGCCTTGCTTCCTTTCTAAGTAGGTTCATTTTAAAGGATGTTCTTTCCCAAGGTGGAAATAATTTTCCTGGACGCAAGACAAACTGGTTGTTTAAAGGAGCCAGACACTTCTGCCTGCTAACTTTTTTGAGCCCCCATCACTTTCCACCAAAACAAACACAGGATAGGCCATATAAGACAATTATCTTCGTAGACAATATAAACAAACATAGTTGACCACTTATTAACTATGCCTATCTAACCTGTCTCCAGAAAGCAGTTTATAATGAGAAAAATATACAATAATGTTGATAAAATTAACATAAATTAAATATATGAATTAAAAAGAAACCACCATATGCTAATCACTCAGCCTGATGAGCCACTATGATAAAGATTACATTTATCTCTGAGCCTCCTGGAAGTCAAAGAAAAAGCAGATGAGCTATGAGCTCCTCCAGTTGATGATGGGGCAATGATAATTTTTTACTGCCTGTTGTGTGACACCTTTGTCCTAACATACATCTTCCAGCCACCCCATGAGACTAGTCCACCATCCTCATTTTAATATGAGGAAGTAGATACTCATAAAGGGAAAATGCCTTTATCAAGGAGAAATAGCTAGAAATCTTGGAAATAGTTCAGGTATGGCTGTATCCCACTTTTGTTCTTTCTAAAATCCAGGAGCATGGTATTAAATTTTAACTTAATAAAGGTATGTCTGCAGATTCTCCCTTGATATCATTGCCTGGGAACAGAAAATAAAAATATGATATTCAGGAGTATATTATAGTAGTTTGTAGGCAATTGTTTTTCTTCCTATGACCAATACCCAGTGGTAATGTACTCATCAGTTTCCACTTACCAGAATATCAGGAAAGTGAAACCATCCCTATAAAGTTTATAAAATTAATCAGGGAAGAAGAGAGGGGGAGAAAAAAATAAACCAAGCTTACAGCACACTTAGCATTAATCATTAGGTCAGCTGCTCTCTGACCCACTTCCTCATAGTCATTTGCTGCCTATTACCTCAGAATCACATTAGACCCTGTCCTAGGATTATAGTTCCCCTTAACTGCTCTGTAGATAACATCTTAAGCATTGTGAAACATTAAATTTTCCATTTGAGAGATTCTTTCAGGCCCTGCCTACTGATGAAATCACTGATGTCAGCTGGTCTGAAGGACCCCATGACATACTGACTCACTGAATAATACGGTTTCCACATCCTGACGAGTTCATCCCCTTACCCTGACTGATAAATGATCCCAGTTTTCCAGCCCTTTGCCCTCCATGATCCTCTTAAAAACTCCTAAGGGAGATGCATCTGAGGGTCCCTCTCATCTCCTTGTTCAGCTACCCTGTGATCATTAAATGCTTTCTTTGCTGCAAGTCCTGCTGTCTCAGTGTGTTGGTATGTTACTGTGCAGTGGGCATGCAAACCTGATGGTCCTGTAACTAAAGGAAGTTTGCTAGAGGGAGGAAATGTGTTGAGAGCATGAGTCTCTTCTTCTTATATATGTGTTTTCCACATTCCAATAAAAAATTAATTAATTTCTTTATTACTTACCTGGTGTACAAGTTTCCTTGGGCTGCTGTAAGAAATTACCATACTGGGTGGTTTAAAACTACAGGGATTTATTCTTTCATGGTTCTGAAGGCCAAAATCAAGGTGTAGGCAGGGAAGCATTTTCTGCTGATGCTCTAGGGGAGAAGCCATTCTTTGCCTCTTCCAGCTTCTGGTAGCTGTTGGCATGTCCTGACTTATAGCTACATCACTCCAATCTCAGCCTCTGTAATCATATCACCTCCTCTTCTTCTGAGTGTCTGTATCTGGTCTCCCTCTGCCTCTCTCATGGGGACACTTGTGGTAGCATTGAGGATTCACTTGAATAATCCAGGATAAGCTCCTCCTCTCAAGATTCTTAACTTTGTCACATCTTTTGCCATAAAATATAATGCCCTTTTGCCATTTTTTAAGCTTACCGCATCTGTGACCTTTGGCCCAAAAGATTCACATCTGTCCCACATGTGAAATATATCCACCTAATTCCAACATTGTAAAAATTCTCAATAGATTTAAGCATCTATTCAAGTCCAAAAATCTCATCTAAATATCATCAGTTCAAAAGTCCCAAATATCATTGCTATGGTCTGAATGTTTGTGTCTTCCCTAAATTCATATGTTAAATTCTAATCACCAAGGTGATGGTATTAGAAGGTGAGGCCTTTGGGAGGTGATTAGGTTAGGAGGGCCCTGTCCTCCTGAAAGGGATTATAAAAGAGGCCCCAGAAAACTGCTTTGCCTCCTTCCATCATGTGAGGATGCAGCAAGAAGGCACCACCTGTGAATCAGAAACTAAGCCCTCACCAGACTCCAAATCTGCTGCCACCTCAGTCTTAAACCTTCTAGCTTCTAGAACTGTAAGAAAAAAAATTCCTGTTGCTTTTAAGCCATCCAGTTTTTTGGTAATTTGTTACAGCAGTCTGAATGGACTAAGGCAATCATCATCTAAATCAGGTATGGGTGAGGGTCTGGATATGATTTATTCTGGGGCAAAATTCTTTCTGTCTGCCTAGGAAATTAGAAAATAAGTTATCTTCTTTCAAAATGTAATGGTGGGAGAGACAGTTATAGACATTTTCATTTCAGAAAGGAGAAAATGGAAAGAATAAAATGGTAACGGGTTCCAGGTAAGTTGAAAATTGAGCAGGACAAATTCCATCAGGTTTCAAGGCATGAGAATCCTCTGTGACTCACAACTGTGTATGCCTCTGCATTAATGTCTACTCTCAGAGTCATTCTTTTTCTTGGAGGGTAGCACATATTTTTAGCTAATTAGTTTTATCAGCATGTTTTTTGCATGTAGTATTTTGGAGTCCAACAGTATTTCTTCATGTTGTCTTTGTCTTTCTCAATCGAACTAACAATGTTTCTGCTAATATAATATTCTTGAAAACCTGTGGGTCTTCCGTGAATTTCACAGGAATACACAACATGAGACAACAACACTCTCCACAAATCGTCCCCGGATAATCTCATCTTGATTCTTGGCTTCCACTGAGACGACTGAGTGGATCCATGAGTCACACGCCTAATCTCTTTAGTTAAAAGGTGTCCAACTACACCCTTGGCTTTCTCTCCAGAGCGTGCTTTCCTAAAAGTGAATCTTCTAATTTTGGCATTGTTTTCAACCTGTAAAGGCTGATAATTTCTCATGTCAATATCTGATTCATTTTTGCTTAACTGTTCTTTCCTCAATTTATCTCTTTCCTCTCTCATTTTACTATATGCAGCAAGAAAAACCCAGGGCACACCTGCAATACTTTGCATGGATATCTCCTCAGCTAAATGTCCAAGTTTATCACTTACAGGTTCTGCTTTTCATATAACTGTAGGATGCAGTTTGGTGAAATTTTCTGCCACTATGTAACAAGAGCCACCTCTTCTTCTATTTCCAATAACATGTTCCTCATTTCCTTTTGAGTTCTTGCCAACCGTACCTTTAACATTCATATTTCTATCAATATTCTGTTCATGAAAATATATATATTTGCTTAGAAAATAGAAGCTTTCTCTACTGTGCTGCTTCTTCCCTCTGAGCACTCATTAGCAGTGTCTTTTAGTTCTATATTTCCTTTAACAATCTGCTCAAAGCAATTTAGAATTTTTCTGTCAAGCACCTCATAATTCTTCCAGACTTTACCCATTGTCCAATTCTAAAGCCGCTTTAAAATGTTTAGGTATTGTTACCACAGCACCCCACTTCCTGGTACCAAGATCTGTATTAGTTTACCTCCAACTGGGTGGCTTATGACTACAGGAATTGAGTATCTCACAGTTCTGGAGGTTAGAAGTGCAAGATCAAGGTATTACCAGGACCACATTCCCTATGAGGCTCGAGAGGAGAATCCATTCTTTGTTTCTTCCAGCTTTTGGTAGCTGTTGGCATTCTTTGGCTTGAAGCTACATCACTCCAATCTCCGCCTCTGTGGCCATAGCACCTCCCCTTCTTTTGTGTGTCTATCTGATTTGCCTTTGCCTCTCTCCCATAAGGACTTTTGCGATGCCATTTAGGGCCCACCTGGGTATAACCCAGAATGAGATTGTCCTCTCAAGATCCTTAATGTAATCACATCTTTATTCGTATAAGGTAATATTTTATACTTTAATATAAAGTATACTTTAATACTTTAGCCAGTAAGGAAATATTCACAGGTTCTAGGGATTACAAAGTAAACATATCTTTTTTGTTTTTGCATGGGTTGGGGAGGATATTTATAGCCTACTGCACCCTATAACATCATTAACACTCAGGGGCAAGGGGATTTTTGTAAGAATATGCCACCAGAGGTAGATTTGTTTACTTTTTAAATTTTTTAATTTTTTTTGAGACAGGGTCTGGCTCTGTTGCCCAGGCTGGAGTGCAGTGGTGTGATCTGGGCTCACTGCAGCCTCCACCTCCCAGGCTCAAGCAATCCTCCTACCTCAGCCTCCCAAATAGCTGGGACTACAGGTGCATACCATTATGCCCAGCTAATTTTTTTTTTTGTAGAGATGGGGTTTCATCACACTGACCAGGCTGATCTTGAACTCCTGGGTTCAAGCAATCTGCCTGCATTGGCCTCCCAAAGTGCTGGGATTACAGGCCAGAGGTAGATTTAATGTGCCTGATCAGTTAGCTCTTGTTTAGAGAACAGATTTGGATTTTAAACCTAAAAGGCACTCTACATAGATTTCAATACTAGATAATAGAAAGGAAAGCATAGTTATTATTTTACGATGAGGCTTATGCCTGTTTATACAGGGGATATATAAGACTTGAATGTTCAGGACAAGTGTAAGAAAGCGGAGAGGCAGAGGCAGAACTGGGCAGCCTGTTGCTATGGAGATACAATTAGTATTTCCTTTGACTTCCCTAAGAAACCCTGCAGCCAACTTTTCTACATGCAGATATTTAGCACAGTTTGACATCCTCTCTAGTTTCCCTTGATCACACAAAACGTATTCCCCTCTTCAGCAGAGAAGCCTCTATTGAGGTTATTCTACCCAACAAAGATCTTCCTGCTGCTCATCTTCTTCCTCCCCCAACACACACACACATCTACACACATGCACATGCCTGCTTGCTTTTTGCCCTCTGTTATTGTAATCCGGCAATTTAAAATCTTTGGTGCACATCATAATCCCATGCTGAGTTATTTAAGGAAATAAATGTCCAGGTTTAGCCATAAAATAGCTGAATGAAAATCTCTGGGGATGAGGTCCAGGTACAAGTACGCTGACAATCTCCATAGGAGACTGGGATATCAATCAACATATGCAAACACTTGTACTAATTTACTTTCAAACCTCCTGACTGTCAACCCTAAGTCACTGTGTTAAGTCACTTGCCAATACCATTTCTCTCCCATTTCTTTTGAACTTTGCCTTCAACCCCTGTAATTGGTATTCTCAAACAAAGTCTCTAATATTGCACTTTGAAGCTAAATGCTTGCTTATGCCTAATACCTGTAGTCAGACTGCCCTAGTGGCAGCCCCTGACCAGCCAATGGGGCATTCACCTGTCACCTAGTTTGTATCCTGCTGACTGCTGAATGCCAAATGCCCAGAATTCCTTCTGCTACCTAATGACACACCTTTCCCTGACTCTCTGTGGAACCGTGAGGACTGGGTATTACTTCTAACCCATGGTAATACCCGATCTTGTCATTAAGTCCTGTCTTATCTTTAAGGAAGCACTGGCAGGAAAAGAGGCAAGATTTCAACCATTGCAGCCCTTACAGAAGCTGCCAAACCCAAATCAAAACACCAACTTGGAACCTAAGCCATTACGGTCAGTTAGCTACATTCTCTTCTCTACAAAAAAAAAAAAAAAAAAAAAAAAAGTACTGAGATAAGTGCCCCATGAAGTACATATAACATTGTTACATTATCTACTTACTTGTCTGTATTTCTACTAGAGTGTATATCCTGAAAAAAAAACATACTCATTTTTTTACTATTATAGTCTCCATATCCCACATGGCACCCAGCATATAGTAGTTATAATTAATATCTTTTTGATAAATGAATGAATGATTTGGTAGAGACATTATAGTTAAAAGACTTTTTATTATCCCTACCTCCCTATCCAGTAATTGACTTTCCTCCCCTGTGGCTGCCTCAAGTGAATTTAGGGAATAAAGTTCATGTAACCTATGGCCTCTCACGTAATATAGTCTGAAGAGCCAGTACTTTCCACCTAACTAGCCCAATTATGCCCAAACATTAATTGTCCGTGGTCCATGGAGCCTTCAGTAGTCTATCACACTACATTACATTGTCTCTCATTGATGGGTTACCACAATCTAGAAGTTTTGAGTAGTGTCATTTAAGAAGTGCAACATTTCTCCCCCTTGAAATTGCCATTGAATCCTGCAGATTTGTATTAGTTTGTTCTGGCTGCCATAGCAAAATGCCACCAATTGGGTGGCTTAAAAACAGAAATGTATTTTGTCACAATTCTGGAGGCTACAGACCTAAGATCAAGGTGTTGGCGGGGTTGAAGCCTGAAGGCCTCTCTCCTTGGCTTACAGATAGTCATATCCCTGTGGCTTCTCATGGTCTTTCCTCTGAGTTTATCTGTAGCTTAATTTCCTCTTCATATAAGGATATCAGTCAGATTAGATTAGGGCTCACTCAAATGACCGCATCTTAATTTAAGTAATTTTAAAGACCTTATCTCTAAATACAGTCACATTCTGAGATACTGGGGGTTGGGATTTCAAGATATGAATCTTGGCAGGGGTTGGGGGCATGATTCAGCCCATATCATCTCCATATGCCACAACAATAGCTTCCCTCCATGATCAGCACACAACAGTTGTGGGGCCCACTTATTTATCCCACTCTAGAATAAGGGTCTAGTTTACTAGAGGAAATAGATCACAGAGTGGATTTTTAACTCAATTATCTAAAGCCCTTTCTGTAGGGCACTTCCTCACTAACCACACTTAAAATAATTCTCAAGAGTGGATCAGTGGGCTTTCCCATTGTTTTTTGCTAATTACTTGTGACAATAATTGCTACACTGTGGTCTCTGAAGTTTTTCTAAAAGAGAGTTTAGAATCATCAAACCTTAGTTTATTTGAACTCCATATAAAATGAAATACTGTTTCGTAAACCCCTAAAACCTTCTGTTAAATTTTTTATTTGTGATCTAGATCCACAGAACTCTCCCCTAGGGCTTTTCCAACTTTACTTTAGCTCTGCTCCACTTAAGTTAAAATTCTAAAAACTCCCACCAGTCATGCAGGGCATGAATGGACAACACATATCAAGTTCCCCTGACCCATTCATACCACTACTCCTCCTTTACCAGAATTGGTGGCCATTTTTCTATCAGGAGCAAAATCTGATCTATCAAAGCCAAAAATGATTTCTCAAAATCATTTATTTAAAATTAAATCAGTGTTTAAAAATGATTGATCAAAATCCAACTTACCAAAGTCAATGATAGGTCTATTACTTCTACCACAGATTTATTTATATGTGGGCACATGTTCCAGTTCTAGCCAATGAGACATGAGAAAAAAACCACTAAGAGCTTTGGGGAAATATTTCTTAATCCTAAGAGATAAACGTTGAAGAGATAGCACTTTTCTGCCTCTGGACATTGTCATCTCTGAAATAACTATAACTACATTACTACAAGCCTGAAGCTAAAAACCAACAATGGAAGAAAGAACAAGATAACCGTAGGAAGGGAGGTGGAAGTCCCAACACACAGTGTCTGAAGGGGCCTTATACAGACTCATTATCCTTTATTTGAAATGCTTGGGACCAGAAGTGTTTCAGATTTCAATTTTTTTTTCAGATTTTGGAATATCTGCATATACATGTTGAGATATCTTGAGGACAGGGCCCAAGCCTAAATACTAAATTTATGTTTCATATACACCTTATATACATTAGCCTGAAGGTAATTTTATAAAATATTTTAAAGAATTTTGTGTACAAAAAAAAGTTTTGACTACATCTTGATTGTGACCAATCAAATGAGGTGAAGTGTAGAATTTTCCTCCTGTGGCGTCTTGCCAGGGCTCAAAAAGTTTCTGATTTTAGAGCATCCTGGATTTCCGATATTTGAATTAGAGGTACTCAACCTGGGTTTCTTATTCTATCAAATTACTCATTCTCATATGGGTTTAATCAATTTCCTTCAGATTTTTTTCTTTCTTGCAGCTGATGGCATTTTAAGTGAGTCATTAATTCAAAAATATAAACCAAGGAGCTATAGTGATCCAGGAATTTTACTGGAGTGTGGAAATACTATGAGAACAAGAAAAAGAAGTTTCCTATCAGAAAGACTGACATTAAATCAACCGTATTTTTAAATTTAATTCTTACTGAAAATACTACACAAAAATACAGGATACAATCAGAGTATAAAATAGAAATCATAACATGAGTTGGGCTTAGATTTGGTATCAAATAAAGCTTCCCTGAGAAAGCGACAATTAAACGTGGATAAAAATATGGAGTGTTTTCAAAATTTCCATTAAATGAGTGATTCTCTTACTGTCCAGCAACTGTGGTATTTTTCTTTTTAACAAAGTAGATTCAGAAAGTTTCTACTCTCCTTCTGTTGTTAAATTCTAAACAGAACCCAAAATAAGTCAGAGGCAGGTTTAAAGGCAGTATTCAAGAGGAGGTAATTGGTGTTGAGAAAATCAGGGTTAATGTCCTCTTTCTACCACTAACTGGCTGGCATAGTAGGCAGATTGATTGATTGATTGATTTAATTTAGTTTTTAGAGAAAGGGCCTTACTCTGTCACTCAGGCTCAAGTCATCTTCTCACCTCAGGTTCTCAAGTAGCTGAAACTATAGGTGTGTGCCACCATACTAGGCTAATTTTTAATTTTTTTTTTTTAAGAGACTGGTCTCACTATGCTGCCCAGGCTGGTTCTGAACTCCTGGGCTCAAGCAATCATCCTACCTCAGCCTCCCAAAATGCTGGGATTATAGGCATGAGCCACTGTGCTCAGCCACGATAGGCAGATTTTAACGTAGCTATGAGCCTTAGTTTTTTATTCTATAAAATGAGGCTGAGAATCCCTAGCTCACAGGGTTTATAGAAAGCAAATAAGTATGCAAAACATTTAACATAGTGACTGACACATAGAGAGTGCTCTATCAGTGGTAAACATTTTAATTTCTATTACCGAATAGTTATTATTCTAGGCACTTCATGCAATGTATCTCTGAATATGGAAAATTTTGGTGTTAAAATAATTGTAGTGGATTATTATTCTTTAATTATACTCTGGGACTTCGTTTCTGGTGGATTTTTTTGTCCTCCAATATATTCAGAGGAATCTGAGAGAATAACTGCTGGTTCTTTGATTATTCAATGAGTGAAGTGAACATGAGACTATCTTAGCAGTTTGCAAATGTCCAGTTCAGTATTTCCAAGCACTCGTCACTCAGTTTTAGGAAAATATTTCCTAGGCAATGAACAAAACGTGATTTCAGTTCAGATTTAATTTTTAAATTTTATTTTATTAATTGAGTAATAATATACATGAAGTAAAATGCATACGGTGTACTAATCTTAAATGTATTTCTCAATGATTTCTTACATGTGTATACATTCAAGTAAACATCACTCAAATTAAAATAATAGATTACTTGAAGCACCTTATAAGATTGCTTCATACCACTCAATACTCTATTTTCCCAGAGGTAAATTTTCCTACTTCTGCCATTAACAATTACTTTTGCCTGTTTTAAAATTTGTATAAATATTATTATTCAGAATGTATTTTTGTAACTGTTTTTCTTAACTTATTTGTAAGATTATTCATGTTTTTGCATAGTCATGTTTTTCTGTTTATTAGTGTTGTATAGTATTCCATTTAATAAGTATACTACAAATTTTTTAACCATTCTCCAGATAAGGACTAATTGGGTTGTTTCAAGTTTAGAAATCTTATTAATAAATATATTATGAACTTTCTTGTACATGTTTTTGGTGGTTATATGTACTCATTATCTTGGTGTATAAGTAGAAGTAAAAGTACAGAGTTGTAGGAGAGACAGTGTTTACATTTAGTAGATAATGCCAAACATTTTTCAAAAATGATTTTGCCATTCACATTCCTACTAAGAAATGTTTGTTATTGTCAGTTTATAAATTTTTAGCCATTTTAGTGGATGAATAGTAATCTCATTGTGGTTTTAGTCACCATTTCCCTGCTGAGTAAAAATGTCAAGTACTCTTTCGCACGAATATTGGTAATTTGGATACTTTTTTTTTGTGATGAGCCTATTTAAGTCTTTTGCACAATTAAAAAGTTGAGGTTTTTACCATTTCCTTATTGATTTATAGGAGTTCTTGATATATTTTAGATATAAATCCTTTTTCGGTAATTTCTCCATTTTGAGTTGGACTTAATGAAATATGTGTAGCCAGCCACCCATTTATCTTTGAAGGAAATCAGAAGCTTCACTTCTTTTGAAAGCTCTTTCATATAAAACAAAAAGAAGGAAGATCAAAAAGGAGGATATTCCCTCATGTTGCTGTTGAATAGATTCTCAGCAGTTGCTAACGAATTTGCTAAAAATTTATTCAAATATTTATTTCAGAAATTTAATAATCTATGCAACTTTCACTGCTATATGTGTGATACTTTTGCCTAAACTAAAAAGACAATAGTAACCTGAGTTTAAAATAGCAAACTCATTGGTTCTGTTATCTTTTGCAGTTGTCTGAAATGGATGTTAATGCACACTGAGGTTACTGGAGAACAATGAAGATTAAAATTATAATCTTACAGGCCAGAAGGGAGTGAATGATATATTTAAAGTGCTGAAAAAAAATACTGACACTCAATAATATTATATCCAGTAAAATTATCCTTCAGAAATAACAAACAAATGCTGAGGGAATTTGTTACCACTATACCAGTCTCACAGGAAATGCTCAGAGGAATCTTAAACTTGGAAGAGAAAGAACTACATTTACCATAATGAAACACGCAAAAGTATAAAAATCACTACTAACACAATCACACAAAGGAAAAGGGGAACAGACTCAAATGGTACCACTACAGAAATCTACCAAACCACAATGACAAACTACAAGACGAAAATAAAAAAACAAATAATATTTAAAACAACCAGAAAAAAATTAACAATATGACAGGAACAAAGCCTCGCATATCAATAATACTTTTTTCCATAAGTTATTGGGGTACAGGTGGTATTTGGTTAGATGAGTAAGTTCTTTAGTGGTGATTTGTGAGATTTTGGTGCACCCACTGCAGCATGTTTGTAGTCACCACCCCCCGATCCTGCCCTTCAAATCCCCAAAGTCTATTGTATCATTCTTATGCCTTTGCGTCCTCATAGCTTAGCTCCCCCATGTCAGTGAACACATATGATGTTTGGTTTTCCATTCCTGAGTTACTTCACTTAGAATAATAGTCTCCAATCTCACCCAGGTTGCTGCAAATGCCACTAATTAGTTCCTTTTTATGGCTGAGCAGTATTCCATCATATATATATATATATATATATATGATATATATGTGTGATATATGTGGTATATATATGTGTGTGAGATATATATGACATGCATATCATATATATCACAGTTTATTTATCCACTTGTTGATTGATGGGCATTTGGGTTGGTTCCAAGATTTTGCAATTGTGAATTGTGCTGCTATAAACATATGTGTGCAAGTATCTTTTTCACATAATGGCTTATTTTCCTCTGGGTAGATACCCAGTAGTAGGATTGCTGGATTAAATGGTAGTTCTACTTTTAGTTCTTTAAGGGATCTATGCACTGTTTTCCATAGTGGCTGTACTAGTTTACATTCCTACCAGCAGTGTAGAAGTGTTACCTGATCACCATATCCACCCCAATATCTACTGCTTTTTATTTTTTTGATTATGGCCATTTTTGCAGGAGTAAGGTGGTATCACATTGTGGTTTTGATTTGGATTTCCCCGATCATTAGTGATGTTGAACATTTTTCATATGTTTGTTGGCCATTTGTATATCTTCTTTTGAGAATTGTCTATTCATGTCCTTAGCCCACTTTTTGATGGGATTATTTGTTTTTTTCTTACTGATTTGTTTGAGTTCATTGTAAATTCTGCATATTCATTGTTTTCAGATTTATAGATTGTGAAGATTTTCTCCCATTTTGTGGGTTGTCTGTTTACTCTGCTGACTGTTCCTCTTGTCATGCAAAAGCTGTTTAGTTTAATTAAGTCCCAGCTATTTATCTTTGTTTTTATTGCATTTGCTTTTGGGTTTTTGATCATGAAATCCTTGCCTAACCCAATGTCTAGAAGGGTTTTCCCAATGTTATATTCTAGAATTTTTATAGTTTCAGGTATTAGATTTAAGTCCTTAATCCATCTTGAGTTGATTTTTGTATAAGGTGAGAGATGAGGATCCAGTTTCATTCTCCTACATGTGGCTAGCCAATTATCCCAGCATCACTTGTTGAAAAGGGTGTCCTTTCCCCACTTTATCTTTTTGTTTGCTTTGTCTAAGATCAGTTGGCTGTAATTGTTTGAATTTATTTCTGTGTTCCCTATTCTGTTCCCCTGATCTATGTGCTTATTTTTATACCAGTACCATGCGGTTTGGGCAACTATGGCCTTATAGTTTAGTTTGAAATTGGGTAGTGTGATGCCTCCAGATTTGTTCCTTTCACTTAGTCTTGCTTTGGCTATGTGGGCTCTTTTTTAGTTCCATATGAATTTTAGAATTGTTTTTCTAATTCTGTGAAGAATGATGGTGGCATTTTGATAGGGATTGTGTTGAATTCATAGATTGCTTTTGGCAGTAGGGTCATTTTCACAATATTGATTCTACCTATCCATGAGCATGGGTTTCCGTTTGTTTGTGTCATCTACGAATTCTTTCAGCAGTGTTTTGTACTTTTCTTTGTAGAGATCTTTCACCTTCTTGCTTAGGTATAGTGCTAAGTTTGGTTTATTTATTTATTTATTTATTTATTTATTTATTTATTTATTTGCAGTTATTGTAAAAGGGGTTGAGTTCTTGATTTTGTTCTCTGCTTGGTCGCTGTTGGTGTATAGAAGAGCTACCAATTTGTGTAGATTAATCTTGTATCTGAAAACTTTGCTGAACTCTTTTATCAGTTCTAGGAGCTTTCTGGGGGAGGCTTTAGGGTTTTCAAGGTAAATGATCATATCGTCAGCAAACAGTGCCAGTTTGACTTCCTCTTTACCAATTTGGATGCCCTTTATTTCTTTCTCTTGTCTGATTGCTCCGGCTAGGACTTCCAGTACTATGTTGAAGAGGAGTGGTGAGAGTGGGCATCCTTGTCTTGTTCCTCCCAGGGTTGTATTACATTGAGGTATATCCCTTGTATGCCGATTTTGCCGACTTTTAATCATAGAGGGATGCTGGATTTTGTCAGATGTTTTTCCTGTATCTATTCAGATGATCATGTGATTTTTGTTTTTAATTCTGTTTATTCAGTGTATCACATTTATTGACTTGCATATGGTAAACCACCCCTGCATCCCTGGTATGAAAACCACTTGATCATGATGGATTATCTTTTTGATATGTTGTTGGATTCAATTAGCTAGTATTTCATTAAGGATTTTATCATCTATGTTCATCAGGGATATTGGTATGTAGTTTTCTTTTTTGGTTATGTCCTTTCCTGGTTTTGGTATCAGGGTGATACTGGTTTCATAGAATGAATTAGGGAGGGTTTGCTCTTTCTCTATTTTGTGGAATAGTGTAAGCAGGATTGGTACCAAATTCTTTGAATGTCTGATAGAATTCTGCTGTGGATCCATCTGGTCTTGAATGTTCTTTTGTTGGTATTTTTAAATTAACATTTCAATCTTGCTGCTTGTTATCGGTCGGTTCAGGGTATCTAATTCTTCCTGATTTAAGCTAGGAGCATTGTATTTTTCCAGGAACTTATCCATCTTTTCTAGGTTTTCTAGTTTATGTGTGTAAAGGTACTCATAGTAGCCTTGAGAATGATCTTTTGTATTTCAGTGGTGTCAGTTGTAATATCTCCAATGTCATTTCTTAATGATGTTATTTGGATTTTCTTCCCTTCCTTTCTTGGTTAATCTTGCTAATGGTCTATCAATTTTATTTATCTTTTCAAAGAACCAGCTTTTTATTTCATTTATCTTTTGTATTTATTTGTTTCAATTTCATTTAGTTCTGCTCTAATCTTGGTTATTTCCTTTCTTCTGCTGGGTTTGAGTTTGGTTTGTTCTTGTTTCTCTAGTTCCTTGAGTTGTGACCTTCGAATGTCAGTTTGTGCTCTTTTGGACTTTTTGACGTAGGTGTTTAGGGCTATGAACTTTCCTGTTAGCACCACTTTTGCTGTATCCCAGAAGTTTAGATAAATTGTGTCATTATTGTCATTCAGTTCAAATAAATTTTTAATTTCCATCTTGATTTCATTTCTGACCCAGTGCTCATCCAGGAGCAGGTTATTTAATTTCCATGTATGAGAGTTTTGAAGGTTCCTTTTAGAGTTGATTTCTAGTTTCATTCTACTGTGGTTTAAATCTATTGTTTCTTTTTTGACTTTCTGTCTTGATGACTTGTCTAGTACTGTCACTAGAGGGTTGAAGTCCCTCACTATTATTGTGTTGCTGTTATCTCATTTCTTAGGTCTATTAGTAATTGTTTTATAAATTCGGGACCTCCAGTGTTAGGTGCATATACGTTTAGGATTGTGATATTTTCCTGTTGGACAAGGCCTTTTACCATTATATACTGTCCCTCTTTGTCTCTTTTAACTGCTGTTGCTTTAAAGTTTGTTCTGTCTGATATAAGAATAGCTACCCCTGCTTACTTTTGGGGTCCGTTTGCATGAAATGCCTTTTTTTGCCCCTTACTTTAAGTTTATGTGGGTCCTTAGGGGTTACGTGAGTCTCCTGAAGGCAGCAGAGAGTTGGTTGCTGAGTTCTTATCCATTCTGCAGTTCTGTATCTTTTAAGTATAGCATTTAGGCCATTTACATTCAATGTTACTATTGAGATGTGAGGTACCATTCCATTCATTGTGCTATTTGTTGCCTGTATATTTTTGTTTTTGCTTTTTTAATTGTATTTTTGTTTTATAGGTCCTGTGTGATTTATGCCTTAAAGAGGTTCTGTTTTGATGTGTTTCCAGAATTTGTTTCAAGATTTAGAGCTCCTTTTAGCAGTTCTTGTAGTGGTGGATTGGTAGTGATGAATTCTCTCAGCAGTTGTTTGTCTGAAAAAGATTATCTTTCCTTCATATATGATGCTTAGTTTCACTGGATACAAAATTCTTGGCTGCTAATTGTTTTGTTTGAGGAGGCTGAAGATAGGGCCCCAATCCCTTCTAGGGGATGTGGCTTCCTGAAAGCTGAGCTGCAGTGATTGTTATCTCTCTTCTGGGTCTAGCCACCCAGCAAGTCTACCAGGCTCCAGGCTGGTACTGGAAGTTGTCTGCACAGAGTCCTGTGTTGTGAACCATCTATGGGTCTCCCACCTGTGGTTACCAGCATTTGTTCTAGTGGAGGTGGCAGGGGACTTCCCCTTTTCTGTGCTATTTTTTTTCCTCAGAATCTTTAAATGTTACTAATCTGTCATAGTTGTTTTTAATTTGAATATTGAAAATTAAATTTTTAAAATAATGTTTATTTTGTTGAACTATTCTACATGAACTGAATAATATTTTCAGAGAACGTAAAAAATGTATACATTGACAACTAAGCAGTCCCGTTTCTGACTCAGCTTTTTAATGGCATTCATCATTAATAAATTCCTTTGTGCCATTTTTCTGAAAAAGTTATCTGCTTTTTAAAAGTTTAGCTATCTTTAACATGCACACACACATACTCCAAAAAATACAAATAAGAGCATAATTTGCACTGCTCTGAACTTTGCTTTTTCCTTAAAAATATAGCTTAGAGATCTCTCCAAATTAGCACCTATTGAGAACTATTGCTTCATTCTTTTAATGGCTGCATCTTCTGCTATTCTCTGTATGTACTATGAATGATTTAAGCAAATTTCCTACTGGATTACATATTTTTTCTCCTGTTTTTCGCCTATTCTAAATTTGAAGCAATTAACATCTTTGCACATATGTCTTTGCACACATTTGTGAGAAGCTAAGTCAGTCATTTACCCAATTCCTAGGGAGATGGCATTTATACCATGGACTATGGGAATGGGACTCTCTGACAGTGCATACCCTGCAAGGCAGTACTCAGTGACTATAAGACAATTCCCTAAAGGTGAAATGCTAGTTCTAAGTTCAGAGTATTTAAAACATTAATGTATGTTTTTTGATAATCTCATTAACAGTGAGTGTTTGAGAGGGCCTGTTTTCCTCATGGTTCCCATACTGGACAACATGCAATCCTATATGAATGGTGCCCCTGGAGTTCCGTGGCATGTGAAATATGGTGGCCCTGATTTCCAAAAGCTCTATAATCAGACTGAATTAGCAGACTATTAGGTAAAAGCACTCTCTTCTTACATTTTTAATTTGTATTTATGTAATTTTAAAGAAGTTTGAGTATGTTTTTTGTTTTGTCTTTTTTTTTTTTTTTTTTTTTTTTTTTTTTTGAGACAGAGTCTTTCTCCATCGCCTAGGCTGGAGTGCAGTGGTGCGATCTCAGCTCATTGCAACCTCCACCTCCCAGGTTCAGGTGATTCTCTAGCTTCAGCCTCCCAAGTGGCTGGGACTACAGGCACACACCACTGCATCCAGCTAAGTTTTTTGTATTTTTAGTAGAGACAGGGTTTCACCATGTTAGCCAGGCTGGTCTTGAGCTCCTGACCTCGGGTGATCCACCCACCTTGGCCTCTCAAAGTGCTGGGATTACAGGTGTGAGCCACCATGCCCAGCTGAGTATGTTTTTATATGTTTAAAATTTATTTATAGCAGTGTATGAGTGTGTGTGTACCCTTTGTTCTTGCTGTTTGCCTATGTTTTTCCTAATGGATTGTATGTCAACATTCTTTATATGCTAAGCAATTATTAGATTTAAAATAATTATTTGATATTTTAAATATGCTGGATGTAATTTTTCCAGTTGTCATTCTATTAATCATGAAAAATTAAATATAGTTTGAGTTGTCTCTCTTATAAAGGCTTTTCCCATTCTATGTTAATTTTTAAAAATTACCCATGTTTTCTTTTTAATTCTTTTTAGTCTTTGAAGTAATTTATGAAATGGGGCAAATATCCAATTTTTGGGGTTTTTTCCTCCAAATGGTTTATTACTTTCTGATCTTACTTTTCTTCACCATTTGTTAAATAACCCATATTTTCTTACTGACAGGAAGTACCACTTTTGTATGCTAAATTCTTATATATATTTGAGTTTGTAAGTCCTTTGTAACTGAGCCAGGGGAAACCAGACAAAAGATCAGAGTTGTACAAAATAAGGTGGGGGAGGAATAATGGATTAGTTTGGGATATGTTTGTTTGAATTAAATTTAGGACAAATAAATGAAGGGGTCCACTTGGTATTTGGGATTAAAACCAGGCCTTCACAGGAATTTAACTGCAGTCACAAAAGCCTTGTTAAACCCCCCAGTTTGCCCCAAATATTCTGTCTTCAGTTTCCATATGATTTGTCTTTTATGGCAGGGACTTTCAGTCTTGCCACTACTGCAATTTGGAAAAATAAAATGGTTCTAGCTCCAACTGAGTTGGCAGAAAATTTATCCATGGCCTTTTGTATTTGATTTTATGTAAAGGAAAGGTGTGTAGAAATGCACCTTTTATGAATAGACAGTTCTGGTACCACTGCTATTTAAATATAGCCTCATTTAATGGTAATATGGCAGAATTCTTTTGAAGTATGGTTTGGTTTTGACAAAGTTATTTTTATAAAGTTAGCAATGAGACTAGCCTTAAGAAAAAAGTTAGAAACTATGTTTTAGCCAAAAAATCCTATTGATGAAAACATTCCCTAAAGAAACTAAAAAGGTTATTGACTGTTTACTTCCAATTTGGCATTGGACTGAGTGAGAACATTGGCTGATTGCAATCCTCTGAAGCATTTTCATCTTATGTTAACATTTAGCTAAACTTCCTTCTGTATTTCCCCTGTTCATTAAGAGGTACAATTCAATATCCAGCCAATTTGTTCGCATATTCTAATTAGATTGCCACCTGTCCTTTTCACACTTGAGTCTTTCTGGAATGGTTGTGTGCATATTGGGCCAATTGATATTAGTTGTAATTGTATGCAACAGTCAGAATGTGTTGTATTGCTAGATTATAGTTTCTACTTCTACTCAATTTTTTCCAGGCACCTAGATTTTATGACTGTACCTTAGATTCAACCAAGAGGGATATCAATAAAGTTATTTGAACCTAAGCACATAATAGAATAGGATGGAATAAATTATGGACAACACTCTCATCAAATTACCAGAAGGCTGTTCCCCTGGCAAAATATTAGAAGGTTGTGAATAAACTCAGATCCTAGGTTATTTCTTCAAGGCACTGACAAAAGAATATTTTCCGCAGGAGCATGACTGTAGAAACTCAGAAAATGAGTAGAAAATCTTAAATGTAAAATTGTTATACCCACTCTGGGTCGTAATTGGATTTATAGATTTGTAATTTATGTTGGGTCTTCCTTTTTGGATATATAACATGCCTATGCAATGCTAACTGAACACCTATGCATTGGCACACCAGGTCAAGGGGTGTAACTGAACACCTATGCATTGGCACACCAGGTCAAGGAGTGTATATATGGAAATCTTGAAGAGAAAGGTTAAATAAGGCAGCCTACACTTATAATGTTAGGTTGTAGTAGCAGCAGCAGCAGCAGCCAACAGAGGTTGGATCTGCATTCAATAGCACACCTTTAAGATAATTTCTAATCATAAGATTTTATAATCTTAGGAAATGAGATGATTTTCTGAACAAAGTATCCATTGATCAAATGATTGAAACTTCAAACTTTAAAATAACATCAGTATCTGAAAATTGCATTGTCTGGGATTCAAAACTCTCAAATTCTTCATGAGAACTACCACTACTGCAGATTCATGAAACAATTTCTGAGAGTGAATATTTATCAATACAGTGAATACTTTTATTATAACTACTGGGCCTTGGCCTTTGGTGGTCTGGACTAGGCCACAGGGTTTTCTTTGGAGCATCTGGCTGAAGGCTTAGGCTCCAGCAGAACTGGTACAACCTTAGAACTCTTTACCCCCTTGGAACTTCCTCTCAGGTCCATGTTCTCCAGCTTTTTACCACTCCCATAATGAGGAAAAGCCCAGAAAGTCTAATCCAGAGGGAATACCAAGGAAATAAGTCATTTTAACCCGATACCTACAGAGTGATTAAAGAAAGCTGTTCTTTGTGAGTCACTTCCTGCTTGCAAAGTCAAAATTTTCCCCCTCCACACAACTGCTTTCCATTTTGGGGGGCCAGTAATGTTGGCACTGTTTTGGCTGAGTTCTGAGAAACCACTGCTGAGAATTTTACTGGAGCTAACACAGGACTGGAGAGCCATTGGGCAAGCCACAGTCAAAGTTATGAGCAAAATTTAAAGTAGATTTCTAAAAGATACAACACAAACACCACTCCTGAATGCCCAGTGACCAGATCGAGCACAGGTTGAAAGACCAAGACCTGGAGGCCAGGTAGAGCTAAAAATAGAGTAGCAGCTCATTGAGAAAAAGAGACAAGATCCCAAGGAATTGTTTCACGTGTCTTTGAGCATTAGTGGCTGTTGTGGGAAGTCAGGGACCCCAAACGGAGGGACCGGCTGAAGCCATGGCAGAAGAACATAAATTGTGAAGATTTCATGGACATTTATTAGTTCCTCAAATTAATACTTTTATAATTCCTTACACCTGTCTTTACTGCAGTCTCTGAACATAAATTGTGAAGATTTCATGGACACTTATCACTTCCCCAATCAATACCCTTGTGATTTCCTATGCCTGACTTTACTTTAATCTCTTAATCCCATCATCTTCGTAAGCTAAGGAGGATGTATGTCGCCTTAGGACCCTGTGATGATCGCATTAACTGCACAAATTGTTTGTAGAGCATGTGTGTTTGAACAATATGAAATCTGGGCACCTGGAAAAAAGAACAGGATAACAGCAATGTTCAGGGAACGAGAGATAACCTTAAACTCTGACTGCTGGTGAGCTGGGCAGAACAGAGCCATATTTCTCTTCTTTAAAAATCAAATGGGAGAAATATTGCTGAATTCTTTTTCTCAGCAAGGAACATCCCTGAGAAAGAATGCATCCCTGAGGGGAGGCCTCTGAAATGGCTGCTTTGGGGATGGCTGTCTTTTACGGTCATAGCAGAGGGATGAAATAAGCCCGGGTCTCCTGTAGCACTCCCAGGCTTATTAGGATGAGGAAATTCCTGCCTAATAAATTTTGGTCAGACCAGTTGTCTGCTCTCAATCCCTGTCTCCTGATAAGATGTTATCAATGGCAATGCGTGCCCGAAACTTCATTAGCAATTTTAACTTCACCCCGGTCCTGTGGTCTTGTGATCTCGCCCTGCCTCCATTTGCCTTTTGATATCTTATTACCTTGTGAAGAATCATGTGATCTCTGTGACCCACACCCTATTCGTACACTCCATCCCCTTTTGAAAATCACTAATAAAAACTTGCTGGTTTTGCGGCTTGGGGGGCATCACGGAACCTGCCAACATGTGATGTCTCCCCTGGACACCCAGCTTTAAAATTTCTCTGTTTTGTACTCTGTCCCTTTATTTCTCAGACTGGCTGACACTTAGGGAAAATAGAAAAGAACCTACAAGAAATATCGGAGGTGAATTTCGCCTGATAAGTGGCCCATCGTTATTTGTTGTTTGTAGTACATGGGGAGGTTGGACCTAAGGGCAGCCTCAAAGATTTCTGAAATGGCTTCGGGGCCTTTTTCCTGTTGTCTTAACTATTAATTAGCACCTGGTTACCTTTTAGTCATGCTAATCTTCCTAGAAAGTGGTTGTTTCACAGCACACTTGGATTCCTCTCCTGACAATGCGCTTCCCTTTTCTACCACATGGCCAGGCTGCACATTTTCCAAATTTTTGCTCTCTGTTTCTCTTTTAATTATAAATTCCACCTTAGATCATTCTGTTGCTACTATATGTGATCATAAGCTATTAAAAGTAGACACACCACATCATGAATGCTTTACTGCTTAGAAATTTCTTCTACCAAATACCCTAGGTCATCACTCTTAAGTTTGGCCTTCCACAAAGCCCCAGGGTATGGACAAAATACAGCCAAGTTCTTCGCTAAGGTGTAGCATGGGGAACCTTTGCTCTAGTTTCCAGTTGGTTCCTCATGTCTATCTGAGACCTTATCAGCCTGACCTTTGCTGTCCATATTTCTAAAAGCATCTAGGTCACAACCTCTTAGTCTCTAAAAAGTTCCAAGCTTTCCCTCATCTTCCTGTCTTCTGAGCTCTCCAAACATCTGTCTATTACCCAGTTCCAAAGCCTCTTCTGCATTTTATTTCATGGTATCTTTATAGAAATGCCTTATTCTCCAGTACCAATTTTCTGTCTTAGTTTGTTTAGTATTGCTATAAAGGAATGCATGAGGCAGGACAATTCATAAAGAAAAGAGGTTTATTTCACTCACAGTTATGAAAATGGTACAAGAAGCATGGGACTAATATTTGCTTCTGATGAGGGCTTCAGAAAGCTTCCAGTCACAGTGGAAGGTGAAAGGGAGCTGGGTGTGCAGAGATCACATGGTGAGAGAGGAAGCAAGAGAGAGGGAGGAGGTGCCCAGCTCTTTTTAACAACTAGCTCTCATGGGAACTCATAGAATGAGAAGTTACCTACCCCTCCAGGGAGGACATTAATCTATTCATCAGGGATCTGCCCACATTACCCAAACACTTCTCACTTAGGCCCCACTTCCAACATTGGGGATCAAATTTCAACACGAGGCCTGGAACAGTCAAATATCCAAACTGTAGGAGGGGTCAGACCACCTTAAACTGAGACCTAATTCTGCCACTACTCTCTTTGCCTCAGCCTTTACATCTGTAAAATGAAAATACTAATAGTACAAGCCTCAGAGTATTGTTGTGAAGATTAAATAAATTGTATATGTGCAACAAGTGCTTATGATAGTGTTGGTCACATAATAAGCTATAAGTAAGTGTAGATATTATTATTATGTTTTTGGAAAAAAATAAAACCCTACTCTATTCATCTCAATTTTCAAACAAAATGAGTAATAGCAGCTCCACTCTGCCTTGTCATCATAAGCCCAGAGGCCTAGAAAGACAGAATGGTTTGTGGGGTAGCCCTGGGATGCTGGTACCCTGTGTTGCTTTGAGACTCTGCTTCCTACATCCCCACTGCTCTAGCTCCATCTGTGGCTAAAACAGCCTCAGTTACTACTTGGGCTGCTGTTCCAGAGAGCACAAGCCATAAATTTTGGCAGTGTCCATGTGGTGCTTAGTCTACAGTCTCCCAAAATGCAAGAGTGGTGGAGACTTGGAAGCTTCCGTGTAAATTTCAGAGGGTGTATCAAAAAGCCAGGGTGCCTTTTGACAGACAGAATCTTATCACAGGGGTGGAGCCACAGCAAAGAGCCCCTACTAGGGCAATGGCTAGTGGAGTTGTGGGAGCAAGCCCACCATCCTCCAGACTCCAGAATTATAGACCCTCTGGCAGCATGCAACAACAGCCTGGAAAATCCAGAGATATTTTAGTCACAGGCCAACCTGTGAAAGCAGTCATGTGGCCTACCAGTCACACCAGTGTGCCTAGGATATAGGGCATGGAGTCAAAAGAGAGTATATTGGAGTTTTCAGATTTGATGTCTGCCTTGCTGGGTTTCAGACTTACTTGAGGCCTGTTACCCATTTCTTTTTGCCAATTTATCCCTTTTGGAATAGTAGTGTTTACCCAATGCCTGATAATCATTGAATCTTGGAAGAAAAGAATTAGGTTTTTATTTTACAGGCTCATAGTTGGAAGAAACTTTCCCTGAGTCTCATATGAGACTTTGGACTTTGAACTTTTGAGTTGATGTTAGAACAAGTTAAGACTTGGAGCCTGTTTTTTTTTTTTTGTTTTTTTTTTTGTTTTTTTTTGAGACAGAGTCTCACTCTGTTACCCAGGCTGGAGTGCAGTGGCACGATCTTGGTTTATGGCAACATCCAACTCCGGGGTTCAAGCAATTCCTGCGCCTCAGCTACTTGAGTAGATGGGATTACAGGTGTGCACCACCATGCCTGGCTAATTTTTGTATTTTTAGTTGAGATGGGGTTTCACCATGTTGGCCAGTCTGGTTTCAAACTCCTGGCCTCAAGTGATCTGCCCACTTCGGCCTCCCAAAGTGATGGGATTACAGGCATGAGCCATAGACATGGTCTTGAGGACTATTAAAAAAGGATGATTGGCTGGGCTCGGTGGCTCACGCCTATAATCCGAGCACTTTGGGAGGCCGAGGCAGGTGGATCATGAAGTCAGGAGATTTGGACCATCCTGGCTAACACGGTGAAACCCCGTCTCTACTAAAAATACAAAAAATTAGCCGGGCGTGGTGGCAGGCGCCTGTAATCCCAGCTACTCGGGAGGCTGAGGCGGGAGAATGGTGTGAACCCAGGAGGTAGAGGTTGCTGTGAGCACAGATCACACCACTGCACTCCAGCCTGAGTGACAGAGCAAGACTCCATCTCAAAAAAATGAAAAAAAAAAAAAAAAAGAATGATTGTATTTTGTAATAAGAAGAACATGAGATTTGTGGGACTAGGGATAGAATGCTATAATTTGGATGTTTGTTCTCTCCAAATTTCACATGATTCTCAGTGTTGGAGGTGGTGCCTAATGGGAGATGCCTAATATGTTATGAATAGATTAATGCCCTCCCTGGGGGGTAGTGAGTGAGCTCCTGCTCTGTTGGTTCCTTTGAGATCTGATTGTTAAAAAGAGCCTGGCACCTCCCCTCTCACTCTCTTGCTTCCTCTCTCACCATGTGATCTCTGCACACACGACTCCCTTTCGCCTTCTGCCATGAATGGAAGCAGCCTGAGGCTTTTACCAGATGCTCAGTCTTTCAACCAGTAGAATCATGAGTCAAATAAACCTTTGTTCTTTACAAATTATTTAGCCTCCAGTATTCCCTTATAGTAACACAAATGAACTAAGACAGTCCCCCTAAGTCTTTATTCTTCATTGCTGGACTATACTGCCTCATATTCTTTACCAAGGTACTAGAGAGAGCAATCACTTGGAGAATGAGCATTCATAGGTTGATTTTGGTCATCAGTTGTTGGTAACTTTATTGGGTGACTCTGGACAGACTGAAAGAATGAATAATAGTCTTGAAAACCTCCACCACAGAAAAATGTATTTTAAGTAGTTAGGATGGTTCTGTCAGTCATTCATAAAAAGCTCTTTCTAGTTGATTATTGTAGTAGTCCATTTTGCATTGCTATAAAGAAATACCTGAAGCTTGGTAATTTATAAAGAAAAGAGGTTTATTTGGCTCATAGTTCTGTAGGGCGTACAAGGAACATGGCACTGACATCTGCTAAGCTTGTGATGAGGCCTCAGGAAGCTTTTACTTATGGCAGAAGGTAAGATGGCTGGCATGTCATATGGTGGGAGAGGGAGCAAGAGGGTCGGGGGCAGTGCCAGACTATTTTTAACAATCTGATATCATAGTAACTAATATACTTTGAGGTAATTCATTACCTTGAAGATAGCACCAAGCCATACATGAGGGATCCACCCCCATGAAACAAACACCTCCTTCTAGGCTCCACCTTTAAAATTGGGGATCACATTTTAACATGAGATTTGGAAGGGACAAACATCCAAACTCTATCAGCTTTCCCTGAACACAGGGAACTCACCCAACAAGACCACTGGAGAGCAGAGCACAGGGAACTCACCCAACAAGACCTCTGGAAGCATTGCCTTCTCAGAAGAGGTAGCATTTGAACAGAAGCTTGAAGAATGAATGAGGTTGTCAGGCACCCAAGCTGGGAGGCTGTTCCAGGAAGAGCCTGTGTAAGACAGGGTGCCAACAGAGAGACTGGAACATTCAGAGAACTCTAAGTAGTTCAAGATTGCCAGTTTGCAAACAGCAATCCAGAAATGACAGATGAGACTTGACTTCTAGGCAGTGGCCAGATCCTGAAGTTCTTTGCCAAGTAAAGGAATTTACAATTTACTCCTGTAGGCACTAGGGAAGCATTTTAAGGGCTTTAAACCAAGGTTTCATGTTAGATTTTCATATTTGGACTATCATTTTGGCAGCCAGTATAAAAGATGGATTGAAGGGATGTGATCTAGAGGCATGGGCCTGGTAGGGGTGTTAGGCTGCCCTACTCTGGGGATTTTCTTGGCATTGGAAATAGCAGTAACCTTGAACTTTCCTTTATGGGTCTGGGTCAGACCCCGTGGAATTTCAGAGCTCATTGTCAGGTGAGATCAGGTAGGAGGTACAAGGGAAAAATGATAGCCTGAACCATCTAGACTTCATGGTATAATAGGTAGAATTTGGAATTTGAATCAAGTGTGTATGCACTGTGGAACATCTTTTCAGCCATCTCCACACATTAAAATGACAGCAGTATCATCCTCAAGTGCAAAATTTCACTATAGCAGCATTGTCATTTTTATCATAATGCCATAAGACTTACTTGGAGACCAAACCAATTCATAATTTACCTATTTTTTAACTTCTACAACTAAACTCCCTTGGATTGTGTCCAAGTTGAATTTATAAACAAGTTCTTTGTTTCAGGGAGCATGGTTGTATTGCAAAAGTTAGTGTAAAATGTACTCTTTTTATTTCAGATAATTATTGATCAGATCAGCTTTAGTTTTCTGATATTTATGCCATAGCTACCCTGAGTTGGTCAACAGGTTTATTCCTCGCCTCTTGGAGGATTTACTTATACACATGCATGCATGTTACACCCACACACACCTCAAAAGTGCTTCCACATATACAAAAGATGAAATGTTGTTCTTTACCTTCTCTAGGAAAGAAAGCCTTGATTTACTGACCTTAAGTCATAATTTAAAATTTATCTTCTTTAATAAGTTTTCTAAAATACTTAAAAGATTTGTTTTCATGCCAATTCTGCTATGTCTGAATTTGTGTGACTTTTTTCTTCTTGTCATCTTAAAACAGCATTTTGCCAGAAAAATCAGTATTAAAATAAGCATTTTGAATGGTGTTGGGACCCTGGATGGTTTTCTTACATGAATCACTCCATCAACATTCTAACCCAATGCAGCTAAATGTAAATTGGCCTCCAGCTCACTGTCACTTTAGAGGTGATACCATTATTTGGCTTTCTAGGCAGTATATAGTGTTTTGATGATTTTGCAGTTGGGGTCTGTGTGTCTGTAGGCATGTGCACAGGCCACATATGAACATCTGTAATCTCCCAGACAGCTGCCAATTCTGTTTTCATGTCATTGATTACATACTCAGGCATCTCCCCTAATAAAACAAGCCAATCTAAAATGAAGTGAGCAAAATGGAAAACATACAGCATGGTCAGGGGCCAGGAGGCTGATACATACATTCCCGTAAGATAACGCCTCACATATGATCTTGTGTTGACTGTCAAAACTCATGAACCTCAATTCATGTCACCTGATACTGATTTTTCCTGAATGTTTTACATCATTCACTCTCTTTGAAGCTAATCAGAACTTGTAATTTTGCAATATAATCATTTCAGAAGACTGAGAACTGCATCCAATACAGGACATGAAGAGTTATTCCTTGACTATGTAATAGAAATTGTGTTATTCTGATATATACTGACTATTTGAGAACTATAAGTAGAGATTTTGGAGTTAGATTGCTTGGTGGGTTTAAATTCCAACTTACTGACTAGGTGATCTTGAGCAAGTTTCTTAACCTTTCTGTGCCTCAGTTTGCTTATCTGTAAAAAAAGGAGTCCTTTCTAGTAGACTATAATGAGGACTAAGTAAGAAAGTACACATAAAGTGTTTGGAACATAGTAAGTGTTAAATATCTTCTCTGTTATTACTCAAGTATCAATGCCTAACTATCCTCTGGCCCCCATGAACACTGATGTCCTTTAGTTCCTGCAGGTTAATTGATTACCTGGATTATCATTGATCATGAATGTGGAAAATCTGTCTTCCCAAAAGGGTTATGTGAACTCTATGACTAAGATATCTCTCTCTCCACCCCACATAAGCCCCAAAACCCTACGCAAAGTGATACTACTTATTTTTTCTTGTCACAGTGAATGATAATGAAAAATGTAAAATATAAGGACTACAATAAACAGCTATTTTGCAGTTATCAGAAGTAGATGGTGATTATGATTGAGAAAGAACTGAGGAATTCAGGACCTCTCTTGAAGACACCTTGTCAATATGCAATTAACTCTTCTTTATCTTAGAAAGCGATCATAAATTATATTTTGCAAATGTGAGAAAAAGGAACATATAAATACTAAGTAACGATTCTCAGCACAGAATGATTTTTTTCCAGAGCTGCAAATGCCAGAAGACCCTGAGGAATTTATCTATTCACCAAAGAATGTTTTAACATACGAACTTGTTTCAGACAGACATAATTCAGATGATCAAAACAAAGTAATGGTTTCCCAGTATCACATAATATAAATATTAATAAAAAGGCATTAATTTGATTTTCAGATGTGAACTATGTTATTTTTCTATTTGTCATTTTCACTTATGCAATTTTTTTTGAAGAATTTTCACAGCTTTCCTAGAAGTAAAATGAAGCTAAAACTTTATGTAGCAGTGCCTACATATATATATATATAAAACATATATACAATATATGAGATATATGTGCATTATATATGTGTGTGTACAAGTGTGTGTGCATGTGTGCAGAGAGATAGCGAGAAAGAGAACCCAAATTCTTTGTATGATGAATACTAGTATCTGAACACATGCCTTTGATGAGATGTCTTGTAAAAGTCAGAGTGCAAATGCATAAAGGGCAGAATGTGTTGTAGATCTTGCCCTCTCAGCTATTCCCACTACCCTCTTTAGAGTGGACGTGTCAGAAATGGATTTACCTCATTGTCTTTACCAAAGAACATGATCTGGGTATAATCAATCTACTTTTTTTGTATTTTTCTATTGGGAATAATAATAACAATGATGCAGCAGAGTTGTCTGAAGATCAAATGAGATAATGTATACGGTGATTCATATGTAGTGAAGGTTTGTTCTTTTTTATGATTATTAGGCATCTGACTTATTCTTGCCTTTTAGCTTCCGCACTTTCAGTTGATAGAGTTCCTTAGAATTTATAAAGCCCTTTTAAATTAATTAGCACAGTAACTTGCAAACAGGCAATATTAGTTCCATTTTTCAGATGAATAAAATTAATAAAAGGTGACTAGGACAATAGGATTTTTACTAGAGATAATTTTTATTATTGGAGTATATAAGAGTGGCTTAGTCCATTGGAGCACTATAACAAAATATCATAGACCGGGTAGCATATGAACAACAAAAATTTGTTTTTCAACATTCTGAAGGCTGGAGGACCCAAGGTCAAGGCACTGGCAGATTCAGTGTCTGGCGAGGGCCTGTTTTCTCATACAAAGATGGTGCCTTTTGCTGTGTCCTCACTTGTCCTCACTTGATGGAAGGAGAGAGGAGTCTCTTTTATAAGGGCACTAATCCTATTCATGAGGGTTCCACCCTCATGGCCTAATCACCTCCCAAAGAGCCTACCTCCTAATCCATTCCCTTGGTGGTTAAGATTTTAATATATGAATTTTGAGGGGACACAAACATTCAGACCATGGCAAGGAGTGAATGGCAATTAGTCTAAGAGCATAACTCCCTGGCAGGCCAGGCATCATGCTGATTAAATCAATAGTGATGCTGCTCCTAGCAAGGCAAGAAAAACATATTTGGGGACAGAAGTAAAGCCACTTTAGAGGGCATATGTGGCATAATGATTAAAAAATAAAATTGTCCATCAGTTTCTGTTGTCTTTCTAATTTATTTCACTTCGCATAGAGATAAGAAAAGGAAATCTGGAGAGAAAATGCTTTAATTGTATTGGAAATACTGCTCCTTTTTGAACATATTGAATGATGTTATCTGGTTCTCCCAAGGAGTTATATTACTTAAGTGACCTCTCTCTGGAATGAAGAATTTCAACAGAGGGAGTGAAATTCTTGCAAAATATATGTTTGGGAAAAATAATAAGTAGTACTTGGTTTATTCTCTGAGTTGTTTTGAACTTTGATTTTTTAATATAAATTTTTTTAAATTTTTGTTAAGTTAATTGAGATATGATTAAAATTCACCAGTTTTGGGTATGGTCCTATGACTTTTGGTACATAAATACATACATGTAACCACCACCACAATCAAGATACAAAACATTTCTATCAATCCTGAAGTGTGAACTTTGTTTTGAGTCAAGTTATTCTTAGTAAGTTTTGTGTTTTAAAAATTTCTCAGAATCTGACAAATGCAATGATCCTCTTCCTTGGAAAAGTGTGGAGATACATACAATATTACCTACTATTTCAGAGGAATGATGAAGCCTAGCCTTGGGTCCCCAGATTCAGAAACAGAGTTTAAATTCTTTACAATTAGTGTCTTTATAAAATTACATATTTTCTTAGAAGTAGAAATCTTGTTTTTCTACCAATTGCCTGGAGAGCTGACTTATTTTTTGATGGATGATTTCTTAAATATAATCATTCATCTACATATGAAGGTATATTGGGCTTCAAAATTTGTGGATATGTTAGGCCGGGTGCGGTGGCTCACGCCTGTAATCCCAGCACTTTGGGAGGCTGAGGCGGGCAAATCACAAGGTCAGGAGATCGAGACCATCCTGGCTAACACGGTGAAACCCCGTCTCTACTAAAAATACAAAAAATTAGCCGGGCCTGGTGGTGGGCGCCTGTAGTCCCAGCTACTCAGGAGGCTGAGGCAGGAGAATGACGTGAACCCGGGAGGCGGAGATTGCAGTGAGCTGAGATAGCGCCACTGCACTCCAGCCTGGGCGACAGAGTGAGACTCCGTCTCAAAAAGCAAAAACAAAACAAAACAAAAAAATTGTGGATATGTTAATGGTTAAATTCTTTCAAAGTATTTCAACTTATCATGGACAAAGAGAGGGTTCATGCTAATATATTGGTCTGCTCACACCAGTAATTAACATGGATTTACCAGGCAAGGTGCAGAACACCCAGTTAAATTTGAATTCCAGATAAACAAATATTTTTCATTATAAATATTCCCATGCATTGATAGTTCCCATAAAATTCAAATATGTCCCAATGCATGGGTCATAGTTTTACTTTTAAAAAAAAACTATTAATTGATTATCTAAGTTCAAATTTAACTGGGTATCCTGAATTATTTTATGATTCCAGCTCCTTCCCATTGGCAAAGATATATTTTGTCATATTTTATTTACCTCCACCTTTGCCATTGTCTGTTGAAAACCCTAGGATATAATAGATAGTCATAACATTCACTAAATGAAAAAAGTTATTCAATTTCTAGGTAAGAGAGGCTTTATATTTGGTTCAAGTGTTTCAAGGAACTTTCTAAGAATTCAGTATAGGATTGAACTCCAAGCCAGTCTTAATTTTGAATAATTTCCCCTACATGCAAATTAAAATTAGAATCCACATCTTCTTAACTCCAAATCCCATGTTTCAACCTCTATTAGTGACTCTTAAAGAAAGACAGATTGCATTTTAGGGAGAATTTTAATTAATAGGGGCAACATGAGGGGTTGGGAGTGGAAGAGTAGGGAGATGCTGGAAGTTAGAGGGTAGTAGCCAGAGATACTACATATCCAGCAATGCGTGGGGACAATCTCACGCAAGAAGGACTTGTTCTGGGTCCCACAGAGTTTTTGAGATTACTACCAGATATTCATGTCAGAAATAGACAAAAATTATCTAAACTTAGAATGTAACTCAAACTGACATATATACACAAAATTTTGCGTGGTTTTAATATTTTTTAAATTTTCCAGAAATGAAAACTGAAATGTAAGTCAAAAGAAGATTATCCATAAAATTCTGACAAAAAAATCCAACAGTGGATAAAATGTCAGGTGATATTATCACAAACTGATGAAATGAGCAGAGTAAACCTGCACAGCCAGCTGGGAAATAATAGTTCTAGTGGCCCACAGGCAATTAGGTGTCCACGTCCCAGGTGCAGTGTCGCACCACCTTCAAGTAGTTGTCTTCTCTGGCTTTACATCTTTGGGGACAATTCTGGGTCCTGTGGATGGCTAGAACTTCCAAAACAACAGCAGCAATTCCAGAAATCTCTTGATTAGTTGGTTATTGGTTCATGATCCCAGTAGAACAGTCCACTTTTCCCCTGATATTTCCCTAGATGAAATTGCCTGCCTGGCTTTGCTCTTATATCTATGTCTTCAACTCTCATCGCAATAAGAACTTCAGACTAGCTAGGCATAGTGGCTCACACCTGTAATCCCAGCACTTTGGGAGGCTGAGGCAGGTGGATCACTTGAGCTCAGGAGTTTGAGACCAGGCTGGCCAACATGGCAAAGCCCCATCTCTACCAAAAATATATTAGCTGGGCATGGTGGTGCACATCTGTGGTCCCAGTTATTTGGGAAGCTGAGGTGAGAAGATCACTTGAGTCTGGGAGTGGGAGGTTGCAGTGCACCTCTACACTCCAGCCTGGGTGGAAAAAAAAAAAAAAAAAAAGCAGTCTGGGTGCAGTGGATCATGCCTGTAATCCCAGCACTTTGGGAGGGCAAGCTGGGCAGATCACGAGGTCAGGAGATCGAGACCATCCTGGCTAACAAGATGAAACCCCTTCTGTACTAAAAATGCAAAAAATTAGCTGGGCATGGTGGTGGGCGCCTGTAGCCCCAGCTACTTGGGAGGCTGAGGCAGGCGAATGGTGTGAACACAGGAGACGGAGCTTGCAATGAGCTGAGATCGCACTACTGCACTCCAGCCTGGGTGACAGAGTGAGACCCCGTCTCAAAAAAACAAAAACAAACAAAGCAAAAACTTCAGACCAGCTTCCGCAGAGAGGGAACCTGAGCAGAGGATAGGAGCAAATTTATCCCTATCTCCTTATTAAGGAATGAACTATTTTATAGTTTTACTGTTTTTTGTTTGTTTATTTGTTTGTTTGTTTTATTCTGGAACTTTATTAAGAGCTTTTTACCATTTTAGAAAATTTCGTCATTGATGGTAATCTTCCTATGATACTTGACCTTCTATTTAGCAATCTGTGCCTGTTAAATTCAAATTCTACATAGAGAAGAAAATATCTGTTTCATTTTATTTTCTATTTAAACCACATTGAAATACTATATTATTGTAAATTTATTTTCTTTATTTATAATATAGATGTGATGTTATTTTCTTTTTAAAAATTATGTGTACTGTGCAATATTGATTGAGAGCTGGTGCTCTGAGTTATCTGATGAGAACAGTTCTTTTAAAGAGTACCAGCCAATCTGAACAATGTCTGACATTCAGTTAAATTACATTATAAATCACTAGTTGGCAGATTAATTAGCCACAGTATAAAATTATAGCTGGAAAAAAAACTATGTCAAAAAATAATAGTAGTAAATAATATTTTTGCCACACATTTCCTAGGAAAACCTTGTAAACATTTAGAGAAACCATTAGCAATTTTACTTGTTATGAATATCTCTTAAAGTATTCTTAAGTAAAAAACAACATTTCTTATAATCTCAATGAATACTTTCAGCACACCTAACATTTGGATAGAGAACTCAAGAAGAGGTAAGGATTTCTTATGGGAAGGCTTGAGGTTGCATTGGTTAAATGACAACCCTAATTCTGTTTTTGTTTTGTTTTGTTTTGTTTTGTTTTGAGATGAAATCTCACTCTGTTGCCAGGCTGGAGTGCAGTGGCACGATCTCAGCTCACTGCAACTTCTGCCTCCTGGGTTCAAGCGATTCACCTGTCTCAGCCTCCCAAGTAGCTGGGACTACAGGTGCACGCCACCACGCCCAGCTAATTTTTGTATTTTTAATAGAGATGGGGTTTCACCATGTCGGTCAGGCTGGTCTCAAACTCCTGACCTTGTGATCCACCCACCTCGGCCTCCCAAAGTGCTGGGATTACAGGCCTGAGACACTGTACCCGGCCAGCCCTGATTCTGATAAAAGGCCAGTGGACACATCTGGACCAAATATTATGGGGAAAGGTGACATCTTCTCAGAACTGCTCAGGCCACTTGTGTATTTTATTGCTAAAGGATGCAAAGGGACATAGTGATAAAGAACCTTATTTGGAGCTGGACAGCTCTAAGCTTGAGTCCCAGGTGTGCCACTGCATGGGACTTTAAATATGTTATTTAGTCACTCTGAAGTTCAATGTTCTCTTCTGTAAGTAAAAATAATTACAGGTCCTACCTTCTATCCGTATAGAAAGTAACACACTTAAGGGTTGCATTAATCTGCTCACACTGCCATAGCAAAATACCATAGACTAGGTGGTTTAAACAACAGAAATTTATTTTCTTACAGTTCTGGAGGCTGGGAAATCCAAGATCAAAGTGCTGGCCAATTCAATATCCAGTAAGGGCTCTGGAAACTGAATTGTTTCCAGAAGTCCTTTGACCTTGGACTTCCTAGCCTCCAGAACTGGCTTGCTGATGGCTGACTTCTCCCTGTATCTTCTCATGGCCTCTTTCTTCTCTCTCTCTGTCTCTCTCTCTCTCTCTCTCTCTGTGTGTGTGTGTGTGTGTGTGTGTGTGTGTGTGTGTGTGAGAGAGAGAAAGAGACAGACACAGCTCTCTTCTTATGAGGACACTAATCCTATCAGATCAGGACTTTACCCTCATGACCTCATTTGACCTTCATTATCTCTTCAAAGGCCTTATCTCCAAATACAGTTACATGGGAGTTTAGGGCTTCAACAGATGAATTTGGTGTTGGGGAGAGGGGACACAATTCAGTCCATAGCACAGTGCCAGACTCTTAGTTGCACTACTAAACATTGGTTATTACTAACATCAGATGCCTAATCTAACACAACCATGTTGTAAAGTAAGCATTATTATCCTTCTTTTAAACATAAAAAAAACTGATGCTCAGAAAGCTTGACTCACATCCTTGGGTTATATACACACTAGTACAAGCATCGAGGCAGTGGTGATACCAGAATTTAAAGTTAGTTCAGGTTGATGGCAATATACATGCTCATTTCACTCCACACTAGATTGCTTTACAGAATAATGGTATTTTAATTCTTATGAATAATTAACATTCTTCCAATATTCTATAATTTGTAAAATGTTTTCCCAGCCTTTAATGTTCCTGTGGAGGAAGCCTTGGGCTGGTTAAAAGGGAAAGAAAGGGAGGACTGAGGTGAAGGAGAGGGCAAGCAGAGACAAAAGAGCTACAAGAAAGAAGGTTTCATTCGAAGAAAGCAGGTAAAGCAAAACTTAAGTGACTTCTCAGGGCCAGAGAGGCAGGCAAAACTCGAAGAAAGGGTGACTCAAAGAACAAGCTTTACAAGAAAACAGCAAAGCAAGAAATGAGAGTAGAGTTGGCATCAGGGTATAGGTAGAGCCTACAGTCAGATGCCTCAAGTAACTCAAACACGCTGAGAATGGTTCAGCAAGAATTGCAATTGCTGTAGTCAATTAGAAATGGGAAGTGAGC
Organism: Homo sapiens; assembly: GCF_000001405.40. NCBI lineage: Eukaryota > Metazoa > Chordata > Mammalia > Primates > Hominidae > Homo > Homo sapiens. Next base: position 150,648,023 of record NC_000002.12, on the reverse strand, counting down.
AAGATGTTTGTTCTGCATGAAAGAGAAGTCCATTGTTGTTGCGATCATGGTGGGTGGTTTACGGTGCTGATCTGGAGTCAAATTGCCAGGATTGCACTCTGCCTTCATCTTTTCTAGCTGTATGACCTCGGGGAATATTGACTTCCCTAGCTGCAGTATGGGAAGCTTGATACTCCCTATCTCATAATGTTGATGAATTAAATCAACATTATGAGGGTATGTGCTTAGCACTCTACCAAGGACACAGTAAACATAGCATAGTAAAGTTCTAGCAATGATGATGATGAGGAGGAGGAGGAAGAATTTTATCCCTAAAATAATTCCTGTATGGCTAATGTGAGACATTATGTGCATTGCAATTGTGACTGTGTCTCTTACACTCCAGGTGACAGGCTAGAAGGTGCAATATTCCTGTAAAATATCATTGTTTGCATTTGACCTTTTCTAGGAAGTACTCAGGAAGACTTAACAGAGACAGTGCCTTAGGTAGTGAAAACAGATTCCATTAGAACTTCAGGTGAGCAGAGCAATGCCGTTAAGCTGAGCTAGGGGTCAAAGGTTAGCAGGACTTTCTGAGGAAACATTTCCTGTCATTCTTTTGTTCTCCTGTCCTGCCTATCCACACACACTCATGGAAGTCCCCTTTTCTGGGCCAGAGATTAGTGACTGTCTCCCATAGTGAACTGCTTGCCACCCTCAGGAATATTGGTACCAACATGAATGAAAGAGAAAGTGAGAGAGCCAGAACAGGAAGAAAAGAGAAAGAAGAAAAAGAGGAGAGGAAGAAATTCAATAAATCAGACATCTCTCAGAAAGATACTCATAGCCAGAACTCCATGAGAAAGGGCTGAAATATTCATAGCTGAAAATTTCATAGCTGAAAATACTGAAATATTTCTGAGGACTTGCTGCTGAAAAGGTCAGGAAATGGATCATCGACTCAGATCTACAAATTCGAAATTGTACTAAGTCTTGCTTTTCCCCCCACAAAGTATGGGAATACATAGAATGCCAGATGGAGCATGGGTCTGTTTCAACTACCAGCTCTCGTGGTAGTTGAAAATGGCTGTGTGGTTGCTCCACCATGGTTGCTTAGATGAGTAAAGGCTTTATTTGGAAAAAATAATGATAGTTACAGTCTCATGTAGTATCATGTTACAAGTGAAACTCATTCATTGAACACCAAAACTGTATGGTTAAATATGCTTGAAAGATTGTCTATAAAATAAAAAGGTTAACTTCACGGCTTATCTGTTCCTTATACATTGCATATCTGTACATAAAGTTTTCTACATTTAAGCTATAATGTTTTCCTAAATGTGCATCATGGAAACTGTAAATCCAGATACTTCATTCCATGTATAATTGAGATCAACCTCTGCAGAAAACTGGGACACCTCAATTATATAATCCCAGTCCAGTCCACACCATCCTTGTTATTTATAATGTCAATCTCATTCTATATTGCCCATCTCTAAAATAATAAATATCATAGGTAGTTGTCATATATAAACCTTGATGATTTGTTATTTTAATTAAAAGAATTTTAAAATGTTGATGCAAGACAACGTTGATGATTTCAAACAGAATACAATTCCTGAATAAAGCAAGCCAGAAATCTTACATGAGACTATCTTTAGAAAACAATTATTGTGATCATATATCCTCTAGCAAGTTGTTCACTTTTAATTCAAATGGTCAAGAAGTCTGAGTATCTTTTATTTCCTGAAGGGATGTATATATTTGAAATCTGGCACAACTCACTGTATGTCAGTACATTAGATATAGGGGGAAGAACAATGAAGAAAAAGAAAATATATGAAAATAGACAGATGATTTTGGGAAGCTTACATGCCTTTGGGGGAAAAGAGGTATGAAATAGCTGCTAGCACCCTTGAAAATACTGCTTATGTGCCTCATTATGCCACCTAGATTTCCAGACTGTCACATTCAATGAGGTCTTTGTGAGCCCATGATGCTAGGGCTGTCAGCCTGATAGTCTATAATTTGGAATGACTCCCACCCCTGCCATTTTGTAATGCTTCCTGAAAAGCAATGGAGGAACCTTGCTGGATATTCTCTCTAACTTCATTTAATAGAGTATTTCATGGTTTCAGTAAGAACAGCTCTGCTACTGATGCGCTGGGGCATCCAGTCATCCATTCATGCTTTTTCTTTTTTAAATAACAGGCCTCAGCATGGAAAATTGCATTTGATTCAATTCGTAGAAATTAATGCTATATATAGTGCCCCCAAATTCACCACCCTAGTTGCAACTTCTACAATCAGCCTCATCCATTCTCTCAGTTCTGTAGCCTCTCCCCTGAGATTCTGATTGCACATATTGGGCCATTTTTGGAGAGCTAGATGTGTCTTCTTAGAGAAAGTGCACATTGTCTAGGAGTGGGGCAGCAGTAGCTTAATGCATCTTGTAGTTCTCCATTGGAATGACTGGAATTCTGTGTAGCTCCAGAAGGAATAGTTAATCTCTCTTTCTCCTAACATGTGCTTCTTGATGCAGGATTGAGTGGATCTTGTTTCCCTGGAATGCCCCTAGATTCTGTCCTAGCCTTGGTTTGAGGGCAAATCACTGATGAGGTGGGGACTGGGAGACACATCTATTGAAGCTTCCAGAAGCCTGGTAGGAAGACAAGGTCAGCAAGGGAGTGAAGTACGTGATTCGGTGCCTGAAGGAATTATCAGGTGACCATGAGGGCCCTACACTATGGGAATCAGTGAGATGTGAGATCATCTACAGAGCTATTTTCCTAAAGAGGAAGAGGATGGATCACTTTCCTTCCTTCTTACAACATCCTCCCCAAGCTTCTCTTTTCTTTAGAGAATGACGGCCACCGGCCACCTACCACCCACCACCCACCTCCCTTGGAGGACTGTAGAATCAGGTATTTTTAACAAATATAGAGAAACTGTTTTGAAGATAGGGTTCATATTCTCACGTCTGATTTTGGCAGGTGTAATATATGTTTGGCAGGGGGATAAACTAGGTCTTGCATCTTTGAAGAGATGCTGCTGGGATCAAAGCAGTATGACAACAGAGGAAGGAAAGAGAAGACAAGAGAGTCTTAGTATAGCACTGAAGTCCCAGCACCAAATTATTTCGGGAACAGTATCTTCCTCTTCCTGACTGTTCTCTCAATGTGTGTCCTTGTTTTCTTGCCTCACACAAACATTCAGATGTCCTCAATGCCCTCAGTTCATTTCTGTTCCTAGCTAGCCAAGAATAATTATTTCTGTTCACATTTTCCTCTTACTATGGCCTCTCTCACATCATGAGTTTACACTATTACATTCCAAGGACTATGCACTTGATTTAGGTATATTTGCTAGGAATATAGTCCTCTCTGCTTGAAGAGAAGTCTCATTTGCTGTCCTGTGCACTCTCTCTCTCAACTTTTTCCCTCTAGTTTAGTACAAAGAATCTGCAATCTGCTTTCAGTCATCACTGTTGACACACCAGAGAAATATGACTCTAATTTTTCAAAGAAAATATGAATCACGTAGTGTTCCCCACACAGACAGTACCCTCCTCTGTTAGCTAGCTGTACAATCTAAAATTCTGAGCATTACTTTTCACACAAGCAATGGTCAGATTATTGGGACTGTACAGAGCAGAGCGCCACGGCACCAGGATATGACCTCATCTGCTCTGAGGAACTAAGTGGGGTTGAGCTGTGTCCATGTTTGGAGGGGCCTACTTCCAGTGGAGAGAAGCCCAGAAAGGGTCAGCAATTTCTCATTTTGGACAACAGCCTGCTTCTTTGATGAGAACACTTCAATTGAAAATTAAAATGCAATGATAGGCTCATTATTGTCACAGAAAACTGCTTAATAGAGAATAAACTCTGTTTTTTTACTACCAAGCAACTAAATGGCATAGAAAAAGAAACATCAACTAAATGGCATAGAAAAAAATTAATTCATGGTTCATTTTTGTGGGTGACATGGACAATGGAAATAATGGAAATAAGGTTTGTTTCCAAATCAACAACATCTAAGGTGTGTGTTATGGTCAGAACAGTTTTAGCTTGTTTTTTGTATGTGCAGTACTTTGCATGGAAATTTCCTGATGATGCCCCTGTCATTGCAAGACCTTGAATATCCTTGATTCATCCAGATAACTATTTCCAAAGCCTTCCAGTAAAATGCAGAACGATTGCTAATGAGAATTAACTATTAAACTATTGGGACGGTACTCAGGAACCAGAATATTGCATGAACCAAAGCATCCCATTCTCTAGCCCCTCAAATAAAAGGAATTTATTGTCTTTTGATGACAAGACAGAGGAAGGATATATGAAGTAGCAGAAGGTGAATATTCAAGAGCAGCACTTAAGCCTCAATCCTGTCATTACACCCTGACTAATGAAGGTTCCCGCAAATATCACTTGGACTCAACTCTCACAGTCTCTCATTACTCATCGGTTACTGCTTCGAGGCTTTTTATCTGACCCACTGTGAGGGGGATGCATTCCAAAGCTGAGAAAATTATTTCCCTTGAGCGTGTTCAGGTGGGTGGGTGAATTTACAGTTGCAGGCGTTCAAGAATGTATTGGTGACAGCAAGATTCCTTCAGGTTCATTTCAGCTGCCAAAGAAATGACTCTGCTGAATATTGATTCTGTCCTGCTTTAGGTGTTGCCCTTGGAGGCAGTCACCATCCACAAACATGCATGTAAACTCATACTCATGCATCCCACACAGCAACGGCACATTACTCTTAGATAAGGTCAGGCAGCTACATCTTCCAGGATCGACGCTGGGCAGAGAACCATTCTAGACGGTGTGTGTGCTGGGGGAGGATGGAGGGTAATTACACCGAAAATAGAGAATATGTTTTAGTAATCTGAAGGTATTGATGGTTTAACAAGAAACATAAAATTAAAGTCTACTAGTACATACAAATAAAATGGGCAATAAAATATATGCATAAACAACTGAACCAGTACAGTGACAATACTGGCATTTTTGTATGAAGCAATCCTAAACATTTTCATATGAAGAAAAAGGTAAAGAAGCATAAATTAAAAGGATAACTTGAAGAAGACCATAGGTAGCATGTCAGGCCTGACATGCTACCTTAGAAGAGATGAATTAAATCTTAGAAGAGATGAACGAAAACCTAATATTTTTCTAGTCTTAGGGGAAAGACATGAAGTCAGTGTAGTTAAGACAAATGAATTCCATGGGGCAGCCTATCCAAGATTGTTGTTCTCAAAATCCATGCAATGTTCAGAAGTATTTCTATTTTTTGGAAAATAAATTCTGGTTTCAGAAAGCAACAAACAATATTCTCTCTTAGAGATTAACAAAGAATATCAACATCTTAAGGGCCCTGAAGATTCTTCTGCAATACAGCTCTCTTAACTCTAGCTATTTTAGTTCCATGTTTCCCAACATTCTTTGATTAGGAGGGCTTCTTTTTGTTGTCCCAGGAATATTGTAGGAATCTTTACGATACAGTTGAAGAAGCAAATAGAATGGAATTATCAAAGATGATGTTGAGTACATATATCTTCCTTTTTTCCTTGCTAGGAGAACCATGGAAATACTTTTCCCAATGGCCTTAGGAACTTGCAAGTTTCTATCTTGTTCATCAACCTATCTTTAAAAAAAAATCTTTTGAGTCAAGTTAATAGGATTATTTCATTTCAAAAACATTTAGGACCTGATTGCCTTTATCAAACAAGCTCCTATAATCTTTTGAATATATTTGCTATAGTTTGCACTGAATCATCAAAAGGAAAACTGTGGTAAAGAATACATTATGCCGTCTAGAAGCATTTTACATGGAGGAGCATGAAATCAGGAACCCGAGAGATCACACTTCAAAGAACTGCAATGCAATTATGGTTCAATGTTGTGTATTGTTTTTAATGCATTCAGTTATGATACATCAAGATGAAGGTAGTTGAAATGATTTTTGTTAATCATAGCTTATCATCAAGCTGAGTTACTTCTTGTTTGTCACAGATTTGGTAATACTTGTTCAGTTGTCTCTAGTCTAAATGTATATAGGGATCCTAGTAATAACTAGCTTAGGAACTGGCTACTGGAGACAAAAGTCACAAACAATGTTTATCACTAGATTCTTTTAAAAGAGGGACTGTAGGCTGTGTCCTCAGGCCAGAATTGACAACATCCTATAAAAGTGGAAGCAATTTTTCTCATTAATTAAGAGTAGGTTATCTTAGGACTATCAGGTAACAATTAACCTAAACTTTTTGACTAGCACCTAGATAGTATTTAGTGAATTATATCAGTGAGAGATAACTAATTGCATGTTCATGATATTATCAGACTCCATGTTTTGATGTGTGTAATTTCTTATTAGAAATTCAAGCCCATCGTTTCTAGGTCAGTGAACACATTATACATGTTTCTCCTTATTTTGAAGCACTTAATGATACATAGTAGGTAGGAAAGATTTAGATATAAAACCTCATAGTCAAAATATTTATAAAGGGGACAAATTTGACTCCCTAAATATGAAATTAAAACCGCTTCACTATAAAACAGCCTATAAGAGCATGTGAAAAGACAAAACAGTGTAAAAGAAAATATGTGCATCAAATGTCATCATCAAAGGCTAATATCCAAAATATTTGAAGACTTGCTACAATACAGTAAGAAACAGACAAACAATATAACACAAAAAGGAAGTAGGGTATAACAGAAAGTTCAGACAAAAAGATACAGGTAGTTTATCAACATGCAGAATAATGTTCCACCTTTCTGGCGGTCATTTAAACACAAATCAACAATGAGATATAATTTTAGCCTTATCAGATTAGTAAAAGTCCAGTATTGTTGAAAGTATTGTTAAAGCAGCTGGAATCTCAAACAAAACAGTTGAGAGGGCAACTTTCCAATACTTATACATTTATGTAGTATTTAAACCCTTTGACTTAACAATTCTATTCCTAGTAATTAATCTTACAGAAATATTTTCTAAAGTGTTTATCAAAGTGTTCAGAAATAAAGATGTCCCCTAAAGGATAATTTGTAATAATAGAAATGCAGCATTATTGTAGTAATAAAAATTTGAAAATAAACTAAATGCCTATATTGAATATGTTATGGTTGATTCATAGAGTAAGAAGACTAATAAGCCATTAGAAGGAAACAGGATTTGCAGAATCTAACAAGCAAACATATCTTTGACATATTGCTAAGTGAAAAACAGCAGTGACAAGCAGTTCATATAATTTTATTTTTTAGATAAATATATGTTTGTGTGTGTACATGCATGTAAATGATGTAGCAACGACTTTCTTTTTTCTATACATATTTTATTTTTCAACATTTTATAGAAAACTTTGTTTTTAAAGAAAGCAAAATAAAATACTCAAGCAAAAACACCTCAGATGGAATAGTGATGGAAGGATGCCATATGGCTAGCCTTAAATGTCTTTTTAAAGTAATTTCCCAAGTCAAATAGTAGGCATGATCTAGAGGATTAGAAGTGCATTAATCCCAAAACTCAGCTATCATTTCTCCATCACTGCTCCATTGATGGCATCTCATCTTTTCCTTGGAGTACTGCCTCGACCTTTAAACTGTTCTCCCTGCTTCTACTATTAATTCATTGCAACAACCCGTTCTCAACACAGCAGGCCGAATAGGCTTTCCAGCATTTCAAGGACATGCTTTCTGTTGCACTCAAGATAAAACCCCAAATCCCTAACCTACCCTGTAAGGACCTATGTCATCTTGTCTTCCCGTTTTCCAGCCTCCTCTGATTGTATGCTACTCCTGCTTCACTAAGCTCCAGCCCTCTGGCCCCTTTCATTTATTCAAAGGCACTCAGTTCTTTCCTGCCATAAAACCTTCGTACAAGTTTTTTCACTTTTTCCAGAATGCCCTTTCCCTGACTCCAAACCCATCCCATTTCTCTTCAATTCTTGGCTAAGATGCAGTCATTCTTTCACACTTATCTAGACTTCCTCAGAGAGGCTTTCCTAACTAAATTATATTTCTGTCAGTTTCTTTTACTTTCAGTTTACTTGTCACAGTTTGTAATCATATTATTATACAATTCTTTGCTTAATGTTTGCCTTTCTATCGGAGCAAGATTTATGTAAGCAGTAACCAAATCCTTAAATCAAACAAACAAACAGTCTATGAAATCACTTTGTTAGCATGATACCTGGCAGCATAAGAAATATTTTGAATAAATGAATAAATGAAAGAATATACCAACGCCTCCCACCCTGTTGATTCTTATTTTAAAAGCCCAGTTTTTCTTAAGCTTACTTCTGAAAGCATCTCATAAAATATTCCAAAGTAAAGTGAATACAAAACCAATCAACCATAATACAAAAGTATTTTAGTTAATGAACTGAAGTGCTATTCTGGGCGAGTAGAAACATCCTTGGGTGCCACTTAACAAAAACAGGCTCTGCTGTTTTCATATTCTCTCCATCTATAAGAGAGTGGGTGTCTCAACCCTGTTAAGCTTTTGTGCTGTTAGAATCCCAGTTACCAGGGGAAGCTAGCATCACCGTTTAAACTGTTATGTCTTAACTTACATTTTGTTTCTGGCGATTTAGATTTTATACCTTTCTGTCTTTTTAAAATGAAACCACAGCTCATCTGTTCTTATACCCTCCAAATTTAAAAGTTTTTATTTCTTTGATGAAGGAGATGGTAAATTGGGAAAACATAGGAAAACCTCCTACCAAAAACATCACTCTTCTGGGAAGAGAAAGACAAACAGAAGCCTAATCCTGTGTTTATGAGTCAAATGTTGCTCGCCTGTTTTAGATGAGTTTTGCAAAAGGTTTTATTAATGTGCAAGCTTTCTTTCCAAGCTCCACAATTGCATTTGTTCTGCTCTCATTTCCAGTTCCACTAGAAACATCTGAATCTGCATTTGATGCAAGTTCCATAAGTATTTTATGCTAGGTACTAATTAAATTTCTTTGAGTTGTATGCAATAGAAACCAGAAGATGATAAAAAGGGACAAAAGAAATGAAAAAAGACTTGAACAATGAAGCACTTGAAGGGATGGAGACAAAACTACTCCAAACTCATGGATTTTTTTCTCTAGAGTTCTGTAAGGAACATGTGTCTGTTCCTTTTTTCCTGCTGTCTACTGGTTAAAATTCTCAAGGCCAGGTTCTAACTGGACCAGCTTAAAACAGGTGCCCATGTCAGGTCCAATCAGGTATTGCCAGCCAGATCTACTTCTGTGAATGGAGTAGGCAGAGAAGGGGTGTTCTGGAAGACACCTTAATGGATGTTCATGACACACAGCCTATAAATTCTACCGAAACACTTTATTGATTGATTTATTGATGATAAGAAAGCTATAAATATAGATGTATAACTCACTGAGAGACTTTGAAAGAGCCATATTCTAATAATAGGATTCTAGAATGACATATTTTAAATTTGTTCAAATACTGAGAAAGAAATAGAAAATTAAGGCACACAGATAACCTTTATGTTTGGGGTGTAGAAGATTGACCTTTAGCAATATGGCTTCCTTTGTCTCCAGTCTCCTGCTGGAAAGGGAGTTTTCTAGTACACATTGAGTCTTATTAGCTTTGACTAACTTTCTCCCTTCTCGCATACCCAAATTCACACCATCGGTTGTTTTTGTCCTCTATGATTTGGTCCGCTTTCTCTCACTATCTTTGTCACTTCATACTATGGCCCTCACCTTATCACCTCATTGTCAAAGATTGACATTGGCCAGCAGGTATCCCGGCCTAAAGTTATTTACCTCCTTTATTCCACCTTCCATGTGCTGCAAGATGAATCTTCCTAAAGCACTACTTTTATTATGATGGCAATCTCCTCAAAAACATTTAATCCATTTTGCTTTCCCACTTAATCAATTATAATCTCCTTTGCTGATCTGCCGAAGTCTTTTAATAGTTTGGCTGTTCTTATCCACATTTAGTTTCCAGTCTTCCTTAGTCTGAATCCATGGGTCTGTCAGTTTGGCCTTCTTAATGTCCTCTTCCAAACATATTCACACATCTACTCCCACTCCTGGCTCACGTTTGGTTTTGTACTGTGCTAGAATGCTGTACTTCATCCCTCCTGTTCACCTATTGAATTCAGATTATTATTCTAGACCCATCTCAAGTCTTAACCTCCCATGAGGTCTACCTTATGCTTACTGTCCCACTTATTTTAAAAATTATTTTATTTTTGAACTTGGTACGTATTATGATTTTATAAAAGATTATTCTGGGCCAGGTGTGGTGGCTCACACCTGTAGTCCCAGCACTTTCGGCCTAGGCGGGCGGATCATGAGGTCAGGAGATTGAGACCATCCTGGCCAACATGGTGAAACCCCGTCTCTACTAAAAATACAAAAATGAGCTGGGCATGGTGGTGCATGACTGTAGTCCCAGCTACTTGGGAGGCTGAGGCAGGAGAATGGCTTGAAGCCAGCAGGCAGAGGTTGCAGTGAGCCGAGATTGCACCACTGCACTCCAGCCTGGTGACAGAGCAAAACTCCGTCTCATAAGTAAATAATAAATATAAATTATCATTCTGTTCTTTAATGTCTGTAAACAGTTTGCAAATTTAGCCTACCAATATATAGAAAGTACATAATACTCTTTTATTCCTTATTATTTTAAACAAATATTTATTATATGCTTCCTACATGCCTGACATTGTTCTAGACAATGCAGATACAAAGAGCAAGACAGATAAGGACAGCTACTCCCATCGGCCTTAATTACTGCAGAAAAAGATAGACTGCAGCCTGGTCAAGGTGAAAAGTGACAGGAGATGTGGTAAGAGAGATAGGGTCAGACTGTGGAGAAATTTGAAAGCTATGGGATAGGGAAAATAGCATGATTCCTTTTCCTCCTCACCCTTCTCCTCCTCCTATGCTAAACAGTATAGGTTTCATTTTAAATGCAATGGATGATCACTGACTCCTGTGTAGAAGAAATATTATAAAAGGGCAAATGAAGAAACAGACAGGACATGCAGAAATCTGGGGAGGAGATGATGGTGCCTTGGGCTAAGGTGATAGGAAGGAAGCTGGAGGAATCATTTCGTGTGTTTACATGTGACCTCTCCTGCTCTATTAAGGGCGCGGTGGCTCACGCCTGTAATCCCAGCACTTTGGGAGGTGGAGGCAGATAGATCACGAGGTCAGGAGATCGAGACCATCCTGGCTAACACGGTGAAACCCCATCTCTACTAAAAATACAAAAAATTAGCCAAGCCTGGTGGCGGGCGCCTATAGTCTCAGCTACTCAGGAGGCTGAGGCAGGAGAATGGCGTGAACCCGGGAGGCGGAGCTTGCAGTGAGCCGAGATTGTGTCCCTGGACTCCAGCCTGGGCGACAGAGTGAGACTCCGTCTCAAAAAAAAAAAAAAAAAAAACCACAGACAGATGACATATCTTAACCTATGAAATATTCAACAGGTAAAAGCACACAGCAGATGTTCCATATATATCTGTTGGCAAAATAATTGAATTTCACTGTACCACTGCTTTATTTAAAAAATTGAGGAATAGAAGACTGATAGTATATGACTGAATTGACCAATTTGCTTTTGTTGTTAACTATTTCTCTTCGTCTCATGATGGACACCTGCACAATTATTTGTTTGGTTTACCAGGCACGATGTTCAGTCAAGATGAGCCAAACTACTAAACTGAAATTTCCTAACATTTTTCAGTTTTTGGACATGTCCCCTATGTGTCACAATATTGTAAGGATCTTTAATAAGAAAATCTCAAGGCAATATAAGATAGCTGAACATTTTTTTCTTCCCACAAGTATATTTCTTTTTAGTCCAGTATGTTTGCTTTTGCAAATGTCATGGTAATGTTTCAAATAATTATTTAATCCCCAATGTATAGTTTTGAGTAGGATGTGCCAATGATTAAGACTCTATGTATGGAAATAAAACTGTCGCTTACAAAAGCTGTTAAATCTCAAGACTGTGTTTGGATGTGTAATTCATTTTTCTTTTTATAACTATAACTTGACTGCTTGAGGACTAACTTTTCCCAAGTAACTTTTTGAAATAAATTTAAATGTTCACAAGAGAAAGGCACCATATAAGTGAGTTGACTCAAAGACATGTAATCTGCTCCTATAGGTAAATCATATAATGAATGCAAAGCCTAGGATATCAGGTTTCCAGTGCAGCTCTCTTCTGAAAAATTACCATCAAAGTAGAAAAAATAAATACAAAAGCACTTTGAAACATTTTAAAAATCATATATTTGGTACTCTTTTTATTTAATAAATCAGAACAGCTTCTTTATGCTTTATTCAGAACAATTGCAAGCCCTTGGATTCTAAAGAAAATGTTTTTTTGGAATGGTTGACTAAAAGCCAGAGTTGACTTCACCAACCTGAAAACCTTCTACTGCCCTGTTTTAATTTGTACAAGAAGCTCTGTGGGAGAAGCCTCCTTCAATATTTACTAATATCATTTGGAAAAATAAATTTCTAATGAAATGGTTCACTGATGAAAATAATGCCGAGTCCTGATATGGCCCATTGGAATCAAATCACAGTTCTATAGAATTTTAGAGGTGGACAGGGCATTAGAAACCATTTAGTTCAATTCATTTGCCTCTCACATGGTAACGAAAAGCAGGCAAATTTTTGTGACAGGGAAGAATGGACAATTGAGAGGGATCCACACACTATATCTTTATAATAATATTTTAAAAAGCATTGTTTATTGACTTACATGGATCGTTTTGTGGCAGGCAGCACTGAGATTTAACCTCTGGTCTCTAAAGCTGAGGCCAATACCCATCACCTGCATCCTGCTTGTTTGAATATCTTAATTTTACTGTATTATTGAAGCCATTCCATTAACTAAATTGTAAACAATAAAAATCTCTCTGCAAATTTTCTCTATTCCAGGAACTGTTCTAAGCACTTACAACTAGTAAATTGTTTAATTATCACTACATACCATTATCATTTCTGCTTTACAGATTAGAAAACTGAGGCTCAGAGAGTTTGATCATTCATCAAAATCCCAGAGATACTGAGTGGCAGAGTATGGATATGAATCCACACAATATGAATACTAAATACCTGCCCATTACTTTATTTATGACTGCCCAAAGTACTTCACTTAAAATTATAATAAGACTTAAACAGTCAAATTACGTTCTTAAAAATAAATAGTATATAAAATTCTGATAATGACTGCTTCTAGTTTTAAAACCCTGATAATTTAACTTTCAGCATTAGGATTTCAAATATATCATCAAAGAAAAAATCTGGGAGATACTTTGCTAATTTGGGGAACATACTGCCTGATTCAAATATTCATGTGAAAGACTGCATCTGCTTCGATCTTGTCTATATCTCCAGATATCAACACAGCACTTGGAATGTGATAGGAGTTCCACAGCATCTACGAAATGAATGAAGGGATGAATTATTGAATTGCAAATAATTTTTATGTGTAAAAATGCTAAAGAACTTTATTAGGGCAAATCTGGTGACTTGGAATGATTCATGTAGCTTTCCTCAATATTAACAAATTTCTTAAATTACCAAATTACATAATAAGTTTAAGCATTATAGGTATTATTAAATAAGTTTATAAAAAATTTTGTTGTTTTTCTTTAAGTACTATATGAATTGAATTGTGCTTTTAAAATCTGAACACCAGAAAAATGTCAAAATAATGGCAGTTTTTAAAAATCAAAATTTGGACTATCAACATAATTATTTATTCCCCTAACAAATCACTTTCCTTCCCTTATAATCAATCAGGTGTAATGATGAAAGATCGATTTAATCCGCATATTTAGGAATACTTGCCAAGCAAAATATAAACAAAATAATACTTTCTTTTCGGTGTTTGTTGAATCTCACAATGGTTAGCATAGTGGGCAAATAAATATATGCTTAATTCATTTACTGGGATTTGTTTTATGTTGGTCTTCCCAGATATTTAAAGTTTCATTACTCAACAGAAATTATCTACTCAGTAACCTTGGCAACACATATGTTTAAATACTATAGAAAGATAATTGGAAAATAGATGCATTAGAAGTAGAAATTTTATACTACAGGAAGCTCAAAATATAAGACTATTTCAAGTACATTGGTTACCATCTTAATTAGCTATTTAAAAAATAAAATGTCTCAACAGATCTGATATTTTTCTCCAGAATGAATTCTAGTCAAGTCAACTCAATTGTTGGGGAAATTTGATATTCAGCCTCCATATAGCTCAAATATTTGATTTGCCTTTGTATTCTAGGCACTATTTTACAGAGAAGACCTGTGTTATATGGCAGTGCTGGGTGATCTCCCACTAAGTAACAAGGCAGCCTGCTTCTGCTCAGCTTACCCAGCTAGAGAAGAGTAGCCCAGCTCACAGGGGTAAGGTGTGCCCTACAGCTGTGCAACATTGGAGAAGCTACTGGATATTTTGAATAGTTCAAACATATTATTTATTCCTTCAATAATATTGAGATGCTTTATCTTCAATAAGATAATAATTATTTTAGATTCTCCAGCAATTGTTAAAGCCAAATAAAAATTATTCCCTTCATTGGGTGGGTGGGGAGTAGAGGGCAAGCATTAGATGGATGACCTTTAAAGAGTCCTTTCAATCTGAAAGGATGTGATTTTAGATGTCTGTAATCCAGTTGGGGAAATAACCCTGAGGCAAAGCTAACTATGAAGGCTGAATATAATTAATTGCTGAATAAATCGCCTGAAGGAAGAGAAGCAACACGAAGTTTAACAAAACTTGCGTTCAGCAAATTTATTATAATGGGATTTAAAAAAAATCTTATTGGGTGGGAATTGTATTTATAAGTAGAGTTCTCTGTGTTTCTGACTGTTTTTATAAAGTGGTGTAATAAATTGAATGTAATCTACTTTTTTTTCTTTTCTTTTTTTTTTTTTTTGAGACGGAGTCTCGCTCGGTCGCCCAGGCTAGGGTGCGGGAGCGCAACCTCGGCTCACTGCAAGCTCCGCCTCCCGGGTTCACGCCATTCTCCTGCCTCAGCCTCCCGAGTAGCTGGGACTACAGGTGCCCGCCACCACGCCCAGCTAATTTTTTTGTATTTTTAGTACAGACGGGTTTTCACCGTGTTAGCCAGGATGGTCTCCATCTCCTGACCTTGTGATCTGCCTGCCTCGGCCTCCCAAAGTGTTGGGATTACCGGCATGAGCCACCGTGCCTGACCTACTTTTCTTAATCTGTAAGTACTGCTGATCACTAAGTAACCAGTTTGATCCCAGCATAGTTTATTGAGTTACTGAGATTGGCTGAACTAAACATTTCTTGTTTTCATTAATATCCTGGGCAATTGGATTAATTACAAGGTTATTAACTTTCAAATAATAGGGTTTTTTTAGATGTCTTTTTAATACTAATTAATCTGTCTCTATGATAGTATCTTGCTTAAGAATTATATTCAGAGAACCAGGTTTTACAAATATTGAAAGAGCAATTTTCAGTGTTATTGCTTGCTTCCTTTTATTGGTTATTAGTATTTTCTCCAATAATTTAAAACTGAAAAAAAAGGTCAGTCTTGTTTTGATATTTTATTTGCCAAGCCTTTAACGCACCTCAAGTTATATTTTGGATAACATTGCCCTACATCAAATAACAGCTCTATAATCCTTACCTTCAGCTGCATTCATCCACTTTTGCCTTTCTTTCTTCTCTCAGCCCTGCAGATTCTGGTGGTCATGCCAGGGTTAGTTGCTAGAAGTTCTTGGTTACCAAAAAGTCCAGAGAATAATTGTCAATCCACTCTAGAAAACAGCACATGGCAGATTTGGGGAAATAATTCTATTGTAAAACCTAAAGGTTGAATGCTAGTTAAAAACACAATCATGTCTTGATCTAGCTGGCTTGGACATCAAAGATGGTAGCGGGCCAATGGATGAATGTGGTAGGCCATTCTTGATAAAGCCCCTGTTTAAGAGGTCTCCTCCTGCATTGATCTCCTTGGCCTCACATCAGAAGTGTCAGCAATGCCAGCATCCAGCATCTTTCATCTGGGAGAAAAGTACTGGGACCAGAGAGAAAATTTCATTTGTTATTCAGATCCATTTATCTCCTCTACCTTCCAACACCTTTTTTTTTTCTTTATTTGTCTCCTCTGTCTCTGGGATTGATTATTCTCATGAGCTTATATTTTGCTAGAAAAAATTTCCAGTAAGTGAATACTAGAAAAATGCATTGAGCTTCTGTGAACAGGAGTTATAAGCATACACAAGTGAACTTTTAAATGAGTTAATCATGACTTCAAGATGTACTCAGATACATTGATGATAAAGTAGGACTTCGGGAGGACTATAATAGCAGCATTTTATGTGTTTTTTTTGAAATAGATACTTCACCAGGAATTAATTCAGAATTCTTGTAAATGCTCTTGGCTGAAGGTCCTATTAGCCTTCACTTGAACATTTTGGCAGGGTTTCTTCTTCCCATTTTGGAAAATCTTTTTCTGGTATCAAAGAAACATGTGTAGTATGGATTTTATTTTTTTAAAAATTGAAATTTTAAAAAATTTATTTTCTTGCTTCATGACACAGGAAATGCTTCCCATGTTTTTGGGAAAGACCTGCCAGACAGTGATTGAAAGGTCAACCTAATCTTCCTGGTAACCCTTCCAAGGGGACTTTGGTACTGTTGATAAATACATGCTCCACAGATGGCAGCATTTTATCTTCCAGAAACCTCCTCCTCTGGATAGCAATGAGTTATAACGCTACATAAATTTAAAAAAAAAAAGTGTGAACATCTTCTCTCTGATCAGCAATAGGTCATTCTGCACAGGATTTCGGAGCTCATGAAAGATGTCCACTGGTCAGTTCATCATAGTGTCTGCGTGTACTCCATTAGCTATGCTGTAAGGAATGCCACTTGCTCTTTTTGTTCTGTGAGGCAGAACAATAGGGCACTCTCCTCTGGAATAGCTGCTGATTCCTTCAAAGTTCAGTCAAAGCCCACATTTTTCCTTTCTGAATAATGTATGAGCTTGGTTCACCCATGTGCTGCTAATCTACTATGGAGGAAGCTTCCAACAGCTTTCAGCCTTTTTGTCTGATGCCACTCAGAAAAACTCACCAGTTCAAACAGGAAGACCTTGTGATCAGACTTTGGTAGAAGGTTTTTGATGAAAAGGTAGGAGTGAGAGAAACCCAGAGGAGTGTGAATTGCACACAGACAGACAGGCATGCTGACCTTTGAGACAGCATCCAATTCAATATTTCTTACCTCATGGGCTCATGTGAGATGGAAAGGTAAACACAACTTCTGATGCACAACAGTGAGCAGGCATTGTGTTGAAGAAATACCTCCTCCATGTCCTCTTGTGAAACGGAGGGCCCAGTCAGTGGCCAGCTCTCAAGCCTTCTTAGTCCATGATGGTCAATGTGCCCCATGAGGGGTCTACTTCTATTTTTCACCTGTGTATTATTCCCAGGACCGCTGTAACAAATTGCCACAAACTGGGTGGTTTAAAATAGCAGAAATGTATTCTCTCATAGTTCTAGAGGCTAGAAGTCCAAAATGAAGATGTTGGCAGAGCCATGCTGTCTCTGAAACTTCAAGGGAAGATCCCTTCTTGCCTCTTCCAACTGCTGGTGGCTCTTGGTGTTCCTTGGCTTGTGGCAACAGAACTCAATCTCTGTCTCTGTCTTTAAGTGACCTTCCTTTCTGTGTGTCTTCATCTGTCTTCCCATAAGGGCACCAGCCATTGGATTTAAGGCCCAACTGAATCCAGTATGACTATATATTAACTAATTACACTTATTTCTAAATAAGCTCACACTCTGAGGTTATGGGATGACATAAGTTTTGTGGGGATATTTTTCAACCTAGTACAACCTATAAGAATAAAGAACCATAATTTATAGACACCTGTGCTAATCTCTAGAAGTATCTGGGAAGCATGCTTAGTGCCTAACCATTTTTAAAATGTGGATAAAGATGCTTCTAAGGATCATATTCCATTCCTCAACCAGAGGGAGACAGCTTCACGTGTGCAAAACTACCGGCCTCTTAGGACCAAAGGCTTCCCTATACATATGTGACCAAACCCACATTCTTCAAGGGCCTTTCTTCATATGACTTTTCTCTGAAGGTACTTTTTCCAGAGGACGTTATTAGTCTTCCTTTAGTCCCATAAATTTGAGTAGACTTTTATAAATTTAGAACTTCTCAAGGTCCCCAAAATCCATGCTCCCAGGATTTCTAGGTAGGAAGGGCAGGAATAAAGCAGTGAAGAATCATGAAATCACAAACATTTGAAGGAAATTGAGGCACTGGGCAGCCAACCCTTTATGTAAGATAGTACCTTAAATTTCTTTGTTAGCTCCGTTAAGCAGGAATGGCCAAGTATGAAACCAGAATTTTATGTAGTAGATGATTTCTGAAGGATAGAAGAATATATTATGAGGGAGGTAGGAGGGCCCAAAACAAATCTCACCTGTTTTATCAGTTAGCCTCAAGCTATTCCTGAAGCTCACAGTGACCTCTTTCCATCATCTCAATTCTTATGCACCAAACAATCAACATAGGTGTTGTGTTTAGCCTCTGTGTTGTATTTGGCCAATATCTTCTCTCTTGAACTTGTTAAACCTTCCAAGAGTGGAGGAATGTGAGGGAGTAGAGTATAAGTGAAGACATTTTCTGTTCTCTGGGCCCAAGGAGGACAGGGGGCCTCTCATGCCCAGCACAGTGGCTAGGGAAAAGCAGGAACAGCATTCTCTAGGGCAGGTGACATGGATTTGAACATTAGAGCAAAACTCCTTTAGCTTTACCATCTCCTGCTGGTCCCTCTGTAGACCTTTTTCACCAATATGTGGTCTTTCCTATCAGTTAAAATGCTTTAGTTGTGATTAATAAAAGAACCCCCCAAAATGACCTATAAAACGAGGGGTTTATTACCTCATACAACAAGAATTGTAGAGTCTAGAAGTTTCCAAGATTAGTTAATTTAGCAGCTTAATAATATGAAGGGCCCTGGTGCTTTTGGTCTTCCTTCTCTGACTTGGCTATGTTCCTGTTGTGGTCTTGAGATGGCTGAGGCTGATGCAGACATGAAGACCAGGGCCACAATCAGGGGTGGGCCATCAGTGCTCTCCTATAGGGCCCCAGGTTCAGCAGGTCCTGCTTGGGTGCTAATGCTCTGTGGTCACTGTATTGAAATTCTTAGTAATTCTATTTAGAATGTGTGCTTTGTAAGTGAAGTATGATGGAACAAAGAAGCATGTACCAAGGGTTCAGAGCCCCAACTCATGGGCAGTCCTTCCTGACCTCCTTGCTGAGACAAGTTCTAGGCCACTTGCTCCCAGCCACTGCCCAACAGCTGCTGCCCACCTCTGCCTCCAGCAGAGGTTGGAGTATAAGTGCAGGGGATCGGGGTCAGAATAATGTGTGCTGTACATGCTGAGTTGCAGGACGAGGCTCTAGGTGTCTGTGAGGGTACCCCAAACCCAAAGCACAAATAAAAACCACCATGACAAGTCAAGAAGGAGAGATCATTGATAAAAGGAAAATGTTTGATTCTGCTTCTTGAATAAGGATCTTCACATTTTAAGTTTTCACTTGGGCCTGCAAGTTATGTGGCTAACCCTAGTTCAGAAATCCAGCATAGAAAACAGATTTTACCTTGAAAGGATTTTCTCTGTCTAGAAAAGTCTTCTTCAGATGCTTCGAGGAGATCTTAGTTCCACATAGCTCAGAGTTAGAGCACACGTCCATGCCTGAGACAATGACTGGCCAGCAATTAAGACTACTCTGATTGATACAGATCAATAGAGGTTCACTTTTGGGTCAAAGATGGTCTCCATCCCTGAACTCATGGTAGCTCCCAGTATTAGAACAAAGTTGGGGTTCAGCAAGTAAGGAAAAATCAGGGTAGAATAGTGGGAGGAGGAGGATTTAGGTAGAAAATTAGCAGTGTCTGTCACACTGTTTTCTCTATAATTTATCTCCCTTTTCATTCCATTATATCAGCTAGAGAAGCTATAAGGATTCTCAGAAATGACCTAACCAATGCTCTTCCAGTTCTTTTGCAGTGGAAACTTTTCTTCAAATGAAATCACACAGAGAACCTCAAAATCAGAAGGCACTAAGAAAACGAAAGGGTAGCTACTTTGGTTGAAACAGATGAGTGTTGCTTGGGTCCTAACAAATTAGGAAACCATTACCCTAAAGTAATAGTCTACCAAACCAATATAATTATGTCAACTTAAATGTTGTTCTTGAAAAATCTTTCCATGCTACTAACATTCTTTTTTAAGACCTCAAAAATGTCCTAAAAATAGATGTTTGTCAGACACATGGGCACTTCAGTTTATTTTCTTACTCAAATGCAACATTTTTTCTTTTTCAGGGCATATAAGATAAACTAACCCATCAGGAAGAGATACTATAACAATTAATGTTTTTCTAGTTTAATTCTTGTTTTTACCTAGGCCTGAGCATCCCACCAAGCCTTCTGATGTTTGGCCTGTGTACTTAATTTCCAAACCACCAGAATCACATTAAAATTCCTAAGCATTTGTGATTGGATGACTTGATTGACTAGCAGAATGTAACTGGGCAAGAAACTGAGTTGGAAGTTGATTTTGTTTTCTTTTCACACCAAACTCTCAGCTACTGGGCAGACAGATCATGCATCTTTCTTTACCCATTGTCCCAGAAGTTTTTTATGCCAACCATTCAGTTCCAGTCGCTCCAGTGCACTCCCAGAGGTACAAATGCCACCAGCTGAGAATGTCAGAAGAGGAAATCCAAGCCTGATTGTACTCTTGAGCTTTACAGAAAACATTTAGCAACTTGGAAAGACCTCAAGAAAATGTGTCCTAACCCTTCCACATTCCATCCACTGCTTTACCATGGTACAAATACATACACTGCAAAACCTTGCCCCTGCAAATACACACTGTAATCCACAAAACTGTGCCCTTGTGCACACACAGTCAGAAACAGAGAATTTCCTCTGCATAGGAATTCTGAAAACAAAGACCAGAGTCTGAGGTTTTCAGCACAAGGACTCCACCAGGATTAGCACAGATGCCTGGGAAAGAAAGGAGCTCAGTCTGGCAAAACACTCCCCACAAACTTAACTGAGCATCACTAGTGGAAGGAGAGGAATACACCCAAGACACACGAATGCCACAATGTCTCACTGGATATTTTCTAGTTCTAAAGATCAGGCTTTAGTTGAGTGATGCTGGTGCACACAGGCTTGCATTTTTTATGTTACCTGTTAGCGTTTCTTGGCTTTGTTCTAATCTTAGGCCTATGGCACAACTGAGGCCAGTTACCTAGAAAAAGTATCTGAAGAGGACTAGGTAAGAAGTGGGCATAGGTGAGCACTGGAAAAAGAAATTCAAACCCTTAAAATACTCTATTTCTTGAGCAATGTCTTTGTTATAAAGAAGGTCATGGTGGAAAAATGAGAATCACAATTTGTCTTAGTCTGTTTGTGCTGCTATAACAGAATACCACAGAGGAGAATTTACAAAAAAACAAAAACAAAGACAAAACAAAACAAAAAAAAACAGAGATATTTGTCTCATGGTTCTGGAGCCTGGGAAGTCCAAGACTGAAGGGTCACATCTGGTGAGGGTCTTCTTCCTGTGTCATAACATGACAGAACGCATCACACAGCCAACACACGAAACACAGAGGAAATCAAGCCAAGTTCATCCTTTTATCCTGAGCCCACCCCCGTGATAACTAACCCACTCTCATGATAAGGGCGCTAATGCTTTCAGAAAGTTGAAGCTCTCATGACCTAATCACCTCTTAAAGGTTCTGCCTCATAATACCATCACAATGGCAATTACATTTCAACATGAGTTTTGGAGGGGACATTCAAACTACTGCACACTTTGACCTGCTTTTTCTAGACTATTGAAGAATTGCCAAGCTGGTTTCAGCATTTTCAGTGGCATTTATGTATGTTGGAGATATACAACTCATCTAAAAATCATACGATAACATTTAGAAAAGTGCTTTGTAAGCTAGGAGGGTGATTTTCTTGTTATTTGTCTAAACTCCTCATTTCTAGAGTCCAGTCAAAACCGGGAGGTTGAGTGATTTGCCCTGAGTCACATGGTTTTCAGTCTCTTGGCTCTCAGTCCAGTCACCACAAAGCAGACAGCTCTAAAAAAAAGTACCCAGAGCAGATTTTCTTAGGGTAACTAACTTCACCAAATATATTATTATGCATATAATATCAGGAGTTACAAACTTTCTGGAAACCAACATCATTAACTCTAGTAAGTCATGGTTGGGAGTTCTTTGGAATGGTCCTTTTCCTGTGGATTGAATTATTCAGGCGGTTTTGGAACTCATAGAGCTATTAAGTAAATATATATAAAATCTGCCTTTTATGCCTAGTCAGCCTCTGCATGACTTTTCTTCTAAGACAAAAGGAACAATAGTAGTCACATGCTGGTGATGAATATATGACCCAGAGCATGAGGAAGCTTGTTAGTGTTTTCCTTTCTAGGACATTTAATTCACTGTGTGTCATTACATCCCCAGGCACTCTTGGCTATGCCAATGTTATGGTCATCTTGGTGCCTGGCTATCAGGTGTGGGGTGACAAGTATGGGGAGCAATGTCAGCTTGAGCAAAGAGGATGAGTCACAGAGAAACTAAAGCCCTGTGCTACTCCATAGTTTGTGTTGAGGAGAGTGATAATAGGGCAGCAGGGTATAATTTCTAATCAATGGCAGGCCTACTTTTTGGAGAAAACTTCTTTGATTTTGTAATATTTGAATAAGAATTAATTGAGGTGGGACATTTGGCCGCTAGTTTCACTGCTCCCTGGTATGAACCTGGTATGAATTGAATATGACCATATTTTTGACCTGTTATTTCTTGGTTTAATTCAATCAGTCATTCAGGACATAGGATTCTATTTCCCAGGGACTTGCACATGTTTTTAGTAAAGGGCCACATAAGTAAATATTTTGGGCTTTGTGGGCAAAATGTCCTCTGCTGGCAATACTCAACATTGCCATTGTAGTATGAAAATAGCCATGGACAATTTGCTGGAAAACAAAACAAAAAAAAAGGCAGGTGGGCATTGCTTTGTTTCAGTAAAACTTTATTTACAAAAACAGGAAGCTGGTTGGATTTGGTCCATGGGGGCATAGTTTGCTGACCTCTGTTTTCATAGTTCTGAAGTTTCTAAACTCACTCTAGAAAGTGAAGGCAGGTCTTAAGGGGCTCTGGGAAGCTTTCAGCTGGAAGAAAACCATGTCCAGATGGAATAAGAAGGCAGGGTTTCACATGAATTCTAGATGAATTCTAGCCATCTTTAGGAGTCTGGGTGGAAAAGATTTGGGAATTCTGATTAACATTAATTGTCTACTGAGGCTTCCCTAGAAAGATTGAAAATTCTCTGTGTGGGATAATTGGTTGAACTGATCCTCTCATCACATTCTATGCATTCTTTTCACTAAGGAGAGTAGAGATCAGTTGGAGGGAGTTTTCTCTATTACCTCCAACCCACTGCCATCTTGAAAAAACAGAACCTCACTTGTCATGGTTACAGACGCCAAAGAACATGTATTTTGAATTTATACCTCAGTGTGTGATAAATATGATTTTGGTCAGTGCAACGTAACTTGAAGACATAGAGACATATGGTTTGAGCTCGTGCTGTGTGTGTGTGTGTGTGTGTGTGTGTGTCTGTGTCTGTGTGTATAACATAAAACAATACCATCTGACTAAACAGTAGGCTTTGCGCCAGATGCCAATCTGACTGAGACAGGCACACAAGCGAACAAAGCTAACCTCAGCCTCCACTTCCTCTTCCCCCAAGAATCTATTAAAAGACTGAAAAGGGCTGTTTAGCATCAGAGAGTGGGACATGATGCTAAAGTGCACATTCTCCAGTGTCAGAAGCAGCAGCAGCTGCAGCCAAGTTTCAATGACAGTCACCCGCTCTGCTATGCCTCAGCACATCCCAGAACCCAGAGGAGGAAACTGTAGCCCTTCCCGGATGTGGGGATTGGAGCAGGAAGGGAAACAACACACATATTATAGAGCCATACAAGACAGCTGCAAGGAGGCGAAAACTGTGCTACTCTGATGGCAGAGGACAACTGCAGTCCATTGGTGGAAAACTTTTCACTTTTTCTCTCAAGTCAAACTTAGGAAAAATAAGTGAGGTGACAGAGAAGCAAGCAGTCTTTGATCCATGTTGTAGGAAAGGCAAAAGGCCCGGGGACTCTGAAGCTTGCTAGTTCTTCCAAATGTTTGCCTATAGTGAATTGTTTATCAAGTGAATAGTATTTTTTACATTAAATATAGAATCTTTCAAGCATAGAAGAATTACTAAAATAACAAACACCTGTGTATCCACTGTGCATATTTTTGATACTAAGACATCTGCCATATGTGTGTCATTTTTTAAAGAAAGATTTTTTTTTTTTTTTTTGATGGAATCTAGTTCTGTCGCCCAGGCTGGAGTGCGGTGGCACGATCTTGGCTGGCTGCAACCTCTGCCTCCTGGGTTCAAACGATTCTCCTGCCTCACCCTCCCAAGTAGCTGGGATTACAGGCATGCACCACCACACCCAGCTAATTTTGTATTTTTAGTAGAGACAAGGTTTCTCCATGTTGGTGAGGCTGGTCTCGAACTCCCAACCTCAGGTGATCCACACACCTCGGCCTCCCAAAGTGCTGGGATTACAGGCATAAGCCACTGTGCCCAGCCAAGAAAGAAAATTTTAAAGAAATAAAATGTTACAGATACAGTTGAAGCCCCCTATGTATCACTCTCTTCTCTCATTTCCTTCACTGTGTTTTTGGAGGTAACTCCAGTAATTTCTGAATTTTAATGCATGTTTTTCTTAAGCGTATTTTATGCTGTTTATATATATATTTATATATACATACATATATACACACATCCCACATACATACATGTTATATACATAATATAAAAAATAATATATAGACTTATTTTGCACATTTCCAACTTTTATAAAAATAGTGTTATGGTAACTTTTGGTACCTTTTGTTCTACAGAAGTTTTAACTTTCATTTAGTAAAATTTGGCCACATTTTCTTTTCATGATTTGTGCATTTTTGTCTTTTTAAAGACTCCTTCCCTATCTGTATTAGGCTGTTTCTGCATTGCTATAAAGCATTATGTAAGCCTGGGTAATTTATAAAGGAGAGGTATAATTGGCTCATGGTTCTGCAGGCTGTACAGGAAGCATGGCACAGCATCTGCTTAGCTTCTGGTGAGGCCTCAGGAAACTTTTATGGCAGAAAGTGAAGCAGGAGCAGGCATGTCACATGGTGAGAGGGAGCGAGAGTGAGGGGAGAGGTGCCACACACTTCAACAACCAGATCTCATGTGAAATTAGAGAGAGAACTCTAATTTGTGCGAAGACAGCACCAACCCCCATTCATGAGGGATCTGCCCCCATGACCAGGCATCTCCCACCAGGCCCTACCTCCAACACTGGGGATTACATTTCACCATGAGACTCAAAAGGAGCAAACGTCTAAATTGTATCACTCTCCTAAAGTCATATCGTATTTTCTTATAAATTTTTTTCTGTTCAAGTCTTCACATCACCTGGCATTGATTTCCTCAGATCCAAATTAGGGAGGCTTATTTTATTTTATAATGTCTATCTGTCCTATGACTGTTTATTAAATTGTCCTTCCTTTCCCCACTGACCTATAAAGCCACCTCCATAAACTTGCAATCCTTCCTTGTGTAGCATGTCCTCCTTTACTTGAGGAGAAGGGTCTGAGAGTATCATCCAGCACCTCACCGTGAGGCTCTCTGGTGGCCTAAGAAGGGGCTCCCATGCCGCCCAAGTCAGCAGCAGAGAGAAACTTGAACACTGGAGGGAATCTCTCCTTGTGCATTTACGACTTGTGATCAAACTCGGGAGATAACTTTTTGACTCAAGACCTTTTGATAATTATAAGGGAATTAGTCATGCCAGCCTCATACTCTATAGTCATGAGCTCCAGCCTTCATAAGATCAGAATGAATCACAGCCAAGGTACAGTCCATGCCCAGCAGTTCTTCACAGACTACAGCCAAGCATCAAATTTCATATATTCCAGGTTTAAGAAATGTGATTAGTTGACCTACAATAAACACACTTTACCACTTAGGGGTATTTTTCTCTGTTTCCTGTAAACTGTGATACATGTGCATTATAAACCTCATACATTATTAACAGAGTTTGTTTTCTTAAAAAAAATCTTGGCAGAATACTATTGGAATTAAACCAATTCAACTTTCTGGACTTTAAGATGGCACAGATCCAGACTGAGATTCAGAAATAAAAAAACAATAACAATCATCAGTTATTTTAATTAACAACCACCACCACAATAAATCAGTTATTTGAAGAAAATCTTCACAAATAGCCTTATGGTAGAGATTTCTGTTGATGGAAATAGTACGGAAATGCCAACAAATGAAAGGGGAAAATAATCTGACTTTTACTGAACATTTAGTAGGAATAAGTCACCACAGAAAGCCCTTTTACATATGCTGTGCCATTTAAAACTTACACAGCCCTCAAAAACGCTATTAAAATTCCCACTTTAAGGATGAGAAGCTGAAGTTTAAAAAACTTGATAAACCTGTCAAGGGTACAGAACTGGTAAGTGATAGGTCAGGGATTCAAACTCAGATCGAATTGGCCAGTGCTCATCCATTTTTTAACGTGGCTACTGGTTCTAGCACTTGGGTGTGTTGCTGTAAGAATAATCATTCTAAGGGCCACAGGAATCAAGGTTAAGCTCAGGACGGGAAGTGTTTGGCATCTCCAAGGCTGTCCCGAGTCTGCTTTGGAGTAGACCCAACCTATGGCTGACCCCAGAACCACTCAGCCTGTGAGAACCAAACAATCTTCACCTAGAACTGCAGCATCGCATCGTCAGATGATCTCGAAGCTGGGTCAATCGGATTCTATGTCACAAGCCTCATGTTACAAGTCTCCAAAATCCCTAAGACAAGATATTTATTGGGATACAGGATGTTTGGTAATCCCAATAAAGATAAAATGTTATGTTAGCAATTATTGCAGAATACCTCCTACAGGTATGAGTCAGCAACTCATGACCTTGCAATTACATTGATATTTCTGCTGTGAAACAAATGAATATTCATACTAAATAAAGAAAAACAAGGTAATACATAGGCCTGTCAGTTCAGAGAAGATTTTGCCTCTAAATGAGTTACAAATACTTTTGGATTTAGATTCTTGGGGATTTCAGAATTGTATATAAAGAATTGTGTATCTGTGTTGTTGTAAGTGTATGCTTCTGGGAAACTATAGTTTCTGTTTGGAGAGGAATAAAAGATTAAGGAGACATGAACTCTGAATACTACTTTGCTGTTGATAAAACTATTTTCATATGTTATTTCACCCTTAGAGTAACCATGTGAGAGACTTTTATTCTATGTTATTGAAGAAGCTGGTCAAACTCAGAGCTTGAGAAACTTGCAGAGGGTCAAAAAGCCAGGAAATAATAAGACTGCAAACATTTATATCCTTTGACATCTATAGGGAATCTGATACTAGGTCCTACTTCCAATTGAACCTCTTTCTACTGTAGAAACTTCCAAGCCACTAAACCTCACTAACGTTTGGCTTTCTTGTCTATAACCTGGGGATAATTATCTTTTCTGTCTAGTTCAAAAGATTTTAGTGGGAAACAGATTATATTGTACTAGAAAAGATATTATTATTATAATACACCTGCATTTGTTTGGCTTAGAGCCCACATGGGGCTTTGTCAGGACAGACAGCATTGTCTGTATTTCCTGGTGAGCTTGTCAAAACTCCTCGTAGGATGACCAGAAGGGGACCTGTCCTCTCCTGCCGAGCCTAAGCACACAGCCACAGCTGCAAAGCCCTCACTTTTTAAAAAAAACTTTCAGCTGATCTCTGAGCACATTCCATTCTCATGATGTGCAAATTTTAAAGGACATTTGCCTCCAAGCAAGTTGGAAGAAAAAAAATGGAACATCTTTTTCAGTCTTTGGACCTCAAAATACATAATTCAGGTAATAAAAATATCATATCACATGTTTTATTGTTTATTTCCATATAATACAGAGATGCATATTTGGAAGGAAGTTATCTTCCTTTTCATTGCAGTTTTTTCAGGACCTCACTAAGAAGCAGCAATGCCGAAATCTGCTTTATTGGAAAACTCTTGGAGAATGTGTCCGGAAAAATGTGCTAAAGGGCATTGTTATGCCCGAGATTCAGTTAAAATAAAGGCCAAACCAGTTCCTACTCATATATCTTGTAGGCCACCACTTATACTATGATATTAAAGGACAATTTAGGCATAGCTCCATTTTCATAACACCAGCATGATGGAAATATTGTAATACATTTGTTATTTCCTCATTTGTTATTTCCTTTCTTCTAATCTTACACACAAATATACATCAAATTTCATGTAAGTGAATATATATATATAATTTTAAGTGTGGATAAGTGTTTATTGCATATATGTGTATTTGCATGTACATATATTAGTGTACACATTCTCTATAAGTGGTCATTTATTCAGCAAACATATATTAATTACCTCATGTGAATATCTATGAGGCACTGGAGATAACAACAACAAAGCAAGTATAACCTAGTCCCTAATCTCTAGCAGAAGGACATTCATGGAAATGAATAATTTGATTAGTGCAGTATGAGAAAATTATCAGTTTTATTGAGAGTCCAAGGTAATTGTATAGGACAGTGTATATATCTCTTCAATTATATATAAATCTCCTAGAAGCTAGGACTGTAGAGATACTACTTTGCATTTTGCCGACAGATAGAATATTGTTTTGTACATAGTGTATGCTTAGTTCATATTTAATTCATTAATATGGTTTTCTTTCAATAATCTGAAAAGTATTACTCCAGAGTAGTGACCAAACTTTGCATGTGAAGGTCATACTTGCTGGAGTGATTTCTGCATAGGACCCTCACAAATCAATGCTTTTTTTTTGGCCCAGACTTCACTGACACTAAGTTGTCTTTCTTTTCATTTATTTATAAGGTATTAAATTCTAAAAACAAAACAAAAGAAAACAAAAACAGCACTGAATCACACCTACAGGGCTAAACAAATGAAAAAAAAATGAGATGAGTTATATACATATATATGGGGTTTCAAAATGATTTGGTCATTTCTTTGCTAGCACTCTCACTTTTCAAGCCAGCCTTTTTGTCTTTAGAGCTGAATATATTAAGTCTTTTCTCTGCGGTTATTGGAGTTTCTGGTAGAAGATAAGACGGAAACAGAGGTTGTAACTCTTTAAACATGTTGATTGGAGATTATCTGTGGATTTTAGTGAACCTTGGGTAACGGATGTTGGCTCTTATGGCTGAGACAAAAGATGCTGGGAATGTTCCCTAGATGGGATAAAAGAGAGAAATTCTTCCCTAAAGTATTAAGTTCATGGCTTAGGCTTCTCCGAGCATTTTTTGTTGGCAAGGTTGTGTTTAAGTCCAGAGACAGAGTTGTCACGATTAATTTCTATTTATGAGGCATTCCAAATATATTGTAGTGTAAAAATAATAACCAAAATTGTTATTTTCAGGTATGTGAGCTGTAAAGCTGACACTTCAGCCCTCTGGCTATTTTTCAAGACATTACCTAATACATTACCTCATAATGATGACTAGAGGGAAACATTTTCGAAAGCACAGTCATAAAGTGCTTCGATAAAGCCCACCCTAGGTCTCATAGCAAAACCTAGACATTAATACCTCCTAATAGGAGTTAGGGGGCACAGCTATCTCTGTTCACTCATAGTACTATCATTTATGTCCCTCAAGATTCTCTGTTTCACTTTGGGACAGAAATCCTGGCAGGTAGGCTATGTGACATAAATTGCACCTAATTCTACTCCAGGAAGAAAAGAACTATAAGTACCCTATAAGTAGCTGTAACAGACAAAACTCTGTCTCCCTATTCATTTTTATGCAGTGGGAAAAATTATCAGCCAATAAAGCCTTACTTTTGCAATTGTGCCTCTCAGAGTCCTGTCCCTTAGGAAGGGGCAGGGTTGGGACATATAGGCACAGAATGGGGACAGCGGTCTACCAAAGCACCACTGGGAACCTGCAAAAGGCTGCACTGCTACACTTCTGCCAGAACCAGATATAAAAGACTGAAGAGTGGCTCAGGAACTGTCACTGGCAAGGGCTGGTTGCAGAGCTCATTTTTCATTTGCACTCAGAGATGAAAAACTAGCTTTCTCATCCCCAGGGCATCTGCAAGCAACATCTCAATTACCTCATTTCTCTCCTTTTTATCCTACCTCTCACGCCTCTGTCCTTGCCATTTCCTATTCAGAGCTCCTGAAAGATCATCCAAGATGGTGGCTCTTGATTCTGGTTATGCATTAGACTCACTTAGGGAGCTTTGAAAAGAATGCCGACCCCTGGGCCTCACTGGTTATCACTTCTAATTCAGATGACTCGAGCATTGTTGGCATGTTCACAAAACCCACCAGTTAATTGCAACATACACTCACGGTTAACAGCCATTGACTTAAGACGTTAGGGATTTTTTTGGTAGGTAATGAGTAGCTAGTAATGTTTCTGTGACAAAGTAAATCTGGTGACATTTTGGTGGGTATATTGGAACAGGGAGAGACTGCAGGTGGAAACCATGGATCCATCAATTCTATCAGCATTCAAAGGGTGATCATTCATGGTGGCTGGAGTGTCATTCTCTGTGAAATGACTCCACTCAAAATCTTTGCTTAAATCAATGTTGTGCTTTGAATAATTGACCGAAGAATTTGGATTCTATTTGGTAAGCAGTAAGCAGCTACTGAATATTTCTTAAGCAAGAATAAATACAGATAATGCAGTATTTTAGGAAGACAAATGTGATGACTGGGTAGGGGATGGATTAAAGGGAGGGAAATTATCCCTTTAAGTAATTCCAGCATTGCAGAGGAGACTGGTCTGTCAGTGCATAAATTAGAGAAAAATCTCAAGAGAGACTTCTGAGCTTCCAAAAGATGGAGGTTATAAAAGAAGAGGGTTTAAGGTCTTTAGGTGCCTCAACTACTCCATCTTATTTCTATCCTGATTGCATCCTCTTAGAGACGCTGTCTAAATAATAAGCCAGTCTTACTGATAAATTGCAGCACCAGCCTTATAGGTTAATTGTAGCTGGAAAGTTAGTAGTCATCCTTCAATGACAGCTCCTCAAGAGAGTTGTAGGTCTCTACTGATGGGGGTCTGCTTGACCTTCAGGCATGTCATACTATTGGTGGCAGTAGTTATTCTTACAGCCAAGTAAGGGATCAAAGCCTTTTTTTCTTTAGCAGAAGCTCACATTCAAATGTGCAAAGAATCCTCTAGAACATGAGGAAAGTAGATTTGCCCCACAACTTACATTATCCTCATTCAACAAAAATTTACCGAGTGCCTACTGTGTGTTTGGCCCTATCTCAGACTCACTCCTAAGGGCTCTCATGGTGTGGAGAGAATACCAGGTCTACTATCACCATTTCCCTAACCCACAGATGACAGGTACCTGGCTTACGTGCCTCTGCTCTCAGCTCCCAAGTCCCTGTGGTCATGGCACATCTTCCCACTCGGCCTAGTCATGGCTCACAGTCCTCCCCTGCCCAGAACCGCAGGCAATCCCACATACACTGCCTACAGGGAGCCTATGAGCTGTTGCTTCTTGTTGCTTATTTGCATGTCTGCCTTGAAACAAGTTGTCTTCTTCCCAGCATCAGAATGCCAGTTCCAGAGAAATATCATTCATTAAAAATTTACACTGTCATTCAATTTTAAAGTTCTCCCTTGGTTAAGCCTCCTTCAAGCTAGGAAACTTACAGTGCAAAAGAGAGGTGTATTCAATCCTCTCTTCTGATAACCCTACCACATACCCAGAGTTTATCTCAGTTGTAATGCATAGGATATGAAAGGGTCTTTTGTGACTGAGAATGCTATAACCTTTCACTGGAGACTTCTGGATGTAATCATATCCAATGATGAGTCTCACCTGGGCATTTTTATAACTTTTCCCACCTGCTGAGACCCCTCAAGCTTTGAGCAATCTAGCCTTAGGTCTCCTCACCTCTGCAGAATCCCTCTCAAAGGCACCCCTTTTATGGGCTGGATCTGGACCAAATGAAAATTTTCCCTTTGCCTTTCTAAACTGTGGAAGTGCAGGCTTGTCCCAAATCAGACCTGTCCCTTCTCTCTGCCACCAAGCAACAGAAACTTCATATACAGCCTCATGCATTGACCTTCTTTCAGGGATGAGCCAGATTCCTGTCCTTGCATCTTCTAGGTGTTCATAGGTCCTTCCCTCAGGGTTCTTCCTGGAGCCATCCCTCCTTTGGATTGAGGGGAGGACTCCTTAGATGCTTCACGAGTGGAGAGGGATGGGTGACCAACACAGCAACAACTCTCTCTCTAAAGAAATCTAATCATCAGTCTATCCCCAGGATGAGTTCTTGGCCACATCTTCTGTAGTCTGGAGGTGGAGGATGAGCTATCTTTGGCAGAATAGCCAACATAATCTCTAAGTGTGTCCCACTTAGGTGGTAGAGCATCTTCTTTAAGCTGTGGGAGAAACTACTGCAGTTTTTGTTGTTGTTGAAAATCCAAGGCAACAGGAAAAGTCAAATTTAATGTCCAATTACATGTCTAATTTTTTATGAATTAAAAATCATATGGAATTTGTAAGTTATACATCTGTAGTCCCTCATGTGAAACTTCTTGGGGTAGATAAGTCTCATAACTCACAATTTTTCAGATTTTAGAAAGGAAATATAGTACATCTATCATAGAGTATGCCACGGCCCCCAGTATTTTAGGGTCAGCACCACCTAACAAAATTCAGCAACATATGCACATAGTCACCCAAAGTGAGATCAATAAAGATAAGAAATGGCCTCTTATTAGTTCCGGTCAAGGTCAGCCACCAAATAACTTGCTGCTTGGATGAAATAAGTAGTAGTAGGAGATATACTCTGGTTTCTCTCTTCTTTCTGTTCTCCAGGCTTCTACTGATGGCTCCTACTGGCCACGAACCAGCAGGTGAGAAAGCCTCGGAAATACAGTGTGTGGAATAAGCCTCCCAAGGACACAGAGAGGAGGAGGGAAGGGCTAGAAATGGGTGTGAGACAAGCACGTCTGGGACTGACACACTTACCTTTTTTGCTCAGGCCACTCCTTCAGAGGTCACTGATTTATTACCCCTCCTTCTTCCCTTTATGTCACTGCCGTTTCTTCTCAGCTAGCTCTAAATAGAACCAGCATTGAGTTGAAAACCAGACTATCTGGGCTCTGTTTAGAAGTCTCCCATTATCTTTTAATATATATAGAGTTCCCAAAATGTGAGAGAGCTTTTGGGAAGTGCATATAACAATTTTATATCATAAGAAAAGCCAGAGAGTTGAATCTATGTTGTTCAAGTACAGCTGTCTTTCTCAAGGTTTGACCCAAAGATTCAGGGTCAACAAGAACGAAGGATGTGTATTAGGTAATAACTGGTGATTTAAAGATTACAGGAATGAAAGTATTAAGACTTGTATATGATTTGGGTCCTTTTAAGCCTTTTTTAATATGACAAGGACCAACAAAAACACTAAAGAATGCATATCCATACCTCGTCCTTCCAGTGAAGGAAGAGATCATGTTGGTTCTTCAGTGTTTGCTTTTCTAATCTGACATGAAAGACAAATACAGAGCTGACTGGTGAAGGGCTAAGCTAATTTCCATTAAAAGGCATGTATCATTTTGTTATACAGAATAATTGCTTTTCTTGCTCCTGAGTGCAAATGTTTGAGAGAGGATGGGGTAGAAAGGAGAGAGAGGAAAGTCAACATAGGCTCAACTGGGGGAGACCAAGTTTAAATGTGTGCGGAGCCATACTTAGGAGAGTGATTCTGCTATATGAACTCTTGAGAGAGAAAGGGGAAAACAGTTTTTAGGAGGTTTTGCTATGTGTTGTGAATGGCAGACCTCTTTGCTGCCTCTCTATAGACGTCACTATGGTTTAAATTGCTTTTCAATACCTTTTTGGAGGTCAGGTAGGTGTTTCTTTTATGTAGGACTCTTGCTGAGGTAGGTCACAGAGAGGCCCAGTTTTACTAGGGTTATATTTTTATAGCATCTTTTTAAAGTGCTCTTTAGTGCTGCTGTTTAACTTTATTAAATAATTCTTCTTTTGAGTTTTAAATGATGAGTAAAAAGGCTGTTAATCTTTTTCTCAGTTAACCCAGGCTCTGTTGGAATCCTGGCAATTCCAACTTGTAGACAGAACTAAAGCAAAATACCTAAGAGGAAAAAGGCAGCCTTTGAGCCTTGATCTTGGAAACCCAAATGTTCAAGATTGCAACATGAAGTATCCCAACAAAATGCATTTTGTTTTCTAGTTTCTGAACTTCCTGTGTTCTTAACTTGGAAACAGACACGCTGAGGTTTTACAGGCCATTCCCAGGGATGCATTTCAGTAAAACTTCTCCATTGTGTGTGATGAGGTATGTGAACAATTCCAGCATCAACGCCCATTAATTTCCCATGCCCTTCCCTGCAGGGCTGTTAGGTCCCAGCCCCAAGTCCCGTCACAGAGAGGGCACTGCACCTGGACCCTCTCTGCAACATTCACCACATTGCATCTTTGACATGCGTGTCTTTGTTCTGTCTGAACATGTAGCACATCCTCACCTTTTTCGGCAATTTCAAAACCTGGATGTTAGTTTCCCGTTCCTTTTCCAATTCTCTTTGTTTATAGGAAAGCATTTCTGGTTACTTTCTAGACTTTGATTACTGGCTAAAGGATGATCAGTTCTCCTGGCAAATTTGAACAGTTGTCTGTGTTTACATCTGTTCCTTATCAGGAGCACCCTGTACTAGACTGGATGTTGGCATGCTGCAGACTTCCTTCTCTTTGGCCAAGTGCCTATTTTAAAACAGTACAACCTCCAAGATTTTCCTCGAGGTCATTATCAACACCTCCCAACAGCATGAGGGCAGGAGGGTGGGAGAGATTTCTTTCTGCTGGGTTTACTTCCCCAATACATGGGAGGCTTTTTCCCCTTTCTTTGAAAATAGTTTGAAGTATCTGTATCATCGCTTTCATTGTCTTGCACCAATGCTTTGTCTTGGATTGATTTATCAGTCTCTGCCTTGTTCTTTTCATTGTCTATGCATAAGACCCTGGCAGCATAGCTGCCCTAATAATTCTCTTCTTGATATTGCCATGCTTTTCAAACATGTTGTCCCAAATGTGCTCCTAAAGGAAGGTAGGCTCAACCTCTGTGTATGTTTGTGTTGATGATTTTGCAGCTGAACAAACAAACATCTGAGGTGCTTGATGAATAGTACCAATTAAAAAGTATCTACCAACAAGGCATATTATTTAAAGACAAAATTTTGTGCATGGATGGACTATGCGGAATTTTCATAATTATTCATTTTCCAGTTATCAGTTATAGAGAACGTGTGCAATTTAGCAAGCCCCCAAGTTTGTCAAGTTTGAACACTTACCTTCAGAAGCAGTAGTGCAGAATAGAAAGTACATGGACTCCAGACCAGACAAACTTGGATCCAAATCCTGGTTCTACCATATAAGAGCTCTCAGGGCCTCATCTCTCCATTTATAAAATAGGAACTATATTTATTATGCAAGATTGCAGTTAAGATACATCCCTATATAAAAAGTGCTTGGAAAATACTAGGTACCCCCCAAATGGTAGCCACTTTAACTTTATTATTGATTTTCCTGAAAATGCCCTTAGTCTGCCTCACTCAGGTGCTCTCACTGGCATGATTAGCTATTATTCTCGTATTTCATAAACCACATTTGGCTTTAATGAAACCATACATATGTCCATCTGGAAAGTAAGTTCAAAAAATAAATATAACTCCACAAAATGATGAAATAGCCTCTTGGGAAGACCAAAACACTCACAGACTGAGGATTTTTAGGTAGGTCAGAGAAATTTTGCCTAGGAGTAAACAATCAATGCCTACTTTTTCATTAAATTCCAGGAAAACTATATCAATATGTCTAGAGTCTATATTTCTAAGCTTCCATTTTTGCAATTCCTTCACGGTAAACTTCATTGTACTCAATTTATCTCCCTAGAAAACCAATGTTGTTCTGGGATATGATTGGCCTCAAGGAACATTTCATTATCTGACTCAATTCTCAAAAGTTTTCTAAGATACTTTGTGAATGGGATTTAAATAATTTGTTTTATTTTAAAGAAAAGGATCATTTCTCAGGAAACATAGTCATTCCTGCCTCTTAGATTTAAAAAAAAGATATAAATGGGATGGGGTCTTTCAATCTGACAGTGGAGAAAACCCTTATAGAACTTGCCACTCCTAGGAATTCCCATGGGGCAAATGGTTTCATCTAAACATTGATCTGATCCCAGTGAACCAGAGAAAAATTTTTGAGCCAAAAAAGCCTTCTATAAAAATTGTAACAGAAAATTAAGTGTTTTGAGTCATAATGAGGATATCCACAAACAATTTCTGGCAATTCTGTTATTTAATAAATTTGTATCTTACAATTAATCCAAAGTATGTATAAAAAGTTACCATGCATATGAAAAAACAAGAATAACTATTTATCCAAAACTATTTTGCATGTTTAAAATAAATCTTTTGAATCAATCACTCTTTTGATGCTTTATTATGCATAGGACTAGAGTGGAGCATTATTTTAATTAATTCATCATTGTTACATCCAAGATCATTTGTTATTTTCGTAGTACCTTCTGTATTTCCACTAAGTACTTTAAACTACTTCACCACATTTTAATGACAAGTCATATGAAAGTCCCTTGACATATGGCCTCTAATATGATCTCTAGCCTAGTATTTCCAAATGATCTGAATTTTGTTACTATGAGATTTCTAATGAAAGGTAGAATTCTTTCAACTGATAGAATTAATTTTTAGACTCAAACCATCCTGTAGGCTCCCCAGGCAAAAGGTAGCTTCATCATTGGTTAGAGTAAGGAAAAAGAGATTGCTGGAGAAATGTGGGGTAAGACTGATGCTGAAGTCAGGCAGAGGTTGGGCCCTGGGTACCTGAGAAAAGCATAGCTGCGTCAAGGATCATCAACTTTGACATTTACTACCTGTTTCCTCCAGAAGGTGGTGCTTGTCAGTCACGCCTGGATGGTTGTGAGACTGGAATAGATCCTGATTCTTCATGTTTCTTAATTCTGTGAGAATCTTTCCTCGTGAAAAGAAGCCACAGAATGTAGAAGCATTACTATATCGGCAACAAAGCATGTTTTAGCACATCTACGACTTCTACATGATATGCATTGTAGGAGTTCATGGTAAAGGAATGGTTGAGGTTACAGCAGAAAATTCACAGAATCATAAAATGTTCAACTAACAAAACTTCAAAGGTCATCAGTTGTAAGAGTTCTTAACAACCCCCTACGAGGTGTGTGAATTGATTTTAGAACATCTGTAAACTTCTAGAAGTCGCCTGCAAATTTCATGTTGTATTTATCCATGAGGGTTCACAGTTTTCATTATATTCCCAAAGGTCCCCCAAAATAAATAAGATTTAGTAACATTCATTTTGCAAAGGAGGAAGCTGAGGCATGGCATGGTTAAGCAACTTGCTTATGTCTCCTTCAGAATATCAGTGGTGGTGCTGGTGATGGAGTCCTATTTTCCTGAGCAATGCTGCATCTACACAAAATTCCAACAAAATTTCTTCATTTTTGGAAATAGAAGTGTTTACAAGGTACTCTGCTAAGTTTGTTTCTGAATCATGTCCAAATAACTGTAAGTTTGGTTAAATACTCAAAGCTATTAGCATTACACTAATGATTTTGAAAATGCTTGTTTGACCAAATGTTTCCGTTTTGATTGATTATGTTGGTATTATCCAGACATATACAAATAACAGCACACTCCCATGACCATGATCCTGTAAATATTCTGGCATCTCCCCCATTAGCAATAAAATGATTCAGCACAAATATGCAGCATAAAAGGGAGAAAAATGGGAAACATGTGTCTGAGTTCTCCACGTGAAATCTGGAGTCATTAAGGGAATGATTTGTATTCTGCACCCTAAGCATGCAGTAAGTTAGCAACCATGGAATCCAGCAAAGTCAAAAGGAACAGTAAGATTGCGAGGGATATTTCCAAAGGAGAGAAAACCACAATTCTTGTTTTGAAACCAAAATAACTCAAAGGCTAAAACCAGTTTGAAAACATTTATACAAGACAAATGCAAAATCTCGTACTCTTGTGATATGATGTGGTTTCTAAAGATTTAGGGTAGGATGGTAAAAAGACAAATATGCTGAGAAAACCTACAGACTAATAATTGCTAAATAACAGTTTTTGTTTTGTTTTTTGTGTTTGTTTTGTTTTTGATTTTTCTTGTTTAAAACGGAGTTTCGCTCTGTCGCCAGGCTGGAGTGCAGTGGCACGATCTTGGCTTACTGCATCCTCCACCTCCCGGGTTCAAGCGATTTTCCTGCCTTAGCCTCCTGAGTAGCTGGGATTACAGGTGCATGGCACCACACCCAGCTAATTTTTTGTATTTTAAGTAGAGACAGGATTTTGCCATGTTGGGCAGCCTGGTCTTGAACTCCTGACCTCAGGTGATCCACCCTCCTTGGCCTCCCAAAGTGCTGGGATTACAGGTGTGAGCCACTGCACCTGGCCACAAAACAGTTAATGAAACAAACAACATCAATAGCAAAAAATGAAAAATAAAAAAAATAGCACTAAAGATCGCAAACAGGTACCATAGAATAACAATTATTATTAGCCTGGATAGGGTTCACATCCTTTCCCAACCTCTGCTTGAGCCTTTCATTTTGCCTATCACCAAGAAAGGTTAAAAGTCAATTTTTCATGAGAAAACAGAGATCAAAAAAGAAGCTAAATTTCCCATGGTGGCTGCACGAAGAGGAGCCTGGGAGTGTGGGCCTACATGATAGTACAGGCTTCATGTTATGTCAGGACATGGAGCCTCAAGATAGTAGGGGTAGATGTCAGGCATAAAATAATCCTATGGGGTAGAAGAAAGTCTCTGGGGGTGGTGGTGTTAGAAAATAGGAAAAGATGAGAAGTAGTTGGAAGCTGTTTCCTCTAAATGTTGAGGAAGAGGTGAGGGCAGAAAATGATCAAGGCTTCAAGAAAGACTTACACAAGCAAAATGACAATAGACACTATTTTCTAAAAACAATGTCCAGGTAGCTTTGGTATTCATGACATTGAAACAGCATGTGTGACCTATTTTCACAATGGGCCACTTTGCATTCAATGTGATGGGTGTACTTGTCATTGTACTTACCACAAAAGGAGGTGTTCAACACTCAGTGAACAACATCTTCATGTTGGTGATGAGGGCTGGGACTAGAAGAAGGTAATATGTGGAAGACAAAGGCTAGGTGTTCCACCCCTTAAACCTTACATCAAGGTCAATTGCAAGTTTCAGTGCTTGGTAATAGCAGGAAGTGAGTCCAATTAGTTAATCCCTTCTGTATTTGGGATGGCTGCAATCTACATTAGTCAACTTGGGAAACAAACTAGCCTTACTCTTCATGCTTGTGAAGGTGTGAAGCACAACACTGATTGTCCACACTCGGTGATTTCCACAGTCATGAGGGAATAGGCTCAATCCTGCCATATACAGGCAGAATCCTTGGTTGCTCTGTTTCCTTTTTCCTTCCAGGTCATGAAAGTTTTTGCTTTAGTAATTTGCTTAACTAAGGAAATCTTTGAATCAGAGATTACCACATGAAATCTTCAGATTGTATTTCCATGGAAATGGCTAGGAAGGAAGACCTTTATTATAGAGTAAGTATATTGGCTTGTCATTTAGTGAAAGAGGTCCCCAGTCTTTTGTGGCCAGCTGTCCAGAACATATCCTTCCCGTGGGGCATTCACACTTAATTGTTAGAAGTGGGTTTTAATTACTTGCCACTTTGCTCTAACTCCATTAAGGTCTATTGTATGGTGGACAGTGGGCATTATTTACTCACTGCTCACGAGCCAGTGGCCATAGTTAAATTTCACTTAGATTTGCTTGTGTGTGATGTGTCAGTCATGATCAATATTCTAGAACTTCTACCAAATCAGAAACCCATTTCACTGCTTGGGAATTATGTTGATAGTCATACTTCCTGGCCATCAGGTACCATATTTTTTCTTTCAAAACTTCCTGAAGATGTCCCAGTCTTGGGCAGTTTTTCTGCCTTCAACAATCCTGCCATGAAAATGCATCTGGTGAAATGCTGTTTCACAATGTGGTTTGTGAATAATTTGCCTCAGAGTACATCACTCAGTAATCTCCAGCCCAGAGTAACAGGAAACCCAGCACCCCTCCTTGAAGGGTACCCCTCCTCTCCAGTATTTCTAGGAATTCCCCTAGGATGCTTATACTTGTGCAAAGGGATGGTCCTTTTTGCTCCCAACTGCCCTGGACTGTGACTCCCACACACTGTCTTCAGGATGGGAACATCATAACCAATTCTACAGACCAGCTGTAACAGACTGGATCCCACCCCTTTCATCATGACTGTTGCTGGCAAAGCCAGAAACCTGCTGAGCATCTAAAGACCCAGACAAAAGAGATCTGCTGCTGCTATTCAAGCAGCATGTTCTGCATGTCATTCATATCTGAAGCAGGATTGCTTGAGTCTGAAACTCATATTTTAGTCACTTCCACTAGTGCAGGACTTTGGCCCTGGAGATTTTAATACTTGAAATGTCATCTAAGGGCATCTCATTCTAAGACAGCCTCTTCTACAAAAGTCTTTATATTCACAGAAACCCTTTCTGATAACATAAATAAAACTAGGTCAGGTTCTGGTATTCAGACACTCATAACATAGATCTAACTCTATTTTTTTCTTGCCATCAAGAAAATTTTATCTTTGGAGCTTTTGTTGTCCTTCCCAGCCACTGGGCATCGGCAAAGACCACCCTGACAGGTCACAGTAGCTTTGAAAATTGAGCAGAAATTTCAGATGGCCTGTGATCTTGCATACATTTGCCCAAGCTCTCTCTAACCACAATACAAGCTTGTATATCAATAGTTGTTTTCTTATCCATCCTTCCCCCCAAAATTCCCTTCACTAGATACTCCACTACTCTAAGTATAGCATAGCCATATGAACATTAGAATTAGGAAATCCTGAATTAGCATATGACCATCATTCCAGATATGTGTCATTAAGGAAGTTACTGAGCCTTTTAGACTTGAGCTTTTTTTTATCTGTACACTGAAAATAATAAAAGGGATAATAACCTTATGGGATTGTTAGTGAGATTCAAGTTAGTTAATAATGTGAAGAGTTTAGAGCTGCATTTGGCACATAGTAAGTATAGAACAAAAGGTAGCTATAACAAATGTCTGCTGTAAGTTAAAGTTGTGGTCTACTCAGGCATAAATGAGGCTCTCAGAGCTGTGGGGGGTTGCATCTGTTCTGCCTCTCTCCAGCAACATAATCTAGACCACAGTTGGCAGGTGGAGTTCTCTTATTCCTGATACCTATCTATAATAATGCTTGGCATGCTCCTTAAGTAAGGACTTTGTGAAGATAGAAACATTATTAGCTGAAAACCAC
Organism: Homo sapiens; assembly: GCF_000001405.40. Taxonomy (NCBI): domain Eukaryota; kingdom Metazoa; phylum Chordata; class Mammalia; order Primates; family Hominidae; genus Homo; species Homo sapiens. The sequence continues at coordinate 150,606,428 of NC_000002.12, read as the reverse complement.
TGGACCCACCTAATGGAATGAAAATTATATATAGGTTATAAGTATCAAGTGTAGAGATAACAGTGTAACTACACAGTTAACTCAGATATAATAAGACACATTAAGCATGGGGCTGTGAAATCCAGTCTTTTCTCACTAAAGAAACTGCAGAATTGGTTTTCTTTTTCTTTTGTCGAGTATTTTTATCTTTTTTTTACTTAAAGTGTTTTACTCTTTTACATTTTTTAAATTATAAAATAGATGCTCCTTGTAAAAAAAATTATTAGCCTATGATTATCGAAAAAAAGATTCTTATATAGTTAAAATTTTAAAATCTCAAAATGTGAAATTTTATAGAAGAGAAAAATAAAAGTCCCTATGACTCTTTTTCCTATTCTTTATCATCTCACTTCTGAGAAGTTGACATTGAAAATAGTTTGGTATATGGACATCTACACATATAAATATATGAACATACATACATATGAGTATACAGTGATGTGTTACTTAACAATGGGGATACTTGATACTTTTGGAGAAACAGATCATAGGTGATTTCATTGTGCAAACATCAGAGTACACTTACGCAAACCTAGCTGGTATAGCCTACTACACACCTACAATAGATGGGATAGCCTATTGTTCCTAGGCTACACACCTGTACAGCATGTTACGTATTAAATACTGTAGGCAATTGTAACACAGTGGTACTTGTGTATTTAAACATATCTAAATACAGAAAAGGTACAGTAAAACTATCGTATTATAATCTTATTTATTTATTTATTTATTTATTTTGCGACAGAGCCTCTCTGTGTCGCCCAGGCTGGAGTGCAGTGGCGCTATCTTGGCTCACTGCAATCTCTGCCTCCTGAGTTCAAGCGATTCTCGTGCCTCAGCGCCATGAGTAGCTGGGATTACAGGCCTGTGCCACCATGATCCACTAATTTTCTTATTGTATATTTTAGTAGAGTTGGGGTTTCGCCATGTTGGCCAGGCTGGTCTCAAACTCCTGGCCTCAAGTGATCAGCCCACCTCGGCCTCCCAAGGTGCTGGGATTACAGCACCCGGCCCAGTATTATAATCTTACATGACCACTATCATCTATGCAGTCCATCGTTGACCAAAATGTCATTATGCAGAGCATGTGTGTATGTATTTTTTTTTTTTTTTAACAAAATCATCTCATACTATGTGCTGTTCTATGACTTGCTTTTTCCCTTCACAATATATTTTGGGCACCTATTTATATCCGTATGTTTAGGTTTTCTTAATTCTTAATCACGAATAATTTAGATATAGTTCATTAACCTCTTAGCTAATGCATGCATTTTCTTTAGGCTTTATTAATGCACAGTGTTATTTATAAATTTTAAGTCTTTCTTAAAAGACTTAAGCAATGTATCTTGTTTTTATTGAAGAGCAAGGCCATGCAATTTTAGTGTTTTTTTGTTGATTTGTATTTCTTTCCATTCTCATATCTTCTGCCCAAATTCCTACAGAGTAATTTTCCTTATTCTTATTGATTTACATGAAAGTTTTTGTGTATTAAATTAATCTTTTCCGTCATATATGTAACGACTCTATTTTTTCTTTGCCATTGATATTATTGTTTCACTTTGTTTATAATGCTTTGCATTAAACATAAGTGTTTGAAACAAACTTGTCTAGATTTTAGTTTGTTACTTACAGATTTTTGTTATACTGAGAAATGTCTTTCCTAGTCCAAGATTACCGAAAAAGTTTTTTCTTTGGTTATTTTACATTTAAAAAATATTTAAACCTTTAATCCGTGTAGAATTTATTATGAAGTAAAGAGTAAGTGCGTTTTGTCCAAATAGCTACACGTATGAACCAACAACATGTACTAAATAGTACATCTTTCCCCAACAGTTTGACAACCCCATTTTAACACACAAAACTTTCAGTTTTTCTAGGAATGTATTTCTGGCTCTTATAGATTCCTCCATTGATTTCCTTGTCTATTCTTGTACCGCCATTTTGAACATTGCTTTTTGAAGCATTTTAATATGTTGCATATTTTTTCTCCCTTGTTAGATGTTTTCATATTTTTCCTCACTTTACACAAGTGTATTCATTCCTTCAAACAAATTTTAATAGCGTTTTTGTAAAAGGTAATTTGATTACTTTTAATTAAGATTGCAAAGAATTACAACATTATTTTAAGGTGAATTCACATCTTTATGATGTTGAGTGATTTTTTTAAAATCAAGATTGTATGCTTTTCTATTTACTATCTAAATGTGACTCAGAAAAATATAAGTATTTCCCTTTATATATATCCTTCACATTTCTTGTTGATTTCTTGATATTTTAATATTTTGCTGTTATTGTGAATGGGATCTTATATTTAATTTTATTTCTTACTATTTATTTTTGATATAAGGATAGTTGTTCATTATACTTTTTTAAACTGCCACCCTGAATGATTTCTTCTCTTTTCTCTGTTTTCTAATGCTTCTTTCAGGTATAAAATAATAATACTTGCTAGAATGTAGGTGGTGGGCATGCAGGTGCTCATTGTACAAGTTTTGCAAATTTTCTTTAGGTTTGAAATTGTTCATAATAGAACGTGGGGGTGATACTATTTTTTCCGAGTACACTAGGCCACACTTTGGATATTTCCTTATAACCCACCTATAATTGTATGGTTACATGAGATATTACTCAGTTCTGTTCTTATTTGGCCAAATACTTATTAGCTTTCTCATTACATTTTCTTATCCTTTATATTTCTAATCCCTTTTCTCCTTTTTTTAAAATCAGAGTGATGGCTAATTAAGACTAGGCTTATTTTATTATGTGCTATATTGAGAAATTTTGAAAAAAAATTTGATTTTAACTAACTTTAACATCATTTATTATTTGTATTATTCAGTGTTATTATCATTTGCAAGCACATGCTGCACAAGGTCCCTGCTCTGGAGATGATATTAAACCTCACATTTAATTATTATCTTGAAATTTTCTGGTATTCCAGGTAACAACAAAAGCTATGAGAGTCTAGAAATAATTAAAGCATATAATTAATATGACCAGTTTAATGTTATCATACACAATCTCCAATTGGCCAAATAAATATTTATTAAAATCTCCAAGCTTATTAAAACTAACATCTATTGGGACAATTTGTCAATGACCTCATTCATGATGCCTTATCATTCATGTACCATTAATTTCATTGTTTTTATGCTTCAGTGCTCAAATAGAACAAGAGGATTAACTTTAGTTATGATTTTATATGAGAATAAGTATGCAAATATCTAGTTTATAAACTGATTTATTTGTTACATTCTACCACACATGTCCCTGAGAAGTTTACAGAGCAGGCACCTTGCTATAGCTTATATTTTAGGCAAACCTGAGCGTGTGGACTTACAAATGAACTTCTTAAGGGATCACGTATTCACATATACTTACGCTGGCCATCACTAGAAATAATTTTAATAAAATGACATATTTATATTAGTTCCTTGGAATGCTTGTAAGCCTTCTCTAGACATCTGTGATGATGAAATATCTTTGTTATTTAACGTTAGTTGTATATTCTATCTCTTTCAGTTGAAATAACTGTTTAAACCAAAATGTAAGTGAAATGAAGTTTTTGCATATATCTAATCATATTTGCTGTATTTTTTCAGACTTCTAAAATGGATGTACGTACATATATCTAAATATATCTAATTTCCATTTTTATAAAACTAGGGCCATATTGATAATACAATTTTGTATTCTTTTTGCTTATTAGTATATTGTGTTTAAGAATGTCATTGAATTGGGTGTGGTGGCTCACGCCTGTAATCCCAACACTTTGGGAGGCTGAGGCGGGCGGATCACAAGGTCAGGAGATCGAGACCATCCTGGCTAACATGGTGAAACCCCAACTCTATTAAAAATACAAAAAAAATTAGCTGGGCATGGTGGCAGGCGCCTGCAGTCCCAGCTACTAGGGAGGCTGAGGCAGGAGAATGGTGTGAACCCGGGAGGCGGAGCTTGCAGTGAGCCGATATCACCCCCCGGACTCCAGCCTGGGTGACAGAGTGAGACTCCCTCTCAAAAAAAAAAAAAAAAAAAAAGAATGTCATTGAATAATCTCTAAAACTATAACTTATAATAGTATGAATCTGCCATAATTAATTTGCATATTGTTAAATCTTTGCTTATTTAATATCTGAAACAGAATCTTTTGTTCTCTAGAAGCTATTATGCTACTTTCAGGGCATAAAATAGATACACAGTAATTGTTAGAAAAAAAGAGAAAACTTTAAAAAGAAATAAAATACACCTTTTCTTTAGAAACTAATAATTACCTGGGAAGTGAGACAAAACACAGCTCAAGAGATGTGACATTTCCGAAATATAGCTGTGAACAGCTATAAAGATCCACAGAGAAGAAAGTGAAAGCTAATTTTTGATGTGGGAATAGGTATAGTAATTGTTTCAAAGGTCATTTCCTCAAAGGGATGATCAGTACAGACACTCACCTTGCCAGGGACTAAAGTTATTTCAATTCTGTTTACCAAGCAAAGGGTACACATGAAAATTTCTGAAGCTGTGGGTAGAACATTAAAACGCCTTACCTTCTCTGGAATTCTGACTGAGAAAGCACTGAACGCCAGCTGAAATTTCTCCAAAAAATTTCTGGTATGCTTCCTTCCATATAAAACAAACAAAAAAAGGAATGAAGGAAGAAAGTTCTCTAGGTCACAGGCTCCACATGCACAGCCTTCCCAAGCTTGGATGTTCTTTATTTGACTGAGCAGGCACATAACTGCAATCGGAAGGACTGTAGTGAGAGCTGGTCATATAAGCATAATGGCTAATACTAACAGAAAAAACACTTGCTCTGTGACTGGCTTTATTCTACCTAGCTTCCATACGCTGACTTACTAATCCACGCAATAACTATTGTGGTATGTCCCATTATAAGCTCCATATTATAGATGAAGAAACGGAGACAGAGAGAGGTTGGCTCAAAGTAGCACAGCTGGTTAGTGGTGAAGCTGGCATTCTAACCCTGGAGTCCACATTCTTAACCATTAGGACAAAGATGCCCAAACTTTCTTTGGTTCCTGGTACCTTTAGTATTACAGTAATTTTTTTTCACATTGCCCCAAAGCCAAGAGATATTTGAGTTTCATTTATTAAGTAGCTAAGTCAAAACAACTTAGTTTTATGTCCTAACAACTTAATAGCCATTTAAAAATAATACACATCCATTAAAATAAAATATATTTTAGTTCACTGGTACATAGCCACAATCAGTTACTAACATGCTGTGTGCACCTATTGGGCACTGCACAGCTTTTCAAATCCTGGAAATCAGACTAGGTATGGTTATCCTCATTTCCTAATTCACACTGATTGTGGTGCCATATTTGTTTTTATTATGTCAGTTGCCAAAAACTCAGCTTTACAATAAGAAGCTGTCATGGAAAGAAATGTAGCATGACCTAATAATGTTTAAACTATGTTTAAATGTTTAAACTACCTTGAGCTAGCAGGTCTCATGCTATTGGCAGATGTCAGTTAATACCATGTTTCCCTCCAAAGTTTAAAATACCTTGTAGCCCCTGTGAGTTCCCTGCACCACCCTGGGACACCTAAGTGCAGCTTGGGAATAGTGGCTGTAGAATTATATTGTCACTTGAGTTTAAGACTTGTCCAAAAATGAATTCTGATTGCTTTTAATTCAAAAGATGCCTTTTGAAAAATTATACTCCAAGTTGCCAGGTTCATTATTCAAAGCTTTACATATATTTAACTGAAAGATTCTTTCACTTGGCTTCGCACTCCTTTGAGAAAAGTATTACAAATCAGAGGGAATGAAAATGAAGCCATTTGGGGGATCTTAGCCATTTCAGGTTTGTACAGCTACAAAACATGGGGCTGAACTGAATGGTTTCTAAAGTCCTTTCTAAACTTCAATCACTGGAGTTTATACACTCAAGTCTTTTCTTTCTACTTATAGATATAATATTGCTTTTCCACGTGAGGATTCCTCCTCCCTCCCTCTCCCCTCAGTTTCCCTAAGCATTGAGCCATAGACTATGATACAATAAACACACTAGATTCCCGTTGAAAGACCTCTGGGGTTCTACTCTGAGCTCTGACATACACCACCTGTAAGACCTTGGGCAAGTCACCTCACCTTTTTGCACTCTTTCTCCTAATTTATAAAAATGAGGACAGCAGTGACTGTCTCACCAAACTGTGGTAGGGTTAAAACAGTGTGTGTGCCATAATCCTCTTCAAATTGTAAAGCACTATATGATTCTATTATTAATATGATGATATTCTAGTGGTGTTAACATCTCTCCACATTAGTGCCACCAATAGGCTGTGGTGATAATTACAATTTATTAGGGGAAAAATGTTTTTTAGGGTTTCTTAATTTATAATCTATATATGCCAATCCAACACCAAAAAATTCTGCTCATTTATAATCATTTTAATGCTAGGTTGATTAAATAAACACATATACTGCAATCTATCTTTAATCTAGCTTTGTTCTTCTTAGTGCCTGATCATTTTGATGGCTGCCAACAAATTCTGAAATTATTTAAACATATTTTTAAACAAAAACAGACACAAAGCATGAGACTCTAAACTCACTCATTATAACTCATTGAAAGTTAAAACCCATTAAAAGTTAGCTCCTATCACCCCAGAAAATGAAAATATGACTTTGTTTTTAAGCTAGTAAAGATTCCTCTTAGCAAACATTATATAAGTCAGATAGTAATATTTTGTTGCTTTGGGGAAAATATTTTCATCTGATTGAGTGGGACATTCAGAATATAGTTAAAGATGCCATTTATTGCATTATTGTTTCCTCTTTGCCTTAAAGGAGTTTTCTCTGTTCTTGATGTGAAGAATGTTGTAATGTTGTATTTCTCCTATGAACTTTTTTTTTTTTTTTTTTTTTTTTTGAGATGGAGTCTCCATCTGTCGCCAGACTGGAGTGCAGTGGTGCAGTCTCCGCTCACTGCAACCTCCTCCGCCTTCCGGGTTCAAGTGATTCTCCTGCCTCAGTCTCTTGAGTAGCTGGGACTACAGGCCACGCCCAGCTAATTTTTGTATTTTTAGTAGAGATGGGGTTTCACCATGTTAGCCAGGATGGTCTCGAACTCTTGACCTCGTGATCTACCCGCCTTGGCCTCCCAAAGTGCTGGGATTACAGGCGTGAACCACCGTGCCCGGCCTGAACTTCTTTTTTTAATATTTTTTCTCTTTGCCTTTGTCTGTTAGCAAGTTTGGAGACAAAATGGCTTCCACTTCACATGCTAATATAATTCCCAATTTTAGTTAAGTCCTTGCTCTTATTTTTCCCTTTGTCTCTTTTTTTTTTTTTTTTTACCAATATTCATTTATTCATTCCTTTTCTTACCAATATTCATTTTATTTTATTTTGTACATTTTGTGGATTATTTTAAAATACAACAAATCCTTTAGAGAACAAATCATGGTACATAAAAGTTATTTATCACATAGAAAAATATCCTAACAAATGGAAATACACTCAGCCTGATTATCAGACCAGGCTCTGACAAAAAATGCATGGCTCATCCAAGAAGGGTAATTTAAGGAGATTAATAAAAAGAATGATTTACAAAGTTGTAAAGAGGGTATAAGCAGCCTGAAAATGAGGGAGCAATGCCTCAGAGGTAGTGGCAGCAGCAGGCTTTCCACCTCCAGGCTTAAGGTGATAGTGAAAGGAGCCTTTACTGGAATCCAGAAAGGGGCCTTGTGTGGAAAGGGCCATCTGGCAAGAGGTGCGGCCTTTGGCTGTAGCTCTGCCAATGTAAAGAGGCCTCACAGGGAGGGAACCAGAGGGAATAAACACCCAAACTTTGCTCTTTTCTTGCCTTCTGATCTCCTGCCAGATGTCAAACCCAACAGGAAGATGGAGGGCCACAGAGTCCATTGATGCAGCGTGTGGAGCAGCCTCTGCCAACAGGCACAGAACAGGGTAGAGACAGGTGGAGAGTGGCCCTGGGGCTGCAAATGGAGGTTCTCCAGCTGATCTAGCAATGGTTAATAATGGAAATAAAAGTAATCCATAAAGAAATGAATCTGTAGGCTGGAGGGAATAATATATGGCACCTACCATCCCTATAGGTCAGTATTTCAAAAAGCAATATTCAAAAAAATTTATAATCATTGAATAATATAAACTCCAGCATTTTAAAGAAAATCCTCCATACGGAGTATGTATTTTACAATATACAATAAAATTAAAACTTACAGCACATTATCATCATGACCATAATTTTTAAAAATAGGAATTATGGCCCAGCACGGTGGCTCACGACTGTAATCCCAGCACTTTGGGAGGCCGAGGTGGGCGGATCACGAGGTCAGGAGATCGAGACCATCCTGGCTAACACAATGAAACCCCGTCTCTACTAAAAATATAAAAAATTAGCCGGGTAAGGTGACGCACGCCTGTAGTCCCAGCTACTCGGGAGGCTGAGGCAGGAGAATGGTATGAACCTGGGAGGCAGAGCTTGCAGTGAGCCAAGATTGTGCCACTGCACTCTAGCCTGGGCGACAGAGCGAGACTCCGTCTCAAAAAAAAAAAAAAAAAATATATATATATATATATATTTTACCCATTCCTAATGGTACACAAATTAAATAGAAAAATCAATGTAAAAATGCAGAAATTTTATTCATTCTTTTTTTTTTTTTTGAGAGAGATTCTCGCTCTGTCGCCCAGGCTGGAGTGCAATGGCATGATCTCTGCTCACTGCAAGCTCCGCCTCCCGGGTTCACGCCATTCTCCTGCCTCAGCCTCCCGAGTAGCTGGGACTACAGGCATGTGCCACCTCGCCCGGCTAATTTTTTGTATTTTTAGTAGAGACGGGGTTTCACCGTGTTCGCCAGGATGGTCTTGATCTCCTGACCTCGTGATCTGCCCGCCTCGGCCTCCCAACGTGCTAGGATTACAGGCATGAGCCACCAAGCCCGGCCTATTCATTCTTTGTTATCCTGTCATAGTGAAGACTCAGAGAAGTCATCACAGAAATGGCAAGACAAAGACAAAATACATCTAGAATAGTGAAATCCAGTACATAAAACATTAGAAAACTAATTTTAGAAATTTAGATATAGACATTTAGAGGCTGGAAGAGAGATGCTTTTGTCAGCCAACATGATGTAGAAATGAGAGTCTAATAAGAAAGACAGAAATATATAGAATCATATTTTAAAATGTTTTATATTTGTATTGGTCTTCTACGCTTGTTTAACATCCCCCGCCACCCACCCCAAGCCTAAATATGTCACTATTGTTATTATCATTTGCTTCTTGTCTGGTTTCTTTGCCAGAGAGATGAAAACAAATCATTTTTTTGCTCAAGGTAATGAGAAAGAAAGGAAGAAAAATAGGAAAACAGAAAGAATACTGGATACTTTGAAAGGACATGATGAATTTAAGTGATTGGGACAGCTTGAACCGGGTGTATTCAGCAATATAACCCCTTGCTGTTATGCCACTAAAATATTTACCATTGTCACTTGCTTTCATAATTGCTATGGGTCTTTGTGAGTTTTAAATTGATTTTGCCACTTGTGCCTGTTTGTGTTCTCTGGCTCATTTAGATTTAAACATTTATCAGTGAGGTAAATAATAAATTTTGCTTGATTTGAAAAATTGGGCTGTTGTGCTTTCCATCAGTCATTTTGTGAATTAAATCAGATTTCAAATGCTACTTAATAGCAACCAAGTCTACTGAGTATTGACTTTTATTAATTTTCTGTCTCTGACTCTGCAAAGCAATCAACAATTAAACCAAATTTAATGTGTCAGCTGCTTGAAATGCAATTTTTTTCATGGTATATCTTAAAAATCTCTGTTAACATAATAGCTTAAACCCGTTCCTTGTTTTCACAGTGATAAAACTATGTAGGTGGCACTTTTTTTTTTTTTTGAGTTGGATTCTCCCTCATGAATGCATCAAGTTGTTGAAATTCTTGATTCCAAACTCAGGCATTTTAGAAACCAGTTAATTCCTATCTCCTAACTAAGCAATACTTGTAATTTTCTGATAGGCTTCAAGGAATGCCTACCAAACCATTTAATTCATTCCTGAGAAGCTTCAGTTTCTGAAATGAGCTTTCACTTCTTCCTTATAAAATAACAGCTTTGTTTGACATGCCACTGGATACTTACATGTTAGCCTTCAACCGGATTATCTTACATCCCAGAAGAAGTGTGTATGGGAGCAAATAAATAGGGGTGACTCCAAGGGTCATGGGAAATTTCCCTGGTATACAGAACAATGTGAGATATGTCTAAGAAAAATATTTAGTTTCATAATTTGGGAATAGGATTTCATTTAGCACTTTTGAAACATGTGTCTAAATCAGTACACAGCTAGCTCAGGAAAACAGTACTGAAGTGCCTGAGCTTTCATTCATTTCATTGTTAGCTCTGATGGTCGTTAGGTTCCCAAGCAGTGACAGAGCACGGAAGCTGCCTGGATCATGAAACACATCCATTCCATTTCCTAGGTGTTGCATGTGGGTTATTTTGTTGTTTTTGCTGTGTGATGTCCAGAATTGGCCACATTATACTTTAATTCTCCATTTCCTTTAGGCTCATAGGACTCTTCGCTGAAAGGAAGATTTGATGTTGTTTTGTCCAATCCACCATCTGGTGCTAAATCTGTATACCCTCCTTGAATTTCCCAACCTGTTTAGCAAATAGCAGATTTTGAGGGAAACACTTTGTCTTAGTCTGTTTGTGCTGCTACAAAGGACTATCTGATTGGTAATTTATAAAGAAAAGAGGTTTTATTGTTTGTTTGTTTGTTTGTTTCACTGTTCCGTAGGCTGTACAAGGAGCATGGCACCAGCATGTGCTTCTGGTGAGGGCCTCAGGAAGCTTCCGCTCTTGATGGACAGTGAAGGGGGGACAGGCATACATGGTGAGAGGAAGGAAGCCAAAGGAAGAGAGAGGTGCCAGACTCTTTTCAACGACAATTCTCAACAACTCACTCCCCATGAGAATGTCACCAAGCCATTCATGAGGTAGCTGCCCCAACAACTCAACACGTCTCCCACCAGGCTCACCTCCAACACTGGAGATCAAATTTCAACAAGATACTTAATGGTGCAAACTGCATCCAAATCATAGCACATTAAATGAACTACCTACTTCTCTGTCACTCACCTTTGAGTTGCTGAATATCAGAAGGTTCCAGATCTAGATAGATACAGCTCTAGACAGATCCAGATAATTTTTCTGTAAGCCAGAAAAATGGGGGCTCACCATGAGACTACCTATTGTAGAAACATACGGCTTTGATATACAAGGAACCCTTTTTCCAGTCTGTATGCTGTATGCTTCTTCCCCCTCCCATTTTTGTTCCTCCTAGAGGCTAACTTCCAAAGTTCCTACTAAGCCTTGATAAAGCAAGGTTTGAACCCTGTGAGTATTCCTGCCCCAGGTGCTGGTCAGATGATGGTCACAGGACAGACTCTCCTACCCAAACCTTAGCATGATAGTAAAAACCTTAGCACCGCCATTGACTATTTCACTTCTGACTGGCAGTTTCTGAGAATCCCTTTACTGTGATTTTTGAAATAATCTGATGCCTTGATTTTCTTGATAGAACCTAAAATATAGCATTTGGAGCATGTGTCCTTTTTAGAACCACATTAATAATGTAAATACCAGTCATCGTATTTATGGCACAGAGTTCACCGCTAGCAGTTTAAAGTCAGAAGCGTAGAAAGAAAACCATGTGAGTTTTTATCCAGCTTCTACCACTTGCTGATGGCATTACGTGACCTTAAGCAAATAAACTTCTTGGTTTCCTAATCTACAAAATGGGAATAATACAAAGACATGTTAAGTGCCATGGGCAACGCTCATCCACAGTGTAAGTGTGAGATGAGTATGGGCTATTGTTGCTATTAGTCTTGAATAAACTATGATGAGAAGGCCATCCCTGACCATTGCCACCCAGGTGGTGAAAAGCTGAACCCAAGCAGAGTTCTCAACCTTCTCTGTACACGCTATGGACGCTGAAGACATTTCACAGAATTGTTACACTAGACCCTGCACTGTTTACCTTTAGCCAAATCTACTGAGCTTTACTCTCATAAATAGATGACAAGCAATTACATCTTAAAAGAGATCTTCCGTGGTGTCCTCTTACGGTAAGCAGATGTTGGCATCAGGAAATTGTCTTGCATCTTAAGTCTTTTGTATTGCAGCTTAAACCAATTTCCTTATTCTGTTCTTGATGAAGAGGAAAAGCCTCTGCTCACTAGATTCTGTAAATAATGAGTTGGGTAGGGACAGAGGCAGGAAATGAGAACGCCCACCTTGAGCTAGGAGATCATCATTTTGCATCCAGTTTTCTCCCAGGCAGCAAAGTGAGCCCAGGTAAGTAATCAGTTTTCTAACCTGTAGATGATCTTTCAAGTTTATTTCACCTCTAACTTACTGTAACTCTCAGTTACGGTACCTTGATGTGTTATTATGTTTTTAAATTACTGTTTAGAGATAATACAGATAACTTGCCTACTGCAGTGACTGACTTATTGTAGAAATGCAATGCAGGTTTGTTCTCTTTTCTTCTTTCTTCCCTCTTTTCACCTCCTTTAGCATTAAGAGAAACCCCATTATTGGGGAATGGTTTCTGTGATGACAGCCTGTTGTAATATTTCTCAGATCATGCATATATTGCAGCTTCATTAAGAACCTTTTAAGAGTAGACATTGAATAAAATATTCTCTGAAGATAATGGACAAAAAGGAAATAAGAACAGCACAAATTGTCATTTGTCCTCCTGATCCCTAATCAAGATTGTCTTCATTGAAACAGATGGAGTTGGTGATGATATTGAAAATTCTTCTTATTGCACAACTGTGCCACGGATGACACTAGGTCTGCATTTACATTAAAGTAATGGCAAAAACTGCAGTTCATTTTGCACCAACCTAACAGTTGTTTTGCTTATTCTTCTGAGGAAAATTAAAATGAATCTAATTTGGTTTCAAAATTCATCTGAGCACAATAGCAGCCGCACATCCACCTATAGAAGGCTTCATTCTATTAACTTTTAACCATCAGAGCAAAACTACTTTCTCCCAAGTTCATCGGCCTTTACTGATTATGTTAAAGTGTGTGTGTGTGTGTGTGTGTGTGTGTGTGTGTTGAGAGAACAGTGGGGATGGAACTTACCATTTAATGAGCTCAATTATTTTCAGCAACATGAGATATCAAAATATTTCCGCAGGCAGATTTTGCTGACGTACAAAATTACATCTGGCCCACTCTAACCATTTGCACCTAATATGTGAGTATCTCCAGAAGCAAAAACATAATATTTTGTAGAATATTTCCAGTGCATGATGTAACATATGCCTTACCTTTACAAGGCAAATAAAAGCAGCCAAGGTTAATTAACTGCAAGCAGAACTTGAAGAAAAATACTCTACACAAGCAGTGCTCAAATGTGGCTGCACATACAGGAATTACCCAAACAGCACTGCAAACAGCACTGATGCCTGAGTCCCACTCCCAGAAATTCTGCTGGAAGTTGTCTGGGGTGCAGCTTGGACATGAGGATTTTTTAAAAGCTCTCCAGATGATTCTAATGTATAGCTAAGTTTGTAAGCCACTGATCTATGTTTGTATACCTTGAATTTGGCTTATCAAAAAATTTATGTGAGGAAGGAGGGATCTTTAAATTTAGATTCTTTAATGACCAGTCAATTGCTTCTGAATTGTGATTATAAATATTTCCCTCTTTACATAACTGTGTTCTAGAAAACCAGAAAGGGGTTGAAAATAAGGTGGAGAAAACCGTTTCCTTATTAGAGAACGCAACATAACAAGGAAATAAAGGAGAAAGAAGTTTATGTTGCTCTTATGTAAAATGTCTAGAGGTGTGCAGACCTATGGCTATAGGGTGGCTCCACCGATCATAGGGAACCTCTCTTCTTATATCGTGTTCCACTTCTGTCTTTAATAATGCACTGCCTCATGTTTGTCCTAAATAGCTGCTCAAGCTCCAGCCATCACAGCAGGAAAGATGAAGTCACACAGAACATCCCATTTAAAGATACTCCTTAGAAATGGAATAGGATGCTTTCACTTACATTCCTTTAACTCAGTGGTCCTCAACTGGGGTACATTTTGTCCCTTAGCTGATATTTGACCATGTCTCCAGACATTTTTGGTTGTCACAACTGGGATGGGGGGTGGGAGGCAGTGGAGACTACCGGCATCTGATGGGAAGAGGCCAGGGACGGTGCTAAAATTTTCACAAGGCACAGAACAGCCCCTGCACAACTAAGAATTATTCATCCCAAAATGTCAATAGTGGCAATGTTGAGAAATCCTGAGAAGCTTAGTCATGTTAGTCATATGGCTGTAACTAACTGAAAGGAAGATAGGAAATTAAAGCCTATATTCTGAGAGGCTGAATGCCTATTTAAAAATTAGAGATTCTATTACTAAAAAGGGTGGAATGGACATGGGGTTGGGGGGGAATGTTTGTACCATATTACCCGATACATTCTAACTTTCAACTCTGGTCAAAAACATTTGAGAGCTGAATTTTGTTCACTCATCCATGATCCATCATGCAACCACGATGCAAACTTTACACCCAGCATGGACTGGCCGGTTTTTGAAGCAAAACCAGACATTTGCATGAATAGAAATGCAATTTTAATGAGGGCTTTTTTGGCTTTTCTTCCTAAGAAGCTAGGGTTATATTTTAATGAGTTAATCTCATGAATATTCAGGATGAGCCCGCTAGCACTGACTACATCAGTAGTGGGTTACAAAAGGAGTTTCCAGGACAAAATGTGCACTTTGAATTTTCTCTTTCTTCCCACCTCTCCTTGGATAGAAATGTCCCTTGAGATGGAGCAGAGGTACCATAGATATTCAGCTCCTTGGTCTCTTCCAGTACTTACTGTATTTGGAGACAATATACAAGAATAAAGCTGGACCTTTGAGTATATCCAATCCAACCTCATTTGGTAAATGAGAAAAGCAGGCCCTAGAGATTGGGATTCTAGTACTAGCACGCATTCAAACTAGACATGTGATCTTAGGCAAGTTCTTTACCATCTCAGCCTCAACTCATCTCTAAAATGAAAGGATTGGAATAGATGATGTTGTAGGTCACTTCAGACTTTCAATTTATTTGTTTCACAAAGCTCTGGCTCTAAGAGTTTTAGCCAGATATATAGAATGAAGAATGGGGTAGCTGAGCCCAGAATCTGCCCTGTGAGTTTGAGCTCACTTGTGGATTTTGCACTTTTCATTTTGTTGTCAGGTTTATACTGACCTCCAATTAGTATAATGGAAATATAAATGTCCTGAGAGGCCAGGCTTTCCTTGAAGACCAAGTTTTATTCAACAAAGATGAACATTTGAACTGCAGCAAAACAGACCGTTCGTTCCAGCAATTAATACTGCCCAACACCATTCAAACGTGATGATGTGCAGATGTGAACAGAGTATTCCCTTGTAATTTCTACACCTGTTGTTACTTCCCAAAACTGGCCTATATTTGCTGAGAGAAAGCCACAGGATCAATATTTAATCTTCAAAAAAAAAAAAAAAAAACCCAAAAACCGTAATATAGTATCCTACAGTTTACATCCATTGGGCATGACTTCCAACAGAGAACACCAAACAACGCTGGCCTTAATTGCATCAGAATACATACAAACATCATACATACATCAATATACCTGTAATTTTCAATCATTTCATGTTTTACTTCTTGAAATCCTGATCTATTTGGTTTCTTATCTCCTAGGGTTTAACCTCTAAAACTAGTTGACAAAAATTATAATGAACAGAAATAATTTTTAACAGGTAGATAAAAATAGGTCTTAATTCAAATCAGAGAGTTTTGGAAAAGTCAATAAATTTTTAACATGCTCTCAGTATATCCAAATATTTTGAAAAGTGAGTTCTTTGGAAGTTGCCATAGCAGCAGGTATTTGAGACTAGAAATATCTTTGAGTTTATATGTTATGTTGGTGTCAAAATTGTCTTATTATAGAAAGTGTCACAGATTTTCCATTCAGCATTACTTGGTAACAGTCACGGCAGGTAAGAAAAATCTGAGGAAAGTACCAAGGAAGGCAACTGCTAATACTTCCTTGTTTAACTTAGCCTTTCTAGGCAATTTAAGAAAGAATGAAATACATTACCCAGTGCATATTTCATTCATTCAGTGTAACTCTATTTTTTTAATAACGATATTCAGCACATATCAATAACTAGGTGTATTTATCTGCCAAAGACACACATTATGCTTCACATAATACTTTCAATTTTACTAGGCTAGTTTTGTAAACAGAAGATGATTACTTATTCAACAAAGATCAGACAAAGTAAAATAGCAGAAATGTTAGATGTTACCTCTGTGGTGACATCCAGGGATTCCCCTTCAGGGTGGATTAACTTTACATAGGAATCTAAAATAATTATGACTACACATGCTGAAGAATGAAATGTTCCCATCAGGCAATGATTACGACCAGCATCAAGATAGAATTTCAGCAGGCAATCAGAAATCACCAATTATGCAGAGTATATGCAAGAGATAATGTTGTTGGTGCATAAAAAAGCAGGAATGAATAACTGGATAAGATTTTTAAAGGGAGCAGATGGACTCATTTTGGCTCCTGACAGTTGACTTGTGCGTACTGTATGCACCTGACCCATGGTAACAGCCAACTACCCACACTCATTTGCAAAATGCTCTTCAACCACAATGATAGAAAACAAAGCAGAACAATTCTTGTTCAAACAGAATCTATTTCTTCTATACTTTATCTACCCAAGCCCTTTACTTTTCCCAAAAGCACGAATTTCTAATTTACATTTCAATGATGCATGTAACAATTACTTTATGTGTTTGCCAGCATGTTTTTTGAGATGCTTGTTATCCCACCACAACAGGAGCCACCATTATCTAAGATTTTTCTTGCTGGTTATTCTCTCTCTCTCTTTTATTTTTTTTGAGACGGATTCTCACTCTGCCACCCAAGCTGGAGTGCAGTGGTGCGATCTCAGCACACTGCAACCTCTGCCGCCTGGGTTCAAGCGATTCTCCTCCCTCAGCCTCTGGAGTTCCAGAGTAGCTGGGATTACAGGTGCCTGCCACCATGCCCAGCTAATTTTTTTTATTTTTATTTTTTTTTAGTGGAGATGGGGTTTCACCATCTTGGCCAGGCTAGTCTTGAACTCCTAACCTCGTGATCCACCCACCTCAGCCTCCCAAAATGCTGGGATTACAAGCGTGAGCCACTGCTCCCAACCTGGTTATTCTTAGTGAACCTTTACAGCTTTCTGCTATCAAGGATGGATTGAAGTTTGCAGATTTGGGGCAAGTTTCCATAACACAGAAACAAGAAGGGACATTAGTTTTTATGTAGTTCACGTTTCCACCTTTGAGATGTGAGATAAAGTACATAGAATCAAATACCTTGTCAACAACTAATTCGTGGCAAGGTCAAAACCAGAATGCAGGTGTCCCTAAAACATAGAAGCATAAACCACAATAATTTATTTCTCATAATGTTGTGAGGTGATTGGCTGACTTTTCTGCTGGTTTCACCTGGGCTTACCTGTATGGTTGCATTTAGCTAGAATGTTATCCTGGCCAGAAGGAACAAGATGGCTTCACTCGTCTTGCTGGCTGGGGCACATAGGCTCTCTTTGCAATGGGCTCTTGTCCTCAGGGGGGCTGGGCCAGCTCCCTTTACATGGCAGTCTCAGTCGGTGTTGCAAGAGAGCAAAAGCAAAAGTTGTAAGAACCCTTAAAACCTGGCCAGAACTGGCACTGCCACTCTTGTCCCATTCTGTTGGTGAAAGCTGGCCATATAGACAGATCAGATAAGAGAAGGAGAAATGGATTTCACTTCTTGATGGGAAGAATAGCAAAGAAACATTGCAAAGGAGCATGGTAGAAATCTCCCTAGGTTGTTTGTAAATGCTTTTCTATGTTCGGTCAACAATCTCAACGAGGAAGGACTACATTTCTGTGTCAGCCCAGCCTCTTCATCATTTGCGTCATTGTTGCTGTTGCAGCAAATGGGTTCATCCTAGTTTTTCTGCAAACACTTGGCCAACAGCCAATTTGTAGGGAAATTTATCTGATTTTGGTTGTTTGGCTTTATATAACAGTGAAAACTTTTAAACCATCTAGTAAAAAATAACTAGGTTCTCTTTTAAAATTAACTTGATTTGTAACCTAATACATTTTACAAAGTAATAAAACCTTGAGAAAGCCTTTTCCTGCTCTTAAGTCGAATCCTTAAAGTTTGATTAGTTTCCAACTGAAAGCTGTCGGGTTGAGCAAAATGCCTGTGCTTACAGTTTATGAGAGATGCCATTTGGTAACCTGAAGGTGGCAGATGCAAAGGCCAAAAGTGGAGAATGGTAGTGCGGCCAGGGTCGGGGGCCCCCAGCTGCTTTTTTGATGGGCTTTTTGTCAAAGTCTCTCCTCTAAGGAACGTGACTCCATGCAAGTGGCTGTAGGTCTCAGAATAAATATTTCATTAGTCGTGATGGTTTTGAAAACTTAAAGCTGTGAAGGACACATTGGAATCTCTCTGATTTATGATAAAGCTGAAGGAAATTTGATCATTCCAGTCCTGCCATATGTAGCTGTGAGAAATGTGCAAATGAATTGAACTAGCAAACCCCACAGATTTTGTTTCTTGATTACAAAAAAAAGTCTTAAGTCAGATCAGCTAACAGGCAATTTGAAACAGGGACTTAGCAAGGCAGCTGTTTTAGATGAAATTCCTTTCAGATGCTTCTTTCTCCCTTCCCCCGTCCATATTTTTCTTGCAAGGACTTAGAGCAGCTTATCTTCCAAAATTATTTTGGTGCTGCCTATCAGTGATTAAAAAAAAAAATAAAAGCCTGGCATAGTTCTGTAGGTGCATATGTTACTCCTCTATCAGTTTGCTCTTTGAGAGTGGGTGTTTTACCCATCCTAGTATGCCCACCAATCTTATTCTCTGCACATAATAATTCTTTATATGGTACATATAAGGCATTTAGCACAGAAGCTCAATAAAATGTACAAATCTTTTGAGTATATTATTAAATTTAATTATCATAAATATCTAGAGAGAAAGAGAAGTTAAATGACTTGCCAAACTTTATACAGGAGTTAGATGGCTAAACCAATTTGAACCCAGGGCTCCTGAGTTGTATCTAGGTTCTTTTTCTGTTACAACATGTTTGACATTTCATAATAGGTGCTCAGTAAATATTTATGGAATGAATGAATCCTCATTGTGATTGTCTTTGTTACCAGGCAATGCAGCTTAGTCAACAGAGCATATTTTAGAATCTAAAATTTAGATCAGCACGTCTGTTCTAAAACACAGTGATTCTTTGACTCTTGTCTTCGGTGACCCATGAACAGACCAGACTGGCCAAAAAGGAAGGAAGTGATTCATCGGGTCATTTGGACAAGGACTTCATTTCCCAATATGACAAGTCTTTCAACCCTTGCCCACAGTGATAGGAGCTTGGAGGTAATCAGGCTCAATGAACTGAATTTTCTTTTCTCTGTGGCATAGGTTCACATTCCTTTATCCAAAACTCTTAGATGAAAATTCAAAATATTTTAGATGTTAGAAAGGAAATACAGTGTATATTCTAAATATTCTGCATATACAGGCCTGAGGGTGCACCACACAATAAATATATTAAAATTTATACAGTGAAATAAATATTCTTAGTAGAATAAAGTCTATAAATAGCCTCACATCAGATTAAGGCAGATTTTGCCACTCAAAGAGCTTTGGAGCCAAAATTGCAAAAACATTTACAGTTTCAGAATTTTCAATTTTGGAATTGTGTATAAGAGATTGTAGACTTGAATTCTGGTGATAAGACGAGTCTCATAGAAATATGGGAAAAACTTTCTCTTGAGTGACATTTAAACATTTGGAAAGCAAACAAATGGACACACCGCTTCTCTTCTCTTCTCTGTCTGTGCCAATAAAAGAAAAAAGGCAAGAATTCTTTTCTAGACGGAAGATGTACCTGTATAATGTGCATTTCTCCACTGTCTCAATTTAAATATCCTTCCTTTATAGAGAAAAGCAGTCATGTTGCACCTTTTTAATGCCCATTTGAGTAAGTCCTGTAAGTCACGAGTTCCAGAGAAATCTACATTTCATTTTTATTGCATGTGAACCAAATATCTTACCTGACACGTGTCAAATGTATAAACACAATCTTCAGTTAAGTTTTTCTTTGTCTCTGTGCTTGTTCAGTAACCAAGGGCCTAATAAATGTTACTGGTTTTTTGGCCCAGTGCTGTCAGATTCCCTTAAGTCAGGCCCAATGCAGAAAAAGATCAATGTAGAATCAGTACAAATGCTGTAGGTTGGAGCATCCATCAGTTCAACCAGGAAGAAGGGAGTGGGGTGGGATGTTGTAAAATCATTACTCTTCACAAATTCTACCTCTTGAAATCAGAATCCAAATTTCCTCCATGTCATTTTCAAAGTTCAAAGAGAGTTATTTTCTTAAATTGCACTTCATTCTTTTTAGGAACATCTGTCCCGCTTGTTTCATCTTGTGTGTAAATGAGCTACAATAGCAAAAATTTCTGTCATCTTTGTCACTGATCTGGAATGAAAGTTACCAGAGAGTCTCTTGAGAAATGTGGTGGAGGTAATTGTGAACCCTACAAAAATGTGAGTCCTACATTGCATTTGTTAACCAAAAATCCTGGAAAATGGATATTTTCCTAATATCATCTCTAATAACCAAAATGTCTCTGCATAAATCACATATATAAGGAAGGTGCTTACACTTTCTAGAGTAATAACATTAATAAGAAATCAACTTCAGATAAAGAATAAAATAGCTATTTATGTGGCAAGGTATCTGAGATCTCAGATTATGAAAGTTAGCAAAATAAGATTAAGTCATCCAGGAAAAAGAAGAAAGAATCTACCAGTATGTTGGTCTCTTCTCACGCTGCTATAAATAACTGCCCAAGACTGGGTGATTTATAAAGAAAAAAGTTGTCTAATTGTCTCAGTTCCACATGGCTGGGGAGGTCTCAAGAAACTTATAATCATAGCAGAAGACACCTCTTCACAGGGTGGCAGGAGAGAGAATGAGTGCCCAGCAAACGGGAAAGCCCCTTACAAAACCATCAGATCTCGTGAGAACTCACTCACTATCACGAGAGCAGTATGGGGGAACCACCCCCATGGTTCAATTATCTCCACCTGGTCCAGCCCTTGACACCTGGGGATTATTACAATTCAAGGTGAGATTTGGATGGGGACACAGACCCAAACCATATCAACCAGTTATCTATTACATTTCTAGTTTGAGCTCCCTAATTCTTCTTTCAACTTTTATCCTTCTCTATAATGAGCAGCTAAAGTGACTGTTTACTATGAGAAGTTAGAGCATATTAATCCTCTACATAAAACTGTTTAGTACCTTCCCATTTCACTTTGGAAATATCCAAAATTTTTAGCAAACCCACAAGGCTCTATGAACTGGCCTGGGACTAGCTCTGAAGGTAGGCATGACCTACACCCCTGTTGACCATGCTGTCAACATACTGATCTTCCTCCAGCATTTTCAAAGTGCCACTTTCTTTCTTGCAGAGCTTTTACATGTGCTGTCTAAAATGCCCTATTCCAACTTGCTGGCCTTCAGGTTTCAAATTAAATATCATATCTTCAAGGAGTTTTCCCCTGGTGACGTAGATTTGATTTCAGATACTTACTCGTAAAATCTGGGCCTCATAAAATCTGTGCCTGTCTTTGAAAGAATCCCCAAATACTTTTCATTATGTGATTATTGGTATAATTTTGAATTCATTGCCTATTTTCCTACAAGCTTCTGATTTCTTTCAGGCCTGAAATTGCACCTGTTTACTCTTTACTCCATTCCCAGTGCCTGGAAAACCTCCTTGAACATGCAAAGCATCCATGAATACTTAAATGAGATGTGACTTTTATCATATATATCTTTTCTTATTGAAGAGTCCCTCACTTGTGAAGGGAGTCAC
The DNA here is from genome assembly GCF_000001405.40 of Homo sapiens. NCBI lineage: Eukaryota > Metazoa > Chordata > Mammalia > Primates > Hominidae > Homo > Homo sapiens. Next base: position 150,584,367 of record NC_000002.12, on the reverse strand, counting down.
TTGCCTTGTGCCTCCTGAACAGTTTCTCATAGAGGCGGAATGAACATAGTCATATTTCCCTAGGCAGTTGATGTGAGAACTGAAGGCAGCGGTTCATGATTCATGGGGAAAGGCCCAGGTGAGGATTGAGGCCACCCAATTCTCCAGGCTCTCCCCACCCACTTCAGCGTTTGTCAATTCACACTTCTCATTTGTCAAATGTGAAAATAATGCCTCCCCAACTCCTCACAAAATTATATCAGAAGTAGGCTGGGTGCAGTGGCTCACGCCTGTAATCCCAGCACTTTGGGAGGCCAAGGCAGGCAGATCATGAGGTCAGGAGATCGACACCATCCTGGCTAACACGGTGAAACCCCCGTCTCTACTGAAAATACAAAAAAAAAAAAAAAAATTAGTCGGGCATGGCTGCATGTGCCTGTAGTCCCAGCTACTTGGGAGGCTGAGGCAGAAGAATGGCATGAACCCAGGGGTGGAGCTTGCAGTGAGCTGAGATTGCACCACTGCACTCCAGCCTGGGCGACAGAGCAAGACTCCGTCTCAAAAAAAAAAAAAAAAAAAAATTAGAAGCAAGGAGATGAAGATGAAGGTTGTGTGAAACATGCTATATAATTTAACTATAGTAAATTCCTTTTTTTAACTTTTATTTTAGGTTTGAGGGTGCATATAAAGGTGTGTTACATAGGTCAACATATGTCCTGGGGGTTTTTTATACAGATTATTTCATCACTCAGGTGTTAAGCCTAGTACCCAATAGTATCTTTTCTGCTGCTCCCCCTCCTCCACCCTCCCCTCTCAAGTAGATCTGAGTGTCTGTTGTTTCCTTTTTTGTGTCCATGAGTTCTTATCATTTAGCTCCCACTTATAAGTGAGAACATGCAGTTTTGGTTTTGTGTTCTTGTGTTAGTTTGCTAAGGATAATAGCCTCCAGCTCCATTCATGTTCCAGCAAAAGATATGATCTCGTTCTCTTTTATGGGTGCATAATATTCCATGGTGTATATGTGCCACATTTTTTAATCCAATCTGTCATTGATGGGCATTTAGGTGGATTCCATATCTTTGCTATCATGAATAGTGCTGCAGTGAACATTCACATGCATGTGTCTTTATGGTAGAACAATTTATATTCCTCTGGGCACATATCAAGTAATGGGATTGCTAGGTTGAATGGCAGTTCTGCTTCTATCTCTTTGAGGAATCACCATACTGTTTTCCACAATGGTTGAACCAATTTACACTCCCACCAACTGTGTATAAGTGTTCCATTTTCTCCACTACCTTTCCAGCATCTGTTATTTTTTGACTTCTTAATAAGAGCTATTCCGACTGGTGAGAGATGGTATCTCATTGTGGTTTTGATTTGCATTTCTCTAATGATCAGTGATATTGAGCTTTATTCCTATGCTTGTTGGCCACATGTATGTCTTCTTTTGAGAAATGTCTGTTCATGCCCTTTGCCCACTTTCTAATGGGGTTGTTTTTCTCATGCTCCCACATACTTCTGTAATCTAAACCAAGCTGTACCAAAGGGAAAGAGATGTAGTTTTCCAAATACACCTCCAAATGATAAGAGTATTATAATAAATAAATAACAGAGATTCCTTGAATTATATGTTAGCTTTCTGGAAAACAGAAGACAACATTGATCTGAAATGCCTGGATCTGAAGAGTAGAAGTTCTTATTAGACGAGGAAAACAGTTACACCTGAGTAGTTACGTAGGCAAAGTAGTCTGTACCAAATATATTACCATGTACCTCATTAAGTAACTGCTAGCAAGATAGTGCTAACCCACAAAAGCAGATGAAAACACTAAAAAATGATAATGGGGATTTAATCTGGAAGTAGACTTGATGCACTTGCAGATTCAACAAAAATCTCAAACTAAAACAAAAGTATCCATGATTTTTAAGGAGATAGAAAAGAAGGGGATGAAAACAATGGTCAGTTCTTTGCTCTTTACAGACTTGATATATTTATCTTGGAGTCAGAGGGAGGGAGGGATGCACATTATTTCTGATTGAATATTTTTCATCACTGCCTACTTGACCGTGGTTCAGTGCTAGTGTTAGTGTGTGTGTGTGTTTTAAGAGGAGTGACATGGTACTTCAAACAAATAATCTTGCAGCCAGCAGCAGCTGTTTCTGATTTCTTTTGATAATCCATGAGAAAAATATTGAGTGTATAGTAATGCAAACAGCCAAACAATGAAATAAAAATAAGCAGAAGCAATCATTTGCTCTAAGTCCTTTCATTTTATTTGAACATACCGAGTAGGTTGAGATGTTGAAGTAACTGCCACTGTTTATGAAACAGCACATTTGTGGCACCAATCTTTAATGTGTCGTACGTGTTTGTTTAAATCCATTCCTGGGTTGAAGCATTTGAAGTCAATGTAGCTACTCTTGTTATAAAGGAGATCTTTCTGCTTCACTAATTTGGCCTTACTGTTTTCATTTTTAAGCTGTCCTCTAATTGTTTCATTGTGTAACTCACCCAGACCTTGAGCAACAACATCAGATAAACAGTGCATAGATGAATTAGTACACATTAGCTTAATATCTGGTACCAGAATTCGTCTTACACTGGGAATTGTCTTTTGTCAGGAAAAACCTTTATCAGGTGCCACCCACTACCCTGTTTACCATGCTCTGGAGACACTGGTCTTCTTCAAGTTTCTTGAACAGGCTACTTTCTTTCTTGCCCCAGGGCCTTTGCATGTGCTATAAATTGGGGCTAGAAGGTGAGACTATGGGGACAGGAGTTAACACGGAAAAAAGGAAATGGAAGTGATAGATACAACACTTTAAATTAAAAATATGTGGAGAATTGTGCACTTAAGATTCATATATTTTATTCTGTTACTAATTTCCTGGGCTGCTGTAACAAATTGCCACCAACTAGAAGACTTAAAACAATAGAAATTCACTGTCTCACAGTTCTGGAGGCCAGAGTTCTGAAACCATGGTGTCAGCCTAAACCTGCTCTGTTTGAAGAATCTAGGGGAGGTTCCGTACTGTACTTCTTCCAGCTTCTGGTGGCTCTAGGTGTTTCTTGGCTTGTGGCCACATAAGTCTAGTCTGTTCTTCTATGGTCATATTGCCTTCTTCTGTTTCTTTTTTAAAAGGACACTTGTCATTGCATTTAGGGGCCATCTGGATAATATGGGGTAATCTCATCTCAAAATCTTTAGCTTAATCACATCTGTAAAGACACTTGTCCCAAATAGGGCAACATTTACAAATCTGAGGGATTAGAACGTGATAATTTTGAATGGTCATTATTCCATTAACATCTTCAAAGTTACTTGCAAAGTATTGAGCTAAGTTATGTCTTCAGTTTCTTTCAATATGCTTTTGGGAACTTCTCATATTGTAATTTTTTGTTTAAGTAGTTTTACATTGTCTTTTTTCATAATTAGGTTAGCTAATGGATTGAAATTTTACACACTTCAAGAAAATAACTCAGAAATTTGCTTACAAATTTTGTAATTGTGTTATTTCATTATTTTTAATATATATTTTTATATTTATCTCATTAATTATGTCTACTTTTATTAGATTTGTTGTGGGTTTTTCCCCATCTTTTTAATCTGAATGTTTAACTCATCTATTTGTATTATTTCTTGTTTTATTGATATTATTTCTTGTTTTATTGTATTATTTCTTGTTTATTGATGTAAGACTTTCATGTTAGGTATTTTCTTCCAAGAACCTCTCTAACCAAATCCATAGTGCTAATACGTATTTGAGTCTTTGACCCAAGAGTATTTTTAAAAAAGATTCTTCTAATTTAGAGGTAGCATGGTATTTTTGTTTATTTTTAAACTTCTACTACATTAATTTTAGTGCAATACATAGGTCTGAGATTGTTACCTTTATTGTTATTGATTTTTAGGATTTGGCAATTTTTTTTGTGGCCAAGATTTGTGATAGTTCCATGGTTACCTGAAAATATGTTCTGCCTTCAGAGTAGAAAATCAAGTAGAAGAGCCTTGTTAATTATATTATTTAGGTCTCCTACATTCTTATTTTCAAAACTTGATTAAACATAAAATGGGCCAGGCACGGTGGCTCACGCCTGTAATCCGAGCACTTTGGGAGGCCGAGGCGGGCGGATCATGAGGTCAGGAGATGGAGACCATCCTGGCTAACACGGTGAAACCCTGTCTCTACTAAAAATATAAAAAATTAGCTGGGCGTGGTGGCGGGCGCCTGTAGTCCCAGCTACTCGGGAGGCTGAGGTAGGAGAATGGCGTGAACCTGGGAGGCAGAGTTTGCAGTGAGCTGAGATCGCGCCACTGCACTCCAGCCTGGGTGAAAGAGCGAGACTCCGTCTCAGAAAAAAAAAAAAAAAAACCTATAAAATGATAGTGATATGGTTTAGATCTGTGTGTCCACCCAAATATCGTGTAAATTTGTAATCGTCAGTGTTGGAGGTGGGGCCTGGTGGGAGGTGACTGGATTCATGGAGTGGATCCTTCATGAATAGTTTAGCATCATCCTCTTAGTGTTGATAGTGAGTGAGTGAGTTATCGAGTTATCACAAGATCTGGTTGTTTAAAAGTGAGTAGCATCCCCCCCACCTCTTTCTTCTGCTTCCACCATGTGGGACGTGCCTGCTCCTGCTTTGCCTTCTGCCAAAGCTTCTGCTTTGCTTCCTGGGGCCTCTTTCCTATACAGGCTGTGCAACTGTGAGCCAATTAAACCTCTTTTCTTTGTAAATTACCCAGTCTCTGGTATTTCTTTATAGCAACATGAGAAGGAACTAATACAGAAAATTCATACTGAGGAGTGGAGCATTGCCATAAAAATACCTGAAAATGAAGCAAGTTTGCAACTGGGTAATGGGTAGAAGTTGGAAAATTGTGAAGAGTTCAGAAGAAGACAAGGAGATGAGGGAAAGTTTGGAACTTCTTAGAGACTTGTTGAATGGTTGTGACCAAGGTGCTGAAAGTGATATGGACAATGAAGTTCAGGATGAGGAAGTCTTAGATGGAAATGAGAAACTTATTGGGAGCTGGAGTAAAGGTCACTTTTGCTATGCTTTAGTAAACAGCCTAGCTGTATTGTGTCCCTGCTCTAGGGATCTGTGGAACTTTTGAGAGGAATGATTTAGGGAACTTGTCAGAAGAAATTTCTAAGCAGCAAAGCATTCAAGATATGGCCTGGCTGTCTCTAACAACCTATGCTCATATGCGTGAGCAAATAAATAACCTAAAACTGGAACTTATATTTAAAAGGGAAGCAGAGCTTAAAAGTTTGGAAAATGTGCAGCCTGGCTATGTGATAGAAAAGAAAAGCCCATTTTCAGTTGAGGAATTCAAATAGGCTGCAGAAATTTGCATAAGTAAAAAGAAGAAGCTAAGTGCTAATAGCCAAAAAATGGGGAAAAGGTCTCAAAGGCATTTGACATTTTGTGGACCAGGCCCAGGCCCTGCCTCCCTGTGCAGCCTCAGGACACTGCTCTCTGCATCCTAGTCACTTCAGCCATGGCCCAAAGGGGCCCAGATACAGTTTGGGCCACTGCTTCACAGGGTGCAATCCATAAACCTTGGTGGCTTCCATGTGGTATTAAGCCTGTGGGTGCATAGAGTGCAAAAGTTGAGGCTTGGGAGCCTTCATCTAGATTTCAGAGGATGTATGGAAATGCCTGGATGTCCAGGCAGAAGTCTGCTGCAGGGGTGGAGCCCTCATGGAGAACGTCTACAAGGAAAGTGCTTAGTGGAACTGTGAGAAGAGGGCCACCGTCTCCAGACCCCAGAATGGTAGAATAACTGGCAGCTTGCACCCTGTGCCTGAAAAAGTTGCAGACACACAATGCCAGCCCTTGAGAGCACCTGTGGGGGCTGAACCCTGCAAAGCCATGGTGGCAGAGCTGCCCAAGGCCTTGGGAGCCTACCCTTGCATCAGAGTGCCCTGGATGTGGGACATGAAGCTAAAGGAGATTATTTTGGAGCTTTAAGATTTAATGACTGCCCTGCTGGGTTTAGCACTTGCATGGGGCCTGTAGCACCTGTATTTTGGTCAATTTCTCCCTTTTGAAACAGAAGTATTTACCCAATGCTTATGCCTCCATTGCATCTTGGGAGTAACTTATTTTTTATTTTACAGGCTCATAGGCAGAAGGGACTAGCCTTGTCTCAGATGAGACTTTAAACTGTGGACTTGTGAGTCTGTGCTGGAACGAGTTAAGACTTTGGGGGACTGTTGGGAAGGCATGATTGTATTTTGCAATCAGGGAAGGAGGTGAAATTTGAGAGGGGCCAGGGGCAGAATGATGTGGTTTGGATCTGTGTCCCTGCCCAAATATCATGTCGAATTGTAATCCTCAGTGTTGGAGGAGGGGCCTAGTAGGAGGTGATTGGATTCATGGAGTGGATTCTTCGTGAATGGTTTAGCATCATCTCTCGGTGTTGTTATTGTGCTGGAATGAGTTAGACTTTGGGAAACTGTTGGGAAGGCATGATTGTATTTTGCAATCAGGGAAGGACATGAAATGTGGGAGGGGCCAGGGGCAGAATGATGTGGTTTGGATCTGTGTCCCTGCCCAAATATCATGTCGAATTGTAATCCTCAGTGTTGGAGGAGGGGCCTAGTAGGAGGTGATTGGATTCATGGAGTGGATTCTTCGTGAATGGTTTAGCATCATCCCTTGGTGTTGTTCTTGTGATAGTGAATTATTGAGTTCTCACAAGATCTGGTTGTTTAAAAGTAGGTAGTACCTCCCTCCTCTCTCTCTTCCTGCTGCTCCCATCATGTGAGGTGTGCCTGCTCCTACTTTGCCTTCTGTCATGAGTAAAAGCTCCCTAAGGCCTCTCCAGGAGCAGAAGCCACTATGTTTCCTATATAGCCTATGGAATGAGCCAATGAAACCTCTTTTCTTTATAAATTACGCAGTCCCCGGTATTTATGGCAATACCGGGGACTGCGTAACAGTCTGAGAACAGGCTAAGTCTTTTTCTCATAGTATGATTCTTTTTTCTTTGTGTTTCCTGTGCTATTTACTTTATGATTATTAATACTACATTATTTGGTATATGGCTATTCCTAATTATTAAACACTATCGTAAATTTCATTCTTTACCAATCTAAGTTGACTATAATTGTATCATCAAATGCCTTTTTTTCCCCCTACTTATTTTTCTTTTTCTTTTTTTTTGAGACGGAGTCTCACTCTGTCGCCCAAGCTGGAGTGCAGTGGTGTGATCTCGGCTCACTGTAAGCTTGCCTCCCGGGTTCACACCATTCTCCTGCCTCAGCCACCCGAGTAGCTGGGACTACAGGTGCCTGCCACCATGCCTGGCTAATTTTTGTATTTTAATAGAGACGGGGTTTCATTGTGTTAGCCAGGATGGTCTCAAACTCCTGACCTCGTGATCCACCCGCCTCGGCCTCCCAAAGTGCTGGGATTATAGGCGTGAGCCACCGTGCGCAGTTCCTATTTACTTTTTCTAATACTAAGGTTGTAACCCCTGCTTTCCTAATTGTTTGCTTGCATTTTTCTCACATGCATTTTCCCATAATTTAATTTACAACTTTTCTTATTTTGTTTTTTTGTTTTAAGTATCTGTTGTATAAAGCCTACAATTAAATTTAGCTTTACAATTTCCAAAAAAAAAAATCTTTTTTTGGGATTTTGAATAGGCAAATTTGTCCATTAATACATTTATTAATGTGAAAATAATGTTTGATCTTAGAAGTATGTAATATTTTACACCACCTTCATCTCAGTTTTTATTCTTACTTTGTATGGTTTTCTATAAGATCTGTATTTTCTTTGCTTTGTGGCTATCTTAATTCTTATGACTTAAAAGGTTTTCATATTTGTTCTGTATGATTGACATTATACAATGTCCTTAATCCTGTATTTCTTTTGAAAGACTGTTAATTCCTTACTATAAGCAATGACAAAATACATATTGTTCCATTTCTCATTCCTTTCCCTGGCACCATCCAAATTTTGGATGATTATGTGTTTTGTCCTAATATTTGCCTTTCTGTCTTTATGCTTCACCTTTTGTGACTTAACTGTGCAGACTAAAATAATGTTGTAGCTCCACCCGTCATGGGTTGAGAGTTGCCCCTGGTAGCTTAGCTTTCACTGCAAAGCTCCCCCACACTCGCTTTCTGAGCTGACTAGGCTGCCCTGACTTTGATGAAAGCCCTGAGGCAGAAGAGCAAAAAGCCTACATGGAACTGTCCACACAACTGCACAGGATTCAGAAGGGGGTCCAGGGATGTAATGTGAGCACCAAAAGCATCTGTTCCAGTATCCACAGAAGAGTGAGTGTTACTTCATGCAGCATCAGTTGGGCATTGATATCATGCTTGAGCCTCAGGTTGCATCACCTCTGTGATACCAGCAAGTGTGGGAAAGGCTGTGAAGAAGCCTGTTCAGTTCACACAGTCTATCTTTTGGGCTTATCTTCTCTTTTGTGTTCTGAGCAACAGCTACTGTTCTTGCTGTTCTTGTTCCTATGAGCACAAACACAGGCCATGTGAATTATGAAGGTACACACTAGTTAGGGCCTGATCAGGCTTCTGTTGGAGACAGACACTAAAACTAGATGCAGTCAATAAAAACACAAGTCAAAAGTATTACAACTATAGTTGCCAAAGTAGCTGGTCAATAACAGCTTTCATAAATCAGGTTGTTAAAAATGGATTTCTCTGTGTCTCTTCCTGGCCTAAAATACACAAGATGAAACAGATCAATTTATTAAATTGCTTAGCTATGTCTGTTTTTCTAAATTCCAGTTACTAAGTGCGTGCACTTTTGGGCCTCACATCTGGATTAAAATCTTGCCTTTGCCACATACTGACCATGAGAACTTGGGCGAGTTACTGAACCTTTCTGGGACTCAGTTTCTTCATCTGTTAAAATGAGGTAACAACAGTACTTACTGCATAGTGTTGACAAGTAGATTTATAAAATCATTTTAAAAATGATATATGTAAAGTGTTTTAAACAGTGCCTGGTCCATAGTAAACACTGTACAACTGTTATCTCTAATCATTATTATTGTTGTTACTATATTCCCACTTACTAGGTGAAGGGTCTCTTCTTGTGTGTGTCTATAATGCCTTTATAAAACTGATCTTACGGTGGCTCGGTGATTCACGCCTGTAATCCCAGCACTTTGGGAGGCCGAGGCAGGCAGATCACGAGGTCAAAAGATCGAGACCATCCTGGCCAACATGGTGAAACCCTGTCTCTACTAAAAATACAAAAATTAGCCAGGTGCGGTGGCACGTGACTGTAGTCCCAGCTACTTGGGAGGCTGAGGCAGGAGAATCACTTGAACCTGGGAGGCAGAGGTTGCAGTGAGCCGAGATCATGCCACTGCACTCCAGCCTGGCAGCAGAGTGAGACTCTGTCTTAAAAACAAAACAAAAAAAAACAAAAAAACAAAAAACAAACTGATCTTACTTACAGTTACTTATGCAGTGCTCATCTTACCTACTAGACTGCATGCTGTGAAAACAGGGATCCTGTTTATCTAATCCACAGTTTTTTCTAGCTCCTGGTAAATAATGTGGAACATGGTATGGTTCAATAAATACTTTGTTGCTTAAAAGGGTGAATTACTCAGTGAATCATTCAATCAATCCTCCTCATTTAGCTCCCGTATGTGCCAATTTTCTGAGGTAAAGCATATATTTTGAACTCTCTCACTCATTATAGAAAAGCATTGTTCTGATATAAGCTTTGAACATACCTCTTAAAACTATATTTATATTTCCCCTTCAGTGATAAAATATAGATCAGACTGATAGATCAACCTAACCCATAACTCTTCTCCCTAACCACCGTACACAGATTGACTTAAATTACTCGGATACATGATTTTTTTTTTTCAGTGGATTATATAGACCCTATGGTGTGACCATTCAGGCATAATCTTGAAAAAATTCTCAGTCCTGACCCCTAACCCATCCTATTCCTGTTACCCTGGAAAATAGTCATTAATACCTCTGCTGCCATATGGGATAAAAATGGGTTAATTTCTAAATTGTCTGATGTAGGTAATTACCTTTTTGTCTATCTTTCACTCTTTTTAAATTGTATACCCCCAAAGCTAGAATTAGCTTCAAAGTGAATGGAGAGAAACTGACCCCAAAATTTCTGATTTCCAAGCAGTCCGAGGTGGTTCAAGAGTGTAGGTCCTGGATGGGGGAGCTAAATGAACAGGATTGATTGACTGATTCAGTGATTATTCATTCGTTTATGCAACAAAGTATTTATGGAACCAGCTTCGGGTGAGATAAAATTGTCCTTTGTCAGGGGCCTGAGATTTCTTCTAACATGGAAACACTGCATTCCACTGACACATTAGGAATACTCATTGGTTGGACGTGCCTGGTACAAAACCATGAAGAGGAGCAAAAGCGGAAGGGAACTAACATTAATTAACCCCCAGTTGTGTCAGATGCATCATCTTATTTAATCCTCACCGCTATGAATCCTGTAATTAAACCTCTTTTTGATGGGAGGAAACCGAGATTCAGAGAGTTGATGCAACTTGCTCAGGGTCCAGACAGAAAGAAACAGCGGATCATTGATTATTTTGATTATTTGTCATTGCTGATAACTAACATTGGCTCACTCAGAGTCTCAACTGCCTAATTAAGTGGGTCCAGGGATGTGATGTGAGCACCAAAAGCATCTCCCCACTCCCATCTTCCCCTCAATTGTATGAGATCTCACATTGCAGGGAACACCTCTTTTGCTGCGTCTATTGCTTCTTAAACCCTACCCACCCCCAGACATTGGTCTTTCTGTCAAACAACCACTGTTTACATGAAGTTTCCCTATCTTTGTCCCACTCTGGGGCCTGCTCAGGTAGAAAGTGATTTACAGAAAGTAATTAACAGCATGTTTTGTGTTTGCATTTTAATTGGTGCTTAGATTCCAGTATATACAATCTATTATTTTCTTGACTTGATTACTTTCTTCCTGAGTTCTTCGAATTCTATTTTTACTTCTCCATCTCCCTTGCTGACTCCTGCCCCCAAGGACCTGCCCTTATTCTTTTTTGTGAGCTACACAATGTTCTCTTCTTAACTAAAGTCACACCTTTACAACTTTCAGTATCATTTCTACTCACATGAATCAGATAGCTATTTCTGACCTCTCTGTTGAGACCAAGATTTGCATTTCCAACACCCAGTTGGACATCCAATAGATGTTTGCTCAGGTTTGGACATGTTGATTCTGATGCAGGCCTAATGTCTATTAGAAGACTCCCATTCATGTCTGTATTTATTTGTTAATCTCTAAAAGGATGCCAAGCTAATGCTTCAAAATCAACAAGCCCAGACTTCTCCTTGCTCCCTGGTTTGATGAATGTTATCACTTAGCCACCTAAACTTAAAACCTAGTTACCTTTGTCTTGCTGTCTTCCCTGAACACCCACGTGAGTTGGGTCACCAGATTTTGTGGACTTTACTCAATCCTTATAAGGTCGCTTTTTATTGATGCTTCATTAGGATCCTAGTTAATCTTACCACCTTTTGCTTGACCGCTTTCTATATTCTCCCAATTAATCTTCATCCTTGCACATCTTTCTCTGCAAGTTCATTGACACTGACACTAGAGTTATTCTTCAAAATCACAGATCTTATCTTGTTTCTCATTTATCCAAAACCTTCTAGTTTCACTTCATTGCCTCCAGAATATCAATACAAATCCATAGTGAGCATTTTAGGCCCCCTAGAAAATCAGTTCAACCTACGTTTCCCACCAGTCCTAACTAGCAATGTGCTGCCCTAGAGCCAGACCAGACTAATTCATCACGTACTGAAGGCTCTGACTTTCCCTCTATGCCTGTGCTCATGCCACACTATTTTGCTTAGAAAGGCTTTTCTTCCTGCTGTGTCACACTCAGCCCAAATTCAACTTTGTCTTTCAATATCCCAGTTCTCTCTGATACGGTTTGGCTCTGTGTCCTCATACAAATCTCATCATGAATTGTAGCTCCCATAATTCCCACGTGTTGTGGGAGGGACCCAGTGGAATATAAGTGAATCATGGGGTGGTTTTCCTCATACTGTTCTCATGGCAGTGAAAAAGTCTCACAAGATCTGATGGTTTAATAAGGGGTTTCCTTTTTCACTTGGCTTTCATTCTCCTTATCTACCACCATGTAAGACATGCCTTTCGCCTTCCACCGTGATTATGAGGCCTCCCCAGCCACGTGGAACTGTGAGTCCATTACACCTCTTTTTCTCTATAAATTACCCAGTCTTGGGTATGTCTTTATCAGCAGTGTGAAGATAGACTAATACATTCTCCAAGTCAGAGTTTATTGCCCCCTCATCTATTTTCCCATTACTTAATTGAAATAATATCAACATCTATCTTTCTTTTTTTTTTTATTTTGAGACGGAGTTTCTTTCTTTCTTTTCTTTTCTTTTTTTTTTTTTTTCCACTCTTGTCGCCCAGGTTGGAGTGCAGTGCCATGATCTCGGCTCACTGCAACCTTCGCCTCCTGGGTTCAAGTGATTCTCCTGCCTCAGCCTTCCAAGTAGCTGGGATTATAGGCACATGCCACCATGCCCAGCTAATTTTGTATTTTTAGTAGAGACAGAGTTTCTCCATGTTGGTCAGGCTGTTCTCCAACTCCTGACCTCAGGTGATCCACCCGCCTCGGCTTCCCAAAGTGCTGGGATTACAGGCATAAGCCACCGCGCCTGGCCCACCATCTATCTTTCTATGTTTGTTTAAGCTTTTTGAGCAGACAGAACTTTTCATAATCATTTCTGTAATTATGCTACCCTTAGTAATTCAATACAAGTTGAAATTAACTTCCAAATATCTTACCTCTTAGATTAGAAATCTATCAATAGGACATTTATATTGAATAACCTTGTATTTAAATCATATTATGTCACTAATGTTTTTACTTAGAGACTATGAATTGTAAGCACCATTTTAAAGACAGGAAAATAAAATACAAAGGAGATATTTGGTGGAGATCAGCCAATGAAATTGTGAAAGATTTTAGAGAAGAATTTGGTATTCCTCATCTTTAGTGCTATTTTTGAGACAGGCTAAGATAGAAGTACTAGCCAAATGTAACTAAGTTTAAATTCACTAAAATTAGAGAAAAACGTAAAATTCAGTTATTTATTCACATCAGAAACATTTTAAGCACTCAATAGCCACATATGGCTAGTGACTACTGTATTGAATAATGTTGGTGTAAACATTTTCATCATCACATAAAGTTTTTTCAACAACATTGTTCTATTTCCCTTTTTTTCCTTTGTAGCATACACTTAATAATTCATTACCTATTAAGGTAAGATTCTACTCCTTTTTTGGTGTTTTGTTCTTTCTTTATTTTTATTTGCTCCTGCATTGTGAAATCCGGTGTTTGGTGTGTGTCAGAATGAATAACTATATGATTTTCCAAATACCTCTTATAAACTAACTGCCATTCTTCCATGTCTTTGGAATTTCTTTCAATCCAGCTTCTTCTCAGCTGAGGTCATGCAAAAATGACTCACTTGCATATGATACTTTCCTTGAGGAATTAAACCATAAACTGTATCCTTTTGTGCAAATCCCTTACACATCTCAGTCATGAATCTGTATGGCTCTCACTTCATTTATTCTGGCTTAGTTATCAGCATAAGCCTGTAAAAGTCAAATTTTGCTAACAAATGGAAGTAATAGCAAAGAAAGCTAAGGACAATTTATTTCCCTTAGGAGATGGGAAGCAGAGGTACAAACAACTTTTGTTCCACCACCCTTTTCACTTAAAACACACACACACACGCACACACACATGCACGCACACACACACACATACACTATCTTACTACTTGAAAATGAGGGCATTAGAGTCTAGATAAAAGGGACAGAGGGACAGAGTACACTAATGTGAAGATCTCTTGTCAGTTGTACATTCTGAATAAACATTTCATCTTACCTTAATGCATAGGAAACTCGAACTTGTTTTCAGAACAATGAAGTCATTACTCCTAACTCAGTATTACTTCTAAATTCTGGGCCTAGTTCAAATATTATTGTATATATTTTATTTATTTGCAAAGTCATCTACTTGCATGTAAAGCTGACAAGACTGTAAGTAATTAAGCCAGGTGTGTCCCCTCATCTTTTTATCCCCAGCATATATTAGGAATGAGCTGATACAGCCCATTCCTCAAATCCTGAGTAGTCCGGCCTTCCATATCCCTGGCCATATTCCTCATTCACCATTACCAGCCCTCCTTGCATTGTGTATTGAGGGAGAAGATTCCTAGAAGCAACATTCATCGTCTCTCTTTTCAATGATGGACAACTCTCTGCTGTGCCAAATATACTAACTTTAACCACCCACTGCCAAACTCACACCTCCTTGTTCAACAAGCCAGTTACGGGCAGTGAATGAATCTACGATGCTGAACAGCCCCGTGGGCATCTTCTCACTGGGCACTGGCTAGAATGCAGTTGGATTAGACTTTCACAATTGCTTTGTTTTCAAGCCAGGAAGGAGAAATTGAAGGCAATTCACCACCTTTCTATATCCAAGATGAAAACACAGCACTCTCCTAAACTTCAGAAGTATAACTCAGTGGGTTAGTACTTCAGATCTAGCCTGAGGCAAAATTATGATTTTTCCAAAAGATTTTCTTTTTTTAGCATTCTTTTCCTTACACGCAGGCCTTTGATCAAGCTACAGTTTTGAACTGATTACAGCTTTTGAAGCCTCAGAAGATTTAAAGACCCACATTGTTAACAATGGTGTTTTAGGTGTGTGGCGTATTAGAGGAGTCGGGTAAGTGCAAAATCCTGAAATTTACACAAGGGTTGCAGCTGCCTCCTCCACTAGTCATGAGTGCAACCTGCTATGGTGGGTCTCAAATAAAGAAAAATCCTAAAGATAAAAATAATTAATTTAGCTTTGAGATCAGAGTCTAAAAGCTGCAGAAAGAATTTCCTATTTCCCTCCAGAAAGGAAAGAATTACAGTCTGCTCAGTTCCGATCAAGCCTTTCTATGACATATGGAACAACTAACTTCTTTTTTCCACAGAGAACAGCTTTCATTAATCAAGTTTCTCAACTTCTATAGAAGAAAGGCTGACATATAACTTAAACAAGTGGTTAAACCAAAAATATGTGTAGTTTTTATTTGGTTAATCAATGATTTAATAGCTTAAGCTGGACTTTTAGGACTTCATTTATTTTCAGTTTTCTTTATCAATAGAATTAGATCTAATTGACTACACAAAATTGCTCATTAAAAAGATTGGTCAACAAAGGAAAAAAAAACGAGGGAAAGTCAATTAAAATGCCAGCATAAAGACAGAGCCATTGATACTGGGAAGCTCCAGAAAGCTTATATATCATGTAGAGATTTTTCTTTTTTCTAAAGCTTCCTTTTAAAAAGGTGGCATTGATCTTGTTTTGGACAAAAGCAAATATATTTTCCCCAGGCTCACCCTATGTTTTCTAAAGTTATCAGATTTATTTCTTTAAATCTTCTTTCTTTGGTCTGTTAACATAGCCTATCTGGGTAACTCATAAACAATACACAAAACTGTGTCTCTCTACTGAGACCAGGCTAATGCTTCTCTATATTAGCTTTGTTCTCTTTGCTCTTCCTTGCTGTGCCTTTCCTCATCCTTTCATATTTACAGCTTAATATAAAAAAGCAAAAAAATTTAAAAATATGGCAGAGGATTGAGGATGGGGAAGAATATCTAAATCTCAGCAAAAAGGTACATGGGCCATGCATTTTTATCATCCCCATGTCTTGTCAGTATTGCATAGTCAATTTAGGGTGTCATTTTTTCAAGCACAATATTATGAAACAAGACGCTGTATCTCTGCAGAGTTTGGACACAGGGAAGGTGATCACAGTACGGTGCTGAAGAAAACTATGTATCAGATGACTTTGCTCTGGATTCATATATTTGATACCCAAATTGACATCCTTGAAGCTCTGGGTATTTTCTGAACAGAACATACTGGAAGCTAAATGCCTAGTGGGAAGTACCTTGACAGCCAACTAAAGAATTGACATTCACAGCATACGCTTTGGAGCATTAAGTGATTGAGAACAGCAGATAAGCATTCAGACTTGAGAGTCCATTTTCCTTTTAAGCTGCATAGACGCCAATAATAATAGATCAAGGTTACCTTTTTACACTTTTGGCATCTGTCTTAAGCTACAGGATATAAATGCCCCAGACAATGCATACTTAAAATTGACTTTATACAGAATTTGGAGAGGGAGAGTAGTGATTGTGCAACCAGATTACAGAGGCCAGCCACATTCCAGCAAATGCACATTTACTCAGCATCTGGGATAGTTTAAAGCTTACAGAAAATGGGAATGAATGTTGACAAAGGTAGAATAGTATACATTAAGTTCAAAGATAATACAAACAAACCATATAACCAATGACATTTTCCATGAAGAGAAGCCTTTAACAGGAATAGCGAGAGGTCGGGCTGCACACCCCTTCGGGTGTCTAGACATTTGGGTGGAAGGAAACTAACCAAATTGTTCCAAATCCTTCTCTTTTGCACTGATTGAATCTGGCTGCAATGACTCAGCCTGTGTCTAAAACAGAACAACCCAGTCTTCCTCTTCTTCTTCCTCTACTCTTTCATGTTTCAGAGTTGGTAGTTTGGGTCAAGGAGGCTACAGACAGCATATGAACCTATTTATAAAAACCAGAAAGAGTTCACTGATCTTGAACCTTCCTAAGTGTTTCCTTGGATTTACAGACACTCTGCCTTTCCTGAGTTATCAACCTTTAGGTGCTCAAACTAGACACATCTATAATGGACATGGCTGACCTCCACCAGGGAGGCCCTGCAGTCCTTAACACTGAGTACACTTGAAGGCAGGGGCTTCTCTTGACTCTTTTTTTTTTTTTTTTGAGACGGAGTCTCGCTCTGTTGCCAGGCTGGAGTGCAGTGGCGTCATCTTGGCTCACTGCAACCTCCGCCTGCCCCAGGTTCAAGCGATTCTCCTGCCTCAGTCTCCCAAGTAGCTGGGACTACAGGCATGCGCCACCACGCCCAGCTAATTTTTGTATTTTTAGTAGAGACAGGGTTTCACCATTTTGGCCAGGATGGTCTCAATCTCTTGACCTCGTGATTTGCCCGCCTGGACCTCCCAAAGAGCTAGGATTACAAAGTGAGCCCCCATGCCCAGCCTCTCTTGACTCTTAAATCTTTGTTGACGTCTCTGTAGGATTCCAAAACTAACTTCTAGTAAAAAAAACCAAACAGACAAAAAACAACAAAACAAAACAAAAAACAAAACAACAACAACAACAACAAAAAACAATGCAGGATATCTTTAGCTTTTTTTCCTTCTTACCAGATATTTGGACAGTTGCTGCTAATTGACTTGGTTGAAGATGTCCATTCTTGAGGTAGTTTATGGCCATGCTTCTAGGGTCACCTTTATCTAAGGGTCAAGGATTAAATTGGGATCTTGAGAAGGAAAGTGAGTATTGACATATATGTACACATTACAAAGGAAGCAAAAGAGCCTACTATCATTTAATTAAATAGAAATAAAATAGATAAGATTTTAAAGTGATGGTATTTTAAAATCTACCCACTACAAACAGGAATTGGAAGACTTTCAAAACAGCGTCTACTAAGTGGAGAGAAAGGTAAACATTTAAGAAGAGAAAAACTGCCGCACTAAGTCAGACTACCTTATATCTAGAAAGTTTTTTTCCTCTTTCAACAAGGGACTTTTTGTAAGAAAGTAGTTACTTCCTACATTTAACTCTGAAAGATAGAGATGTGCCCCGAACACATAATTTACTGTAATCAAACTTGGATGATGTTAAATTCTTCCAAATCACTGCTTGCATTAGTTTATTATGCCCAATTGAATGACGTCATCAGTGCAGACAGCCAGAGAAAAACCATTAAGAACAAATACTATTTAGTAGTCTATATTCACTGGAGCATCTGAATTCTTAAAAGGGATGCTTGGCTAACCTCTGGAAGCATGGAATAGTCCTCATCTTCCACCTGCAGAGTTAGCCTGCCTGGGACCAAACCTGGCTCCACCGCCATACTACTGTGTGACTGTTTTTGTCAGGGTTCTCCAGAGAAACAGAACCAACTGGATTTACAGAGAGAGAGAGTGTGTGAAAAGAGATTTATGTTAAGATATTGGCTCACATGATTGTGGAGGCTTGATGAGTCCAAAATCTGATGGAGGAGGATGCAGGCTGGTAACTCAGGAGAGAACTGCAGTTGGAGTTCATAAGCAGTTTGCGGGCAGAATTCCCTCTTACTCTGGGGATGGCAGTCTTTTATGCTATTGAGGCTTCCTTCCAATTGACTGGCCGAGGCTCACCCACATTATGGGAGCAATCTGTTTTACTAGAAGTCCACCGATTTAAATATAAATCTCATCCAAAAACACCCTCATGGAAACATCCAGAAAGTTTAACCAAATATCTGGGTATTGTACCCCAGTCAAGTTGGCATATAAGATAAACCATCACAATGACCTTGGACAGGCTACTTAACCTTGTTTTGCTTCACTATGCTCGTCTATAAAGGGAGATTGTTTAACGTATGGGCACATACTTCATCGGGTGATTGTGAGGATTAAATAGGTTCATTTCTAAGTGGAGTGCTTAGCTCCAGTGCATAGCTCATAGTAGGCACTTTATTGCAGAACACTGGAACAGAAGGGAACTTTCAAGATATCAAGTACACTCTGAGATTCAGAGTGGTGAAACGACTTCCCTCAAATTGCAGAGTTAGTTGTTTTAGGGATGAGATTACAATTCTAATGCCCCAGCACCAGTCCAACCACTATTGTAGAAAGCTTTACTGCTGCTTCCCTTGACTTGGGTAGACTCAACAACAGTGTATCACATGAAATGTATTACCACTGGAATTTGGAATCCTTTCATTTCTGAGATGTTATTAAAATAAGTACTTGGTAATCATTATTGCAGAAATGTATGTTTGATTATTTATATCTACAGATTATTGAAAAAATAGCTCTCTTGTCCACTGCATGATTTATTGAAACTGGGATTCCTTTATCCTTCTGCTGTTTCACATGAGACATTGTATTCCCTTGGGACAGACTGAACTAACACTAACACCTGGTGTTTCCACAGAACCTACCCTCTAAGGTTCAGTGAGAGTCAAGATACAACTAATTGAAAATACCTGCCTAATTTGAGTTGTTTAGGTTTTTTTCTTTCTTCAAGGCTTAGATCTGCATTCCATCCCAGGCTGCTGAGAAGAGCTCTCTTTCGCAAAGCCTTTTCTTCCTTCCTATGCGAAATGTTACTCAATCTGAGGTTCTAGATCAGTGTTTCTCAAAGTGAGTTCTACCAAGATTATTTGGATTATAATTACCTGCAGAGTTTGATAAAAATATAAGTAATTGGTCAGCACTACAGAATCACTGAATTTGAATTTCTTGAGGGGAGATTTGGGAAAAGATACTTTTTATAAGGTCCTCGTGTTGATCCTTATGCCATAAGAGCTTGAGAATCACTGCCCTCGATTACCTTGATCTTGCTAATAAACACTGCTTCGCGGAATTTCAAGGCTGTAATAATGTCAATTAAAGTTTGTAGGTGGATCAATCTCCACTTAATTATGTTGCATTATACATTCCTTCTAGCTGAAAACAGTTTAGTTCTTCTGCATTAATGAAGTGTAGCTGTGCTTACACAGTATTTCCTGATTTGAACTGCTAGGCTGGTGATTATTGTTAGCTGTGCCTTATAGAAGCTCCAGAATAGGTATTGTGTGTTTTAATGCTGACTGTTAACATTCACGATTTATTACATTAAGTGCCAAATTTTTAATCACTGAGTGTAAAAGTTTCCATTTTCAAAGCACATTAAATCCCAATGATATTCTCGACTGAAGTCATTCACATCCTTAAGAAACGGTGTGGTAAGTATATTTGAAGGGCCAGTTGGTAACAGGTAGAAAGATACATGTGTAGGCCAGGCGCAGGGGCTCACGCCTGTAATCCCAGCACTTTGGGAGGCCTAGGCAGGCAGATTACGAGGTCAGGAGATCGAGACCATCCTGGCTAATGCAGTGAAACCCCATCTCTACTAAAAATACAAAAAAAAAAAAAAAAATTAGGTGTGGTGGTGGGCACCTGTAGTCCCAGCTACTCAGGAGGCTAAGGCAGGAGAATGGCGTGAACCCGGGAGGCGGAGCTTGCAGTGAGCCTAGATAGCGCCACTGCACTTCAGCCTGGGCAACAGAGTGAGATTCCATCTCAACAACAACAAAAAAAAAAACAAACAAACAACAACAAAAAAAAACATGTAGATGTTGGTACTGATGATATAAACTTACATTGAGGAAAGAAGTCTTTGCAGCCTCAAGGCGAAAATACCCACTGGAATTGATTCTTGACCCCTGCCTGACCAATTATCACTGACAATACTAAGATCAAGAACAATTTAACATTCAGTGAATGTTCACTACATTGAGGGACCTCTATGCATTATATTATTTAATCCTCCAACAAAAATTAATTAGATAACTTTATTGATCTCCATTTTTCAAAGATGAACTGGGGCTTGGAGCAGTCATGGCTCTTGCCCATAGTCAAACAGCCTGTCAGGGAAAGAGTGAGGATTTGAACACAGGTTGATCTGACCTCAAAGCCCTTGTTTTAACCTTGTCTTTCAGTAGACCAGCTCCCTGCTTCTGTTCTGGTCTGGCGTTATTCATAAAGTGAAACAGCAGACAAAAAGAAAATGGGATTTGGCCTTTGAGAACAGTGTCAGGGCATTTTGAACATGCTGCCACTCCAAAATTAGAACCATGCCATTTTCGTTTTACTGCAGAGGAGTATGGCGCTGCCTGGGGCCCAGCTGAGCCAAGCTGAGGTTTGGAATAGCTCAATTACTAGTTAAATATGGACTCTGTGCAAGTCATTTATTTCTGTGGACTCCATTGATCATATGTAAATCAAGGGAGCTAAAATCACATGCCTTCAAGCTTTCGGTATTTTACAAATACTGTGATTTTTGTATATTTTCACAGAACTTTGGAACTAGCAGGGATGATCTGGTCAAGAATCATTTGGCTATCAGGAAAAGAGATCCACTCAAGCTTGCTTAGTTAGGTAAAGGAAGTTTATGGTAAGGAAAATGGCTTATCTCATAGAAACAAAGTTAAAGGATACAGCCAGGCTTCACAGGAAAGAAAAGTCATCATTTGTCTTCTGTTTTCCTTTTCTTCTGTATGGGGATAAGGGATGTTCATTTCTGTGTGTTGTTACTTTGTTTCTCTCCAACTCTGAAGATTGGCTTTCTTTCCTCATTTGCTTATGGCCAGTCAGAGCTGCCCAACTGGAAGCACTCAACACTGGCTCACTTCAGTCTCTGGGTATGAATTCCAGATTTTAAGACAAGAGCATCTAACTGGTTGAGTGTGGGTTCCATGTCTAACATTAATTATTCAAGCCAAAGAGATGGGATGGGAGTGTTTGGTATTTGGTGCTGTACTTTCAAGAAATGATTTTGGTAATTCATGCAGAGATTGATTATACAACCTTTGTGAGAAATTGAGAATGAACCTCTAATGGATAGGATAGACATGGTTTGCACAAGGAGAAGCAACAGCGTTTTTTACTCTCTCTTATTCTAATTCTGTATCTTTGATGCTATTTTATTCTCATTCTTTCTCAGTGCCTTCATCTTACCTTTCATCCTGGTCTTTTCTGATCTCCCTGGTTCCTTTCCTTCCTCTACTCATGAAATTTCTCATTTCTTTGAGGTGCTGCAGTTAGGTCTTTGAGGTAGCAGCAAAACGAATCTGATGAAGTAATTTCTGCCTAGAGTTAAAATAAATACATGTTCATTTTTCACTGAGTGATTATTATGTGCCAAATCTAGTGCTAAGCCGTTCACATATACTATTTTATTTATTCCTCACTATAAACTCTCAAAATAAACATTAACTTATTTTTCCATCTGAGAAACTCAAGGTTCTGTGTAGTTAAGTAGTTTGTACAAGCTCACACAGCTAGTAAATGAAACTGCTGGGATTTAAATTCACCCTCCAGAGCCTGAACCACTATATGCTATGGCTGCTATTGTCATATGTTATCCAAGCATGTGAAGCAGCAGGCTTATCCTGACTCACAAGGGCCAAGTGTTACATTTGCAGGAATTTTGAGAGCTGATTATTAAACGTGACCATTATAAAAATTTAAATTATACCACCTTACAATGAAATTAAATTTATTTTAAAAAAGTAACACTTAAAACACATCACTAATTATGTTACTCTATTTGACCACTATATATGCATTTGAGTTTCTTTCTATGACATCTGTATGGTAGAAATACTGCACCTCTCCCAAACTCTAGAGTATTTACACCACAGAAACTGACAACTGCCCATCTAAAGGCAATTAAATTTTTTAAAAAAATGAATAAGTAGACAGCCATACAGGCACACAAAGTCCATCTAAAAGCTAAATAGGACTGTGAACCACCAGTTTCTGACCTCTGGTTTTTTTGTTTTGGTTTGTTTTTTTGTTTTTTGAGATGGAATCTCGCTCTGTCACCCAGGCTGGAGTGCAGTGGTGCAATCTTTGCTCACTGCAACCTCCGCCTCCCAAGTTCAAGCGATTCTCCTGCCTCAGCCTCCCAAGTAGCTGGGACTACAGGCATGTGCCACCACACCTGGCTAATTTTTTGTATTTTTAGTGGAGATAGAGTTTCACAGTGTTAGCCAGGATGGTCTCCATCTCCTGATCTCGTGATCCACCTGCCTCGGCCTCCCAAAGTGCTGGGATTACAGGTGTGAGCCACCGTGCCTGACCCTTGACCTCTGTTTTAAAGAAATGCATCTACAATGAATGAATCTCAAGCACTCATGCCAGAACACTCTTTTAAGTGTGGGCATCTGACACGACTACACATCTGCTCAATCATGACTGCCTCAGGAACCACTTGTTGTCCAGACCAAAAAAAGGAGTTAAATTAGTGCTAGCCAAAGGTTGTCTGTTGCCTAAGCTGAGGACTTTTTGAGGCCTGGCTAAGGTTTCCTGTTCTGCACAGCCAGGTATTTGCATTGGCAGATGTGGCATCACCACAGTCTCTGCAAAGAGCTGGCTGGACTTCTTGACTAAAGCAGTAGTAAGCAAGAAAGAGCTGACCCAGAGATTGCATTTTTGCTTACCCACAGCAGTGTACTTTTTATGCAGACACTGCCTTTGCATCTGTTTTAGACTTTATTTATTCATTAGTTCTTCTTTCTAGGTCAATGAGAAGCCAAAGAGAAGAGGGTCTTGCAGCTGGAGGAGATAAATATGTGATGGGGTGTGTGGGTGGTCATTTAATGTTGCTTTCTGGGCTGAAATGATGCTGGTTTCTTATGTTGTCTGTGGAAGTAGCAATTATCCTTTTCTCTTTGACTGAAGTAGTTATTTTTGGTAAAAGCTATTAAGTCTTTTGAGTAAGAACATTTTGGGTACCCTGTGGTTGGTTGTCTATGTTTAGATCACTTGATCTGTGACCTTGGACAAATCTCCCAGCCTTTCCACTTCTCTCTTGTTAAGTTGAAAATGATAGAGTGACTTGTCAGTAAGTAGACAATTAAAAAAAGGTTTTAAAGAATTTTTAAACTTCTAGAATATTATTTCAATTCAATTATGATTTAATATTATTTCAATTTTTTAACTCCTAGAATGTTATTTTAATTCACATTTTAGCAGAGCAAAAATGTTATTTATGTATTTACTTAAACAATTACACCAGTTGCCACTAATTCATTTTGTGCTTTGGACACCATATCATATCCGTAATGTATCCAACATTTGAATGCAGGAACCATAACCTTAGTTTCCTAAAAGTTTCTGTGGTATGATTGTCTCAGTCCAAATTATGGTATATTGTTTCAAGTTATAAATCTTTGGAGTATTTCTCTTCTAGGTAGCTCTAAAAAGCCTCTTCACTTCTACCTTGCTATTTGAGTGTAAGGACCAAAAAAATTTAATGAATACTATATATATAACTACATATATATTCTGTAAAATATCGCTGTGCTTTGCTATGAGGAAGACCCTGCTTTGCTATGAGGAAGACCCTGCTTTCCTATGAGGAAGACCCTAAAGGAATTGTAAACAGTGTCTCTGGAGTCAACGATAGCAGTTTACATGAGAAAGATAATTATCGCCCAAAAAGCAGTATATAATCAAAGTCGAGTAACGGTCTCGACTGTAAATATAAATGAGAAGAATCTCTCTTCACCATCCACTTAACCAATACTCTGGAAGAAATTCAGCTCTTCATTCACCCCATCAAATACGCTGACCTTTGTCATAGCATACTGTCTGCTCAGAGCTAGCGTGCACCCCTCTGCTAGAGCCACTTGAACAGTGTGAAGCCCAAGTGTGTTTATTCCAAACTGTGAGTGGCACTTGTTATTAAAATCATGTAACATAAATCAATGAAATATCGTACAGAAAGTGAGGTATGGGTTTTTTTGGTATGAAAACTAAATTGATTGCATTATGAGGACTTTTAAATACGAATGGCTAAAAACAATTACTAATGAATTAAATATTGCAAGAAAACTTTTTTTTTTTTTTTTTTTTGAGACGGAGTCTCACTGTCGCCCACGCTGGAGTGCAGTGGCGCGATCTCGGCTCACTGCAAGCTCCGCCTCCTGGGTTCATGCCATTCTCCTGCCTCAGCCTCCGGAGTAGCTGGGACTGCAGGCGCCCGCCACCACGCCTGGCTAATTTTTTTTGTATTTTTAGTAGAGATGGGGTTTCCACTGTGTTAGCCAGGATGGTCTCGATCTCCTGACCTCGTGATCCGCCCGCCTCGGCCTCCCAAAGTGCTGGGATTACAGGCGTGAGTCACCACACCCGGCCAAGAAAACTTTTTAAAAATTAGGGGCAGAAATCAGAAAAATTTATAGGAAGACTTCAGACTCACAATACTTGGAAGGTTCTTGCTCTATTTTAAATAAACCAAGACTGGGAATCATGGAGGATGCATTATGGGTGAATTGTATGCAAGATGCTGTAGGATTCCTATTAGCAGACTCTTAATCACAGGAAAACATGCCCCTGAATCAAAAGCTTAAGGAAATAATGTACAGTTTTAAACATTTTAAATTGGAGTATTTATAAAGCATATGTATCATTGTTAAGATTCCTTCTCTGATCATTTTTTTTCTTTTTTTTTTGTTTTTTTTTTTTTTTGCTGTTGTAGCTGATTGGCAAATCAACTACTGGTCTTGCTTTCATCAAATTAGAGAACTTCTACTATATTGAGGATTTGGGAAAAGATAAAATCAGTTTTGTTGAATAGTTGGGAATTTGACTGTAAAATTATTGGTGTGATTTTCTCACTATAGAAGAACAAAGCAAAAACAATTTTTTTTTTTGAGGTGGAATCTCACTCTTGTTGCCCAAGCTGGAGTGCAGTGTCATGATCTCAGCTCATTGCAACCTCTGCCTCACAGGTTCAAGCGTTTCTCCTGCCTTGGGCTCCTGAGTAGCTGGGATTACGGGCGCGTGCCACCACACCCAGAAAATTTTTGTATTTTTAGTAGAGATGGGGTTTCACCATGTTGGCCAGACTGGTCTTGAATTCCTGACCTCAGGTGATCCACCTGCCTTGGCCTCCCAAAGTGCTGGGATTACAGGCGTGAGCCACCACGCGCGGCCCAAAGCAACATTCTTAGTTAAGAATAAACACACAAATGGCAAGACAATGCAAACTTCAGAGTGGGAGAGGTAAAAATCCATGCATAGGAGTAAAGAAAAGAGAAGAAAAGGCCCAGAAGAAGCTTTTGGAAAGATCTGGAAGAGCTAAGGGACCCGATTATAAGTAGTAGGCAGTATTGAGCCATTGACTAATTTTGATCAGAACAATGAAATTATGAAAGCAATATTTTGAGGGAATTCTTCTGATAACAGTGTGCAGAATGAGATGGATCTTTAATGGCAAATATGTTTTTGAGGATTGTGCAGACTCAGATTATTGGTAATGCTGGTCTGGAGCACTGTGATGAGAAGTATGAGGCTGAGGCTATTCTCTATAAGACGTGCTGTTTTCTACTAGTGATGCCTGACATGAGCAAGGGAAAGCAGGTTGCAGCACATCTATGCCTGATGTTTGTAGGCCTCTGGTCAGATTAAGGGTAAAGATAGTAGAAGCATTTATGCCACCACAATAGCACGAGAGATTATAGAAGAAGGTATAAAATATTTTTTTTCAAATACATGCTAATTTGGTTCCATGGATAAAATTATGTCATAAGTAGAATTTTTAATTTCCGTTTTGGAGTCAAGCAAGATTATGCTTTTCCTTATTATTCACATAAGGGAATCATTACAATATAATCATGAAGAGCAACACAGGATTTCGAGTAAGACAGAATTTTGTTCAAAATCCAGACCTGCCATTGGCTAGTTAAATAATTTGAGACAAATTTCCTGAACTCCTTAAAAATTTATTAAATTGCTATAAAACGGGAACTAAGTTACCTAGCTCATAAGGATCCAAAATATTAAGTTTATTGGCTAATATTAAAGGCAGTTAGCATACTGCCTATCACAAGCATGGTCAATGAAATTCTGCTTAAAAATATTTTACCAATTTTTTTCTCATTAAGCCTTAAAAATAAAAATCTGTAAGATTATTATTCTAATAGTTGGAATTTTCTAGCTTCTGAGCCCCCAAATGAAACTGAATTAACTCTAGATAGAAAAATAAGTTAAAATATATTTTTCCAGGTTTTTGGAAAAGAGACACCATTTCTTTTTCCACGAGAAACTAGATATTATGAAATTCCTCCTCTATCTGAGCCACTGTTTGCCTACTCTTTAAAGGCTTTATAAATGAGGGATCATCATGACTTTGATGGTCTGAACTGCAGGATGTTGGTACACTCATATACAGACATTTCAATGTATTTTTTTTCTCCTACTTCTATCCCGTGGGCAGTGATTTCTTGGCAATTCACATGCAAACACTGGGCATCCATTCACAGAATTTCTCAGTTTGTTTAGGAGAAGTTGTGATGTTCATTTGCAATAGGGTTTTGGCAAACTCCTGACAGAGAATTTCTTTATAAAAAAGGACAGAGCACTTAATTTGGCATGGTTCTTTCATGTGTAGGTTTGTATTTCCTGTCTTCTAGTTTCCTTAAAAATATGCAGAAACACACACATACCCATTCATTAAGCACTTTGAAGCAGCAGTTTGTAATATTTCCAAACAAAACAGTACTTTACCAACATGGTTCAGTGTCTCAAACATCTCTTTTCTATTGAATTCTACCAACTGATATTTGAGACAAAAAAGGAAGCCAAAAATGTAGGTTCTGGCTAGTTGCATAGTGTGTTGCTTGTGGTAAAGGAAGATTCAAATCAATTCTAATCCAAGAGAAATATCAGGAGTCATCATATTGTTCAGGGTGTGAATATCCTAGAACTGATTTCTTTGCAAAGCCTACTTCTTCCCTATGAACTTTTCTTTTGAAGCAAATGGTAAGCTTTTTTTGTAATGTAAAAATGATAATTTTTTTTCTTTTTGAAACAAATGGTAAGCTTTTGTTTGTAATGTAAAAGTGATAAAGCTGTGATATATTAAACATATATTATTTATAACAATGGCTTGAATTACTATAATCATTACCTCTATCACTGTTAATCATTCAAACACAGCTAATTCTAAGTCCTCAAGTGCTCAGAAAACAACATTAAAAAGTCTGACATTTGAAAAGTATGGAATTAAACATCATGGAACTGGCTTTAAGAAGGTATCCATTCGTGGCATGAAAATGTGAAGAACTTTCTTTCTTTGCAATGTGAGTTCAAGGAAACGCCCAAGAGTGGATGTTCCATCGTAAATGCTCTGCCCCCAGCTTTTCAAAGGACACAGAAATTGCACCCAGCAAAGATGTCCTGTCAAAATGATTTAAAAGAAGAAAAAGAAAGTTGCTAGAGGGGAACTGGTACTCCAGATCAAAAAACAATTTTAAGTGGTCTATTTTGGTGGTCTGTGTTGAGACATATAACAGCCCAGGCTGCTGTTTTTCCAAGAGGTTAAATTTCAAAAAGAGGAAACAACAGCAAACAGGCTGCCAATTTACTCAACAATGTCACAACTGGCTGGAGCTCTGTTCAAAGCAAAACCGCTGATTTACAAATTCCTGGATTTACTCTTAAATATTAACACTTCTTAGGAAACTTTAGACCTTACATGTCACATTTATGACTCCTAGGCAGACACAACCCTCTCCAAACACATGGTCCTCATGACAACTCTTTGCCATGTATTTCAGCCCCACTAAGGGAAGCCACTGTCAACTCAACCTGTGATGCCAAGAAGCAGCCCAGGTACCAAGGGACATAGACTGGAGTCAACATTAGATGCGTTTCTGTATGGTGTAGCTTGGAGGAGGATGTTTACAGCACAATTCCGCAATAATATGCTGTAGCAGACAGAAGTTTCCCTTCTATCAGACAAAGAACTAGTCAGGGAAGGCAAGCTGGCTAGACCACGGTTCAGTTTTTCTCATCTCCTTTCTGCAAGTGGAAAATCTGCTGGCTGGCAGTGGAAATAATAGGGAAACCACCTCAGAATGTTGGAGAAGAGGATGGGGGAGGAGTTGCAGCTCAGGAATCCTTCAAAGAAGACATGTGGGGAGAGGAAGACAGCACACAGAAGCAGGGAGAAGTAAGTGTTAAATAGCCAGTAACTAAAAATTGAGAGAGGTGTAACAGCATTTAAACATTCTGTATCCCAAGCAGTGCTTCCTTCTAGAAAGCAGAAATTTCTCCAGGTTCTTCAGCTGTAAGAAGGGTCCAGGCTCCAGTCAGAGAATAAATTTAAAGTAGGTCTGGTGAAGGTTGCAGGACTGCATATATAAATATACTAATTTAATTTTTTTTCCTTTCTTTTTTTTTTTTTTTTGAGATGGAGTCTAGCTCTGTCACCCAGGCTGGAGTGCAGTGGCGCGATCTCAGCTCACTGCAAACTCTGCCTCCTGGGTTCACGCCATTCTCCTGCCTCAGCCTCCCGAGTAGCTGGGACTACAGGCGCCCGCCACCACGCCCGGCTAATTTTTTGTATTTTTAGTAGAGACGGGGTTTCACTGTGTTAGCCAGGATGGTCTCGATCTCCTGACCTCGTGATCCGCCTGCCTCGGCCCCTCAAAATGCTGGGATTACAGGCGCGAGCCACCGCGCCTGGCCTCTAAATGTATTTTTTAAGAAGAGAAACAATGTACACTCCTTTTTAAGAAGGGAAATGCATACTCCTTTAACTAGAAAAGGATTCAAGTTGTCATTCAAAAAAATATGTGTGCAAACAACTAGAAAAACATAAGACACTCCACTAAAAGTTGCATGACTATAAATTGTACTGTATGCATTCATTTTTATATATTTATGTGTTTGTTATTTCATCTGTGTCTATTATCTATCTCTATCTATCTATCTATCTATCTACTTATCTATCTTCATGATCATCATCTGTCTCCTTGTTAGTTTACCTAGTTATCCTTGGAAAAGGAACAGCTATAAGAAAAATTATTAGGGGAAATAATAGTGTTAATCATAACTACATCCAAAGTTTCTATGACATCACTAGGTGTTTTTAAATAAATCTCTGTTATTCATCTAGAAATGAAAACACACAAGGTGATAGAGCACACATTAAACACCTTATTGCTAACTGAGTTATGTCTATCTTCTGTAAGTACATAAGTAGTAGCTAAGATTTATTGAGTGGTTCTCACCTGCCAGCCTCTGTGCAAGGCACTTCACATATATCATGCATTTCCTTATAAGAATTTTAATGAGATAGAGCCCATTATTATCATCTTTTTCAGTTGATGAGACTGAGGCTTGGAGAAACAACTTGGCAAAGGCCCACTAAGTATAGCCAAGTGTCATGTTTCAGGGGATAAATGATTTGACTCTAGATTTATCCAAGTTTGTTCAATAATTAGTAATGTTGTAAATGGATCTTCATAGTTCCTAAGAAAGAGATCTTAGAGGATCTAGAGAAAAAAAATGCATGAAAAAGCCTAGTGGGCTGAAGAGTTAATGGACTTTGGAAGCAGATGGCCTGGGTTTATATTCTGGCTCTACCACCTTTTAGCTGCGTGATCTTAGGCAACTTATTGATATTTTGGAAAGTGAGATTATCTTTCATTGTTTAATCTTGCCAAATGAATGTGTAACTTTAGCACTGACTTTACTGAATCCCTTTAGTTCTTTATGTAGGTGATGGTCATAATTAATTTTATAACTATATTTCTTAACCAAAAATAAATAGAGCTAGTAATTCTTTTTTTTTTTTTTGGATCTTTCATAACAAGCAGGTAATGTTTTTCAAGTAATATTTTCAAGCTGTCATACCAGGATGACACTGAAAAGTACCCACCAGAAAGACTTACTTGGGTTATTGTCCACAGCTAGATATAATTCACTCTTGCTCTTAGGTTACAATAAGGGAAACTCGAAGTTTCAAGAAAATATCTTATGAAAGATGGTTTCAATTTTAAATAATATTTACCAGGAATAATAAAATCCTAATAACCCTGTAACTAAGCTTTGGGTTACTTCTTATATGATTCACTTTAATCAAATGTGTAACCTCATGTATCATTTTTTTAAAGAATTTCCAATCCCAGCACTTTGGGAGGCTGAGTTGGGCACATCATGAGGTCAAGAGATCAAGAGCATCCTGGCCAACATGGTGAAACTCCGTCTCTTCTAAAAATACAAAAATTAGCTGGGCGTGGTGGCTTGCACCTGTAGTCCCAGCTGTTCGGGAGGCTGAAGCAGGAGAATCACTTGAACCCAGGAGGCAGAGGTTGCAGTAAGCCGAGATTGCACCACTGCATTCCAGCCTGGTGACAGAGCGAGACTCTGTCTTGGAAAAAAAAAAAAAAAAAAGGAATTTCCACTCTCATTTTGTTAGTTCCACAAAAACACTCAGAAAATGTTGCTAAAAATGCCTCTTTATACTGAAAAGATTAATTTCAGATATCTTTTTATTTACCCCAGGTTAAGAGTATGAACCTTACCAACAGGTAAAAATGTGTCATATTAATTTTTTCAACATCAACAAACACGTCAAAAGATGGAGCACTGAAAGCTGCATTTTAAACAAATGCCCCAGGTAATGTATACTGAAAATGCAATCCTGATGTCCTAGGTGGCAGGATTATTGTTGTTGGAGAATGCTCCTGTAAATTTCTTTTCCAGTCTTCTCTCCTCACTTTCCATGCCTAAGGAGTCTAAGTCCCACTGCCCCTGCTAATTGTCCCTGGTTAATTAGAATGGAGAATGACCCCTGAACCAACATGGGCCCATGAGCCGCACTGGTGAATTGTCATTCAGACCCAAAGGCTAGTCAGTCTCCCTGGGCATTGAGAAGCAACAGAAAGCAAGTATGTTCTTTGATTACAGACTAATTTTCTAGCCCCAGAGTTGGAACTAAAATATGCAGATAGGATAGTGGCAAGAGACAGACAAATGCCTAGGCAGATAAGGGGTGTCCCTGGAGAACCTCTGACCTGCCCAGGTCATTGTGCACCAGGGTTTTGCCTAAACATGCCCATGGTGAAAAATTTCATCCCTTAACACATGCAGTGTACAGTGGCTCAGACTAAGGGCCTGCAGGCACATTGGAAAGACAGGGTAGAGCCACCAAAAATTCGCTCCTTATGCAGGGGAAGAGCCTGGCCTCCAGCTTGTGTGTGGTGGCCTGGTATTCAATTTGTGAGATGGAAACCTGTGTCCAGGACCCCTCTCTTTGCTGACAGCTTTCCTTTCGCTTAATAAATTCCATCCTCCTCACCTGTCAATGTGTCCACATGCCTAATTTTTCCTGGTTTGAGACAAGAACCCGGATTTAGCTCAACTAACAAGCAAAAAATCCTGCATCAGATCTACAGATAGATAGACATAGATCTAGATATAGATACAGATACAGGTGTAGACACAGATGTAGATACAAATACAGATAAACGTATCTTTACAGAGAACACACCCACATAGTATGAGTAAAACAAAAAATTAACACCACTCCCCACGCCAAGTGTGTAAAAAGAGGACACTAGCTTAAGAGAAATAAAGTCTTGTGGCTTATTTCCCAGGAAGATGATAGTGTATGCCAAAAATGGATGTAATATTTAGTCTCAGTTGAGATTGCCTGTCTTACATTTAAGGCAGATGGGCTTCAACTACTATAGCAGATAGTTGGTGACCTAAGGCAGAAAGCTTTGTTACAAGGTGGCAGATGGAAGGAGAGAGGTACAAACTCCCAAAAATGACTCTCCC
This sequence comes from Homo sapiens, assembly GCF_000001405.40. NCBI lineage: Eukaryota > Metazoa > Chordata > Mammalia > Primates > Hominidae > Homo > Homo sapiens. The sequence continues at coordinate 150,552,048 of NC_000002.12, read as the reverse complement.
AGAGTCTCTTAAAATACTCCTGGACAGGGATGATCATCTTTGGCCCATTTGCCAAGAAAAACTGAGAACAGATTCCATAAAGAAAAAATTAAACAGATATGAGTAGAGAAATGTGTCCTGCCCTTGGTTTGTATGAGATATCATAGATTCCTCCTAAAAAATCCCTTGCCTTGATTTTTTTTCTTGATATCACATGTGTAGTTTTCTGTTCTTTGTAATGAATTAATTCCTAACCAAGATAGCCACAATAGGCAAACAATTAGAAATATTAGACATGAATTTACAGGGTACCTTGGCTATTTGTTTCATTGATGCCTGAAATTCCATATTGGGTTTTTATTTTTTATGTCATTTTTAATTTCATGTCATTCTTTTGGTTTCCACTCATTCAAATATAAATATCTCTGAGAATAGCAATTACTCCTAAGTCCATACATTGAGTATACCCTCAGAATTATATCAGAAATTTTTCTTGTGAACACTTTTTGGTAGAGAAAAAAGCACCTGATGTGGTAGGAGGGGTGGAAGTGATGCTACTGTCCTTGCTGCCAACTTCCTCTACAGTGACTGCCCCTGCCACTGTGGGCTTCCTAAAGATGGGGGTCTTCGTTCCTAAAGGATGATTCGGAGAGCCCCTTCTTACTGTGTTCTACCTGGCAGGAGTTGAGTTAGGCATTTCAGATGTATTCAGGCAGGAATTTCTCACAATAACCCTATGATGTTGGCATTATTATTAATGTTCTACAGATGAAGACTTACAGACTTAGAGGATCAGAGTGGTAAAGAAACTAGCTCAGAAAGAGCTGAATTGGAATCCAGGTCTGTCTGCCTGACTCAAAGTCTGTGGGTTTTTTTGTTTTGTTTTTTTTGAGACGGAGTCTCGCTCTGTCACCCAGGCTGGAGTGCAGTGGTGCGATCCTGGCTCACTGCAACCTCCGCCTCCCAGGTTCAGACAATTCTCCTGCCTCGGCCTCCTGGGTAGCTGGGATTACAAGCAAGCACCATCACGCCCGGCTAATTTTTGTATTTTTAGTAGAGACAGGGTTTCACTATGTTGGTCAGGCTGGTCTCCAACCTCTGACCTGCTGATCCACCTGCCTCGGCCTCCCAAAGTGCCGGGATTACAGGCGTGAGCCACTGCGCCCAGCCAAAGTCTGTGTTTTTAACCATGGATATAACAAAAGAGGAGACGTGAGTAAATATGGGACATAAGTAAAAAAGGAAAGTTTTGAATGTCTATGACATTTCTACAATTTAACTTTTTGCCCAAGAATCTCGTTAATAGAAAATTAATATTTTTTAACATTTATAACCTATAACAAGATGCACTATGTTAACTGTGAAAATTGATCGTATTATTACATATAGATACGTACAACACCACATTTTCCTAAATTTATCATTCTCTAGTTCCAGTTTCCAGTAACTCTCCATAAATAATCACAATAAGAGGTAGTTTTGAAGGATTTTTGATCACAAGAATGTTCATGCTTGCAGTGTATATAGGTAATTACTAAAATGTATAAGATGGACATAATCAAAAACTGCTTAAGAAGGATAAAACTTTAAAATGTTAGATATGTGTAATTCATTACTTTTAAAATATCAACAAACTGTCTGTACCATAATTTTAACTGGAAGATGCTATCTTTTTAGACACTTTGCATAGAGGTAGCCATTAAGGGCAAAAACTCCAGTTGAAGACCCTTTGCCCTATATAGTGGGACATTTCTGTAAGGTTACAATTGGAATATTTATCTTGCTTCTTATGTATAGGTTATATGCTACTTTAACTTACCTTTCAACACAGTGATTAAAAATAAGCTTGTCCATGTTTGATAAATACTCTGTGAAGTGGCAATCTCATGCATGAAGTCCTTTTAAGAATGAAAATAAAATGACTTTTCTCATAACAATGCCTGGTAGAGACAAAAACTTTATTAAGTCAAGTTCTGTACTTTAAGAAATGTGATGAACTCCGAGTTCATTAGCACAGCCTAATACCCTACGTCATGAAATATGAGCATTTAGAGAAGCTTTTTTCTAAACTTTAATTAGAAAATGAATAAATTAAAAATAAATATAATTCTTTTGACAGTTGAACAACAAATGCATATGATCACAAGATCTATTTGGTGAGAGAATAATCCATATTGCAATGATATGAAATGGTCAGATAATTGCTTGTCGGCCTCTTGGTGAGGTCAAGTGAAATGGTCAGATGGTCTGGGCTATATTGTGTTCTCTTCACCATTTTACTTGCTGCTTCTTGGATTCTAGTTTTTAAACAGAAAAGAATTACTATCCTCACTACTTGGGTTCATACCCACTTGGTAGAATAAAATAGCAAATTGTCAATTGTTCAGTCTACATACAAAGTACAGATTTTCTGACTGGATAATGCACAGTAAAAGCAGAGTGCTGGCATGACTGGTTAAGCTTTTGTATTAACACAATTGACTACACAGTTGCTCACTACCTTAGGAAGTTCCGCTGACAAGTTCTGGCAACTTGCCCACAAAAATTGGAGTCAACATCACCAACATAGTTATAAAGCATTTTAAAAATAAATATATACAAACATAAATTTCGCAGACAAGATAGATTAAGATATGATTATTTACCTTACAAATAGTGATCACTCTTCCTTGATTTATTAAATAATGCTATTGTGCAGTGTATTTTAAAAAGTTACATTCACAAAAGTCTCCTTTATCCACAACTTTCAAGGAATACAATTATTAAAAAGATATTTGTGTTAATTCTTGTAAATGGGTTCATATTAGCCATTTTATTTAGACAAGATGGAGACATAATAATCTTCAAATAATATAGGGATGCTAAGATTTGGCTCCTATCCCACCTTTAGGCATACGGTGTGAGAGAATAAACAATACCTTACTATAGGCTTTCAGGTAATAAAAAGAAATAAGCCCAAACTGTAACATAAAACTAGGTAATGGATCTCACATGTTTACAGAGATTATTCCTGCCATAAAGTTTAAAAAAAAAAAAAGGAATGGCATAAGGTAATTCCCTCCTTTGTAGCTCCTGGGTTGGTTTACCATAGAAGATGACATGTTGCACTCACCACCTAGGGCATTCATCCATTCTGAAATCCAAGCCTGACAGAGTAAAGGGGGAGAGAAAGAGCAACTCAGACTTCTCTGTCCCACCTCCATAAACTCTCCTTTTGTGCTTCCACTTTGCTGACTGAGAACCCATCTTTCTCCAGTGGTCCAAACCATCCCATATTGAGTGGTGTGGCCTCTTAGGTTTTAGCAACATTACTACTGCCTTCAAACAGCGCCACCCCTGCTCATGCAGGAGATATGAAGCTACACAGTCTTTAATGGCTAAGTCTGGCTTTGTTCCTTGTTAACCATAGGAATGTGGCAAAATCAGAGCTACGCTAAATTTCACATGCTGTGCTGATTGTGTGTGTGTGTTTACAAGTTTGTGCAATATTAGGATATATACAAAATGCAGTATTACAAAGAGAACTCACTTAAGAAATAACATTTTGTCTAAATAATTGAAGGCCCTGTGTACTTTTTTCCAATTATACCAACTTACTTCCCTGCCAAGAATCACCATTTTAAATTTGGTATCTCTCATTGCTTGCATTTATTTCCTGCTCATTCCTTTTATGTGGGCTAACAATACTCTTAACATGTTTTTCTTAGTATGATTGGTTATTTTATTTTATAATAAAATAAATGAAGTAAACTTTGGTTAAAAATGAAAAAGATATTTTTATAGAGAATAACATCAGGGTAGCTTTACTAATAGTCATAAAATGGACTTATTTTGAAGATGTTATTATTTTATACTAAACACACTTCCCCTTATACCACAGCACTTATTCTCTTGATCAAATTTGCAATTTTAGCACCTGTTGGATACTGAAAATCAGACAAATATTAAGAAAAAGTCTCAAGGCCAGGCGCAGTGGCTCACGCCTGTAATCCCAGCACTTTGGGAGGCTGAGGTGGGCGGATCATGAGGTCAGGAGATGGACACCATCCTGGCTAACACAGTGAAACCCCATCTCTACTAAAAATACAAAAAATTAGCCGGGCGTGATGGCGGGCGCCTGTAGTCCCAGCTACTAAGGAAGCGGAGGCAGGAGAATGGCCTGAACCCAGGAGGCGGAGCTTACAGTGAGTGGAGATGGCGCCACTGCACTCCAGTCTGGGCGACAGAGCGAGACTCTATCTCAAAAAAAAAAAAAAAAAAAAATCTCATTTCTGAAATGAACTACACTATATAAAAGGGGAAAATTAAATAATCTAGAATGAGAGGAACCCAAACATAGAGAGATATATGGAATTTTACATTTAAAAAAACTAAAGCTATTTAGTAAAATATAAGAACAGAAAGCACGAAATTCAAGCTAAAATTCAGTTGGTTTAAGTTACAACTATGGTGACTATTAAGATATCTAAACTATAACATAGATCATTAGAACTCTTCAGTTTACCTTAGCAGCACTCTTCCAGATGGTTTTATAAAATTAGGAAATAGAACAAAAGAAATCAAATACAAAATAAGTATTTGTCAATACCCTTCTGGACTCATAAGGACAATTTCTTCCCAACCTTCATTTACATTTTCTCATGAAATATTCAAAGAATAGACTAAGAGTTATTGAAATCATTTATCACTTTTCCCCTTCATGAAAACTGATGCCATTTTAGAGGTGTTGTGTATTTCTACCCATTGGAGCTTGAAAATCATAATTTCTAAACTGGGTTTTTCCTTTTAATAAACCACTCCATATATGGTTAAAGTGTTTGTGTGTATACTTTTTTAAAAAACGTTTTATTCTACAAAAATTCAAAACAAGACAAATTAACTATCTGTATTTCAAAAAAGAACTCACTTAAAATGAAAAGGTTTCCTAAAATATTAAATGTATGTTGAGGCCAGGACTTTGAGATCAGTCTGGGCAAAATAGTGAGACTCTGTCTGCACAAAAAAAATTAAAAATTATCCAGATGTGGTCACATGCCCCTGCAGACCCATCTACTCAGGAGGCTGAGGCAGGAGGATCTCTCAGACCCAGGAGTTGGAGGCTGCAGTGAGCTATGATCATGCAACTGTACTCCAGCCTGGGCAATAGAGAGAGCTGCTGTGTCTAAATAAATAAATAAAACAAATATATGTATGTGTCTTTATTTCAGGGTTTTTTTTTTTGAGATGGAGTCCTGCTCTGTCACCAGGCTGGTGCAGTGGCAAGATGTTGGCTCACTGCAACCTCTGCCTCCCAGGTTCAAGTGATTCTCCTGCCTCAGCCTCCCGAGTAGATGGGACTACAGGCATGTGCCACCATGCCCGGCTAATTTTTTTGTATTTTAGTAGAGACGGGGTTTCACCATGTTGTTCAGGCTGGTCTCAAACTCCTGACCTCAGGTGATACGCCCGCCTTGGCCTCCCAAAGTGCTGGGATTACAGGCGTGAGGCACCGTGCCAGGCCCTTTATTTCAGTTTTATAAAAATATAGGTATGTTCTTAAAACTGAACTTCAGAAACAACCTCTTCTGTCTCTCTTTTTGTGACAATTGGTCTGTACATATTTAAAAATGCATGCTGTATTCAAGGTACTGTCCAAAGCCTGGAAATCCTCCAAAGTTTTATTGTTGTATTTGTACCTACTATTTTTTCTAGTCACATTCGTAAAAGGTTCACATTCCTCCAAAATTATTGCTCTAAGAGTCAAGAAAATTGACTTTCTTAGTGCTCAAGTAAGAAACGATACTGGCAGTACTGTGCCTTCAGAAAGGAAAACCATAAGGCCTTGCTCTGATATTTGAAACAATGGATTTCAGCAACGATGTAGGTCAGCCACTGTTTATTCACACACAAAAAAATATTTCTAATTCTTCTCTTAGAAATGAAGAGGTCACCAGCAGGTATGCTTCATTCTACAATGATCTTTTTTGGAAAACTTGTTCAGATAAAATCTAGAGATAAAATTCTTGCCTTCTCAAAAACAGCTGGTTCATTGGCACGGACATGAGCGGATAGGGATATGTAATAATATTTAAGAAAGAATTAAACTTGACTTAGCAGTTCTTGGAAAAACTGATTTAAGCAAACAGTTGACCTTAAGGATTTGAATTCTCTGAAATTTTTCCTTCAAATTTTAATCTTTCATAGATATTTAGAAATATATATTCAATAGAGAATAAAAATGCCATTAGATAATATGAGACAGACAAACAGTACAGGTAAAAGGAAAATGATACATTCTAGACTATTTCCCTGGGAGTTCCAAGTTCTAAAGTTAGCATACTAGTACAGTGGAGGAGAACAGACATGTTTGTGTACAACAAATCAATTGCATAGAATTTTAATCTCAGAGACTGTGGAAATACTAATCTTGCTACTCAGAGGGTCATAGTAAGTTGAGAATTGGCCTGACCACTTTGGAAGTAACATCTAGTCAAATCTTTTAGCCTGGAATAAAATACAAGTCATGATTTTCAACTTTTAAAAATGTCTAAATTGTTCAAATAATGGTGTCAAAGTGTTATGGTAGAAAAGTGATGGAATTTGGCTTAAATTTTTTCAAGTAATTGCTTTTCTTTTTTAAAAAATACGCCATCGGTTTTTTCTTTTAATCAGAGTAATACATGTACATTATTTTAAAAGCAAGCCAGTTGTAGATGTTATCTCTTGCTCTGCTATTGGGAAAGTTAAAAATTTAGCTTTCTCAACCTATATGCTATTTCTCACCTCACCAAAAAATCAGATGCACTTACCTTACCCTGAAACAAAATTGTTGATATAATGGAAATACTAGTCACAGATGTTACTTATGATTACGCTTCTTTTTGTGTAACTTGCTTTCCCTGGAGTTAAGTATTACCTCTTTTTTTTTTCTTACTTTTTAATGTACCAATTGCTAATTCATCCCTAAACTTTCTGCCAAAACTGTCCTAGGTATTCCAACATATTGGTTATTCCATCTGGAGCCCTCCAACCTCCTCACCAGTCTGGACTGGTTTCTCTCAGACCACAGGGAGCTGATGTTCTAGAACTTTTCTTCATCAATATCCTGGGAATTTTCTTTATTTTCTGTTTCTCAACGCTTGTTTCCTGTATCCTCTAGCTACTTCTGTTTTGGGTTATTCCCTCATGTTGCTTAATCACATCCTCCAATAGCTCTTAAAACATGGTATGTGGAAGTATTTTTTGAGATCTTGCAATTGAAAATACTTATTTTCTACCTGCAGTTAACTATTTTCTTTTATTTATTTATTTATTTATTTATTTATTTTATTTATTATTTTTTTTTGAGACGGAGTCTCGCTCTGTTGCCAGGCTGGAATGAAGTGGCACGATCTCAGCTCACTGCAACCTCTGCCTCCCGGAGTCAAGCGATTCTCCTGCCCCAGCCTCCTGAGTAGCTGGGACTACAGGCACCTGCCACCATGCCTAGCTAATTTTTTGTATTTTTAGTAGAGACGGGGTTTCACCATGTTGGCCAGGATGGCCTCAATCTGTTGACCTCGTGATCCACCCAGTTTGGCCTCCCAAAGTGCTGAGATTACAGGCGTGAGCCACTGCGCCCAGCCTCGTTCACTATTTTCTACCCTTATATTTGTCTTTTAAAATTTCTTGGCATGGAATTCTAGGCTGGAATCATTTTCTCTCAGGTTTTCAAAGCAATTTGTTCATTATTTTCTACTTTCTAAGGTCGCTTTCTGACCTTAGAAATCTTTTCTAATTTCAATCTTTTCAAGTGACCCTTCTATTCCTGGCATTTTAGCATTTTATATACATGTGCCTTTAGTTGAGTATTCGAAGTTCATTTTTCTGAAAATCTGAACCGATCAATCTAAAAATTTATTCATTTCCATTCTGGGAAACATTTCTGTATTATTTGCTTGACAATTTTTTTTTCATTTTTATTTAATTCTCTCTTCTTATAACTCACATTATTACACTTTATTCTTTATTTTTCTTAAATTGTATCTATAATTTTCCTGTTTTATCTTGTCCTACATTGTAAAGTTTATCCTGAACTTTTTTATATTTCCAGTTTCCTGTTAACTTTTTAAGATAAGTTAACATATTTTTAATTACAAAGATTTTTCTCCGTATGATCCTTTTCATAGCCTGCTGCTCTTGTTTCTTTTAAATATTACTTTTTACCTATTTTCCTACCCTCTAAATATTGTCTTTATTTTCTCCAGATTCTTTTGTTTGTTTGTTTCTTTAGGGCATTGCCCTTTATGTAAGTTTTTTCTGTAATATCTATTGATTTGGTTGTCAGCTGACATTTTAAATGCAAAGTTGTTTTTGTTTGTTTGTCTTTTTTTTTTTTTTTTTTTTTTTAGATGTAGTCTCATTCTGTTGCCAAGCTTGAGTGCAGTGGCGTGATCTCAGATCACTGCAACCTCTGCCTCCCGGGTTCAAGCAATTCTCCCGCCTCAGCCTCCTGAGCAGCTGGGACTGCAGGCGTGTGCCACTACACCCGTCTAATTTTTGTATTTTTAGAAGAGATGGGGTTTCACCATGTTGGCCAGGATGGTCTCCATCTCCTGACCGCGTGATCCACCCACCTCGGCCTCCCAGAGTGCTGGGATTACAGGCGCGAGCCACGACCCCAGGCCTAGTTCTTCAATTTCATACCTGGAGATTATGAACCTCGTTGCCAACCTTGAAAGAAGAAAGTTTGGGTATCTCCATTCAGTATGTTAATCTTCACTTAACTCCCGTTTTCAGTACAGCATGTCAGACTAACTAACCCTCAGTAACCCTGGCATACCACACTTTACAGCCTATCTTATTAAACTCTCTTATCTGCAGATTATGGGAGGAAGGATCACCTGACTGGGTGTGGTAGTTGAGGGGTTCTAAGGATCCAATTTCTTCTTTAATGGACTTTCAACCTTTCTTCTTGCTTTCAGTCCCACTGAGAAGTGACAGCATGCTGGCAGCCCTCGCAGCCCTCGCTCGCTCTTGGCACCTGCCCTTGGCACCTCCTCGGCCTCAGCGCCCACTCTGGCCGCGCTTGAGGAGCCCTTCAGCCTGCCGCTGTACTGTGGGAGCCCCTTCTTGGGATGGCCGAGGCTGGAGCCGGCTCCCTCAGCCTGCGGGGAGGTGCGGAGGGAGAGGCATAGGCGGGAACCGGGGCTGCCCGCGGCACTTGCGGGCCAGCTAGAATTCTGGGTGGGCTTGGTGGGCCCGGCACTTGGAGTGGCCAGCCGGCCCCGAGCAGTGAGGGCTTAGCACTTGGGCCAGCAGCTGCGGTGGGTGCGCCGGGTCCCCCAGCGGTCTCGGCCCACTGTCGCTGCGCTAGATTTCTCGCCGGGCCTTAGCTGCCACCCCGCAGGGCAGGGCTCGGGACCCAAAGCCCGCCATGCCTGAGTCCCGCCCCTCCCCGCCCCCCCGCCTCTCCCCGCCCCCCCGCCTCTCCCCGCCCCCCCGCCTCTCCCCGCCCCCCCGCCTCTCCCCGCCCCCCCGCCTCTCCCCGCCCCCCCGCCTCTCCCCGCCCCCCCGCCTCTCCCCGCCCCCCCGCCTCTCCCCGGCCCCCCGCCTCTCCCCGGCCCCCCCCCGCCTCTCCCCGCCCCTCCCCGCCCCCCCCACCGTCCCCATCCCCCTGTCCCCCCACCAGACCTGCTGTGGGCTCCTGCACGCCCAAGACTCCCCTACGAGTACTGCTCCCTGCTCCAGGGCGCCCAGTCCCATCAACCGCCCAAGGTCTGAGGAGTGTGGGCGCATGGCACGGGACTGGCAGGCAGCTCCACTTGCAGCCCCTGTGTGAGATCCACTGGGTGAAGCCAGCTGGGCTCCTGAGTCTAGTGGAGACTTGGAGAACCTTTATGGAGAACTTTTATATCTAGCTGAGGGATTGTAAATACACCAACGGGCACTCTTTATCTAGCTCAAGGTTTGTAAACACACCAATCAGCACCCTGTGTCTAGCTCAGGGTTTGTGGATGCACCAATGGGCACTCTGTATCTAGTTAATCTGGTGGGGACTTGGAGAACTTTTATGTCTAGCTAAGGGATTGTGAATGCACCAATCGGCACTCTGTATCTAGCTCAAGGTTTGTAAATGCACCAATCAGCACTCTGTGTCTAGCTCAGAGTTTGTAAATATACCAATGGACACTCTGTATCTAGCTAATCTAGTGGGGACCTGGAGAACTTTCGTGTCTAGCTCAGGGATTATGAACGCACCAATCAACACCCTGTCAAAACGGACCAATCAGCTCTCTGTAAAACAGACTAGTCAGCCCTCTGTAAAATGGACCAATCTGCACGATGTGGGTGGGGCCAGATAAGAGAATAAAAGCAGGCTGCCCCCCCCCCCCCCCAGCCAGCAGTGGCAACCCCTTGGAGTCCTTTTGTACACTGTGGAAGCTTTGTTTTTTCACCCTTTGCAATAAATCTTGCTATTGTTCTCTCTTTGGGTCCATACTGACTTTATGAGCCGTAACACTTACAGCGAAGGTCTGCAGCTTCACTCCTGAAGCCAGCGAGACCACGAACCCACCGGGAGAAACGAACAACTCCAGACGCATCACTTTAAGAACTGTGACGCTCACCGCGAAGGTTTGCAACTTCACTCCTGAGCCACCGAGACTACGAACCCACCGGAAGGAAGAAACTCCGAACACATCCGAACATCAGAAGGAACAAACTCCAGACACGCCGCCTTTAAGAACTGTAACACTCACCGCGAGGGTCCGCGGTTTATTCTTGAGGTCAGTGAGACCAAGAACCCACCAATTCTGGACACACCACCTTGCCCTTCTACTTTTCACAGGTACTAAGGTCTCAAACTCATAAGTTTTTCCAGGGTTTTCTGCATTGAACAACTTTTTGTTTGTTTGGTGGTGGTAGTGAGGAATAGACCTTCCCCCTTTGAAAGCTTCCCTTGTTTCCTTTAGTCTGATAAATCAGTTACCACTTAAATATCTGCTTCCTAGCTTCTGAACTCATGCTGATAATGCCCATCTGCTGTCTTTACATGCCTGGTGTCTCTGATGGCCATTTTTCTTAGGGGCTTGTTCAGTGCAAATAAATGACTCTCTATGGAAAAAAAGAAAAAGGGAAAACTGATTTATAGCATTTGCCAATTTCTAGTGGTGTAGATGCTCTTACTATATGACTGTCTTCAAGCTACCAATAATTTAACAGGCTTGCAAGAGTCCTGAATACTTATCAGTTATATCTCAGTAGCAGGTAAGTGCTATCTCCAGCCCAGCACTGTTTATGCCTTTGTTAGTTTTACTGTCTCTTTAGTAAGGCTTTTGGAGAGGGTTGAGATAAAAGTATATCTCTCCATATTTAACTGGAAGTCTCAATTTCTTGCCTATTTGTGTAGACATAAGCTGACTTGGAAAATTAGCTACTTGAGTGGAGTAAATTTTAAAAATGGAAATTATATGGAATATATGTGTAGGGCTTTGCCTCAAACAATGACAAATTTGTTTTTTCTATAGCCCCGGCTATTCAGGGGACTGAGGCAGGAAGATCCCTTGAGCTCTGGAGTCCAGCAGGGGCAACATAGCGAGCCTTAAGGAAAAACAAAACAAAAAACAATGTTTCTTCTTCATTCAACGTCATTGTCCTAACTTTCTTTAAGTTAATAAGGCCTCTTCCTGCTCATTCTTTCCCTAACATTCATAAACACATATAAAGTGACTAAGGGATTTAAAAGAAACAAAACAAAGTTCACTTCCTTAAACGAAACGAGTTTACTTAGGAAGATGTGCTTTAAAACACTGAGAGGGGCCGGGCATGGTGGCTTGTGCCTGTAATCCCAGCTGACACGGGTGGATCACGCGGTCAGGAGATCGAGACCATCCTGACTAACACGGTGAAACCCCGTCTCTACTAAAAACTGCAAAAAATTAGCCGGGCGTGGTGGCAGGCGCCTGCAGTCCCAGCTACTCGGGAGGTTGAGGCAGGGGAATGGCGTGAACCCGGGAGGCGGAGCTTGCGGTGAGCCGAGATGGCGCCACTGCACTCCAGCCTGGGCGACAGAGTGAGACTCCGTCTCAAAAAAACAAACAAACAAACAAAAAACACTGAGAGGGTATTTAGGGCTTTAATGTACTAACACCAACTCATAAGCATCATCAGTCATTTATATCTTGGAGGTGTGGAACAAGTAAACTGAGGTAATGAAATAATATTTGCCTTCACATTAGTCACTGCTCAGTCACTTAGAGATGTAAATTGCAGAAGATATACAACTTGTAAAAATTATCTCATTCTTTCTAATTGGATTGTGAAATATCTAACACCAGCTCCATTTTTAAGAAATGTTAATGCAAACCTGAGAGACTGCAAATACTGCCAGTGTTGCCTTCTATAGAAACGGGATTTGGCTGGATGATATCCCTGGACTAATCATCTACAATGTGGAAATACTAAGAATCATGGCACAGAGGTTAATACACTTAGGCAAACAACATAGTGAGTAAATTAAACTCGCATTTCTTTTAACGAGATAAAGTTTGTCACATACCCACAGAATTCATGAGGAAGTTCTGAAAGGATCATACACTCCCAAAATTTGCAGTGAAAACGATCTTAGATAATGTCTTTTTCATAGCACTCAATTATATGTAAGGAAACTGAGGCCCAAAGTGGTGAAGCCAGTGAGAGAGTGGACTAAAGAAAGACTCATTGTATCTACCTCGCACTTGCGAATTTCCTATCTAAAGATTTCTGTTAGCCCCCAAACATCCCCCAGGATCAGGAGAAAATAAAACCAGGATATTTACATTTCCCATACTTCTCATATGGAAGAAATGCTTTTGGTTCCAAGTACTGTTGTCCACTGAAATATCAGCATACATGTTTGGAAAGTTTTACTTGTGTGAAATAATTAAAATCCATGGTTTCGAGGGTCATGGATTTGTTTTTGTTTATCCCATGACTTCCGCCGCTGCTCATCACGAGACTTTGCATGAGTAATGTGAGTAAGGAATATTGCCTTTGGCTGTCTTATATCCTGTGTCTAAAATACAGACAGTGTGACCAAAAAAACAGACTGAAAACCTAGCAATGCTGAAGGCAAAGCAAAAGATGGTGATTTTGGTAAGTGCTCTTTGTTTCCTGTGAAAATAACCCCGGCTTTTTGTTTTCTTTAATTTTAATGTCTTTTCTCAAATGTTTGAAGTATTTCCCATGTTGGACACCAGTCAAATTGTAGCATTTGTTGTCATGTGCAGCATGTTCAGAAAATCTGCTTTGGTTTATTTTGGATGATGTCATGCTACGTGCAACCATCTTAAAATGTTACTTTTCCTGAGGGAGTTGATGAGAAACGTGACAAAATGTGCACATGGCTAGAGTTAACTTTTAGAACTTAAAATCTAGATAATAAAGACAACATTCCCCTTTAAGTTTTAAAAATGGCCCAAAGATATGTAGAGCCTAAGTGAGTTTTGATGGGCAATTTCTGGACCATTCCAGACCATCACTGGCAAGAAAACATCCAGATTTTACCTTCAATGAGTCATCCTTTGGGAGAGTCAATGTAGGTATGGCTTGCCAATCAAAACTGGAGTCCATCCTCTATGAGTATTTAACCCTAATGCTCATTGTCTACATGCTTTGGATAGCATTTCTTTTTAAAAATTTATTTTGGGCAGGCGCGGTGGCTCATGCCTGTAATCCCAGCACTTTGGGAAGCTGAGGCAGGCGGATCACGAGGTCAGGAGATCGAGACCATCCTGGCTAATACAGTGAAACCCCATCTCTACTAAAAATACAAAAAATTAGCCAGGCATGGTAGCATGTGCCTGTAGTCCCAGCTACTCGGGAGGCTGAGGCACAAGAATCGCTTGAACCAGGGAGGTGGAGGTTGCAGGGAGCTGAGATCTCGCCACTGCACTGCAGCCTGGGTGACAGAGTAAGACTCCATCTTAAAAAAAAAAAAAAATTTTGAGGGGTAGAATGGGGTCTCACTATGTTGTCTAGGGTGGTCTTGAACTGGCCTCAAGCAGTCCTCTCACCTCGGCCTCCTAAGTCATTGGGATTACAAATGTGAGCTATTGCACCCAGTCTGGGTAGCATTTCTAAGCTATTTTTAAATATCTTGTCCCAGGGAGTTGAGGGCCACCATTTATTTTATTTAATCACAGGTTGACAAGAGTAGATGGCCTTATGGAAGTTTAATATCCTCTTAACATTTTTTCGGAATTTCAGCTCTTTTTGTACTTGATGACTTATTGTTTACTTGGTGTCATAATTGTTATAGAACAAGTGGAAGAAGTTTTTTCATTATAAGTCCCTGTTGGAGAAGAAGGGAATTCCCACAGGCCAAGAAAAGGGAACAAGAGGATTAACCCCTGGCATTGTGGCTGATATGGTTTGGATGATCTGTGTCCCCACCCAAATCTCATGTTGAATTGTAATCCCCAGTGCTGGAGATGGAGCCTGGCGGGAGGTAATTGGAACATGGGGACAATTGCTAATGGTTTAGCAACATTCTCCTGTTGTAGTTCTCTTGATATTGTTCTCATGAGATCTGGTTGTTTAAAATTTTGTAGGACCTCCCCCACTCCTCTTCCTCCCGCTCCTGCCATATAAGACATGCCAATTTCCCCTTCACCTTACACCGTGATTGTAAGTTTCCTGATGCCTCCCCAGAAGCTGAAGCTGCCATGCTTCCTAAACAGCCTGCAGAATCTTGAGTCAATTAAACTTCTTTTTTTTTATGAATTGCCCATTCTCAGGTATTTCTTGATAGTGGTATGAGAACAGAGTAATACAGTAATCCATCAGTAGACTGTGATTTACTGGGTAAAAAAATTAAAAGCATTTTTTTAATTTAAGGAAGTCAGTATAATAAACAAATAAAAATATTTTACATAAGATCCCCTAGTTCCATCCATGTTGCTGCAAATGATAGGATTTCATTTTGTTAAGTGAAATAAGCCAGGCACAGAAAGGCAAATATTGCATGTTCTCACTAATATATGGGAGCTAAAAATAAAAACTTGAAGTCATGGAGAGAGAGAGGAGAATGATGGTTACCAGAGGCTTGGAAGCATAGTGAGGAGGGGGGATAAAGAGGGAATGGTTAACAGGTACAAAAATAAAGTTAGAAGGAATAAGATCTAGCATGTGGTGGCACAATAGGGCAATTATGGTTAAGAATAATTATATATTTCAAAATAACTAAAAAAGTGCAATTGGGATGTTCCTAACACAAATAATATATGCTTGAGGTCATGGATACCCCAATTATCCTAATTTGATCATTAAACATTGCATGCTTGTGTCAAAATATTACATGTACCCAATAAATATGCACAACTAGTATGTATCCATAACAACTAATAATTTTTAAAAGAATATTTAAGGATTCATTCCTTCTTTAAAAATAATTCCAGGGAAGCTCAAAAAAAGTAAAATTAAAGACATGTCCAGAATCCTTTAACTTTCTGATTGCTGCCATTCTAAGTTGTTCTTGAGAGAGAACTAGAAAATTTGAGATGAATAAGCACATGTGTGCTCCTACACATCACCACACTATCACAACTGCAGGAATTCTAGACGAATAACAATTAGACTTTTAGAAAAATATTGCTAATGATGTGCTATAGGATATCTGTTTACTCCCTGTAATTATTTGGGGAACTCCTTGTAAGTTCTTATATGGATGTGTCTTTATTATGATCATTATGTCCAACAATTTACTTGCATCCATGCTGGTCTCATTTTTCTAAGAAGAATCTTTACCACTCTCTTCTGGAGAGCATTTTATTTCTGTAGGGCAGGGGGCTTCTTCTTTTGTATTGCTCTTCTGTCAGGACGTTTACCTCTTGACTCGTTACAGGACACACCCCACAGACATTTGGAACTTAATTGGCCTTTCTGGTTTGGTTATTCCCAAAAAGTCACATGAAGGGTTGAAAGTTCCCTAAAAGCATGTAACTTCTTTCCTATTCAATTATAAGTGGTTTCCTTCCACCCCACCTATTTTTTTCTCAAAAAAGGCAGAGGAAAATGATCAAAAATTTCTGCTGCTTTGATTATCGTGGCTTTTGGTCAGCAGATTGTATAAAGGTGAATAACTTCTGATTTTTTTGATGACCTATGACTGTCATTGGATATGTAGAGTTTGGTTATCATTGCAAGGCTCTGATTGGGAGGAAGGGAAGCTCCATCAACCAAGGAAGGTGACAAAAGAGTTGGTTTTAGCTGGAGATCCACAGTTGATTGTACCTCACTGGTTATTGGTCAAGAAGGCTTATTCTAGGGTGTAGAGAACGATGCAGACAAATTGCTGGCTTTTTTATGGAACTAGAAAGCATAATAATCCTACAGTGTAGACAGATGCCAAGTATCTGGGCTGGTGAAAAGCAACATATTTGACAGTATCTAACCTAGCACAGAAATACAGAATGCTAGGCAGGAGCCAGCGAGACACTACAGACATCAGTGAGGGAGCAGCTTCCTTCTGTGACCCCACAACCTGGCTTTTGGACCTGGGATTATTGTAGTGGCCAGAGGGACAGAATACCTTTACAAATTACCAAAGATTTACTCTTTAGCACCAATGATATCATGTAGATTAAATAACAAAATAGAACAAAAACAAAAGCAGTCAATGTTGCTACCTTTGAATCATTTCCTGTTGAGGATAGTCAACCTAACGAAGTGTTAAGAGACCAGTTGATCAAACAACATGAATCTCTGATGCCTTTTTCCATTTTTACCTGGTTTGTTGGTAGTAGGTTGAGACAAGTTTAGGCAGCACACTCACTTCCATACAAAAGATAGAAGATAGTTTGTGAAATCTTGTAAGAGAGACAAAAACAAATATTTTAAATTTTTTCCTCAGGAAAAAATTAAGCTTACAAAAATTGTACTGCTTTACACATGACAGGCTTTTCTTTTATAGCTGTACTTCCCCAGCCTTAAAATCATTTCATAAGTTATTACACAAAATTCATTGGATTATTTTTCTCCTGAGGCCCTCTCCTGCCCATGCCAATCAATCTGCCTTCTTCTGAATCCATTCACTATCTTACAGGAAAAAAAAAATTTATATATATATATATATATACACATACACACACACACACATATATATACACATATATATACACACACACATGCATATAATCTTTATACATATGCACATATATAACCCCACCCATTTTTTGTAAATAGAAATATTTTAAAAATTTGTACTACATTATAAAATCTAAATGTTGTTATATTATATAAACTTGAATATCTCATCTATAAAATGGGTAGGGCCAGGTGCAGTGGCTCACGCCTGTAATCCCAGCACTTTGGGAGGCCGAGGCGGGCAGATCACAAGGTCAGGAGATGGAGACCATCCTGGCTAGTATGGTGAAACCCCATCTCTACTAAAAATACAACAAATTAGCCAGGTGTGGTGGTGGGTGCCTGTAGTCCCAGCTACTAAGGAGGCTGAGGCAGGAGAAGGCGTGAACCCAGGAGGTGGAGCTTGCAGTGAGCAGAGATCGCGCCACTGCACTCCAACCTGGGCGACAGAGTGAGACTCTGTCTCAAAAAAATAAAAATAAAAATAAATAAAATAAAATAAAATAAAGTGGGTATAATTACACCTACCTTTAAAAGATATTGTAAAGATGAGAGGAGTTGTGTAAAGCACCTAGCCCAGTACCTGATATGTGGTAGATGCTAA
This sequence comes from Homo sapiens, assembly GCF_000001405.40. Taxonomy (NCBI): domain Eukaryota; kingdom Metazoa; phylum Chordata; class Mammalia; order Primates; family Hominidae; genus Homo; species Homo sapiens. Next base: position 150,534,383 of record NC_000002.12, on the reverse strand, counting down.
TAAATCACAGCTCTTATTATTAATATTTTTTAAATGTTTTCTAATGTGCAAGTAAGCCACATCCCATAAGGCATTACATTTAAAACTGTAGGTTGTGATCATTTCTAGGTCATGAAGTCAGTTTTGTGGACCATGGCAAGAATCAAAGGAAAACAGAAAAAAAGAAAAAAAAATCTCAGGGTATGTTACTATAAAAAGGTTAGGAATGGGCCAGGCACGGTGGCTCACACCCGTAGTCCCAGCACTTTGGGAGGCCAAGGCGGGCGGATCACGAGGTCAGGAGTTTGAGACCAGCCTGACCAACATGGTGAAACCCCGTCTCTACTAAAAATAAAAAAATCAGCCGAGGGTGGTGGCGGATGCCTGTAATCCCAGCTACTCAAGAGGCTGAGGCAGGAGAATTGCTTGAACCCAGGAGGTGGAGGTTGCAGCGAGCCGAGATCGTGCCACTGCACTCCAGCCTGGGGACAGAGTGAGATGCCATCTCCCACCCACCCCACCAAAAAAAAAAAAAGGTAAGGAATGTTTTCTGAAACTATTATTCTGGTGTTTACAATATGTGGTCAGTATTTGTGTTTGTATTTGTGCTAGGCCAAAATTTCCACAGGGCATGTTCAAAAAATGTTGTGAGCCATTGATAGAGAAAGGGGTGGAGAAGTGACAGGAGATGTGACAGGCCTGTCTAGAATCTCACAGCTGGGAAGCTGGTAGTCCTTCTAACTTTGCCCTCTTTACAAGACTGGGAGACCATGCTGTTCCAAGGCCAGGAGTTTATTCCTCTGCAGACATTCCTGGGGCTGATGACTAGGGAGAACTGGGCGAAAATCACCCTAGGATGCAATGGACAGTGGTGCCAGAAGCTCAAGCCCAGGAATTCCCTGGCCATACATGGATCCCTATGTCCTAGAGCATTTGGGATGGGAAGCCTGACTGCCAGGTGCTCATGGTGATCCCATTGATATGGTGGTGATGAAGCTCTGGCATCTATCTACCATGGTCTTCTGCTAGTCTCCAGGGACTTGGACACCATTGCCCCCTCTACTGGAATGGAAGCTGGGATGAATAAAAATCCAGGTCTGTGGGTGGGATGCAAAGTTTTGCTTTCCTCCCACCTGTACCTTTAAGACTGTGGTGCTAGCCTCTTTATGCAGCCAATGCAAGAATCAGGCCTCTCTATTTTTGAGTGAGAAAAGAATGAAACAAATGTTTTGTAAATTCCAAAACCTTGTTATTTAAGATCAGATATCTTACAGTGTTCTGAAGAAAGAATGTATAATCAAGATGTGAGCAATAGAAAGTGATTAATTCCTGGCATTATTACAAAAATGTTAAGTTATGATTCAAGAAGATCTGACTGTACTTACTAAAGAAAAATACTCACCCAAGTGAAGACTGAACAGAGAGCTTTCCACTAGAATGTGGAAAAGAGTTCATCTGTTCTTCGTGGTCATGGAGGTGCTCTGCACCTCATGGACTCCAGGGAAGCCTGGATCTCAGAGGAGCCACATGCAGAGAAAGAGGTAGTTTGCTCACAAGCATCACGGAGACAGTGATGTCAGAGATTGCAATTTCTATTCTGCCCCAGGCTCAGGTTCAATTTTAAGACCACTGGAGTCATCTCTGGGCACAATGCTATAGCATCAAATACTTGGAGGCTATGGGGAACGTAAGGCAGGGGCCTCATGCTTTGGGCCACCTTCTGATTACCTGGTCCTCCAGGTAATCAAGCTTGAGGACCACCTATCATGTGCCACTGCCCTCTTTTGAGTCTTATTTTTGAATCATCTCCTCCAGTCATCCATCCATCCCTGAGGCTGCTCAGTGTCCTCCTCCTGCCTTGAAGGAGATGGAGGAAAGAAGGATGATGCACTTTGGTTCCATGGAGGCTTACAAGAGCACCGTGGAACTATTCTGCTTTGAGGAACTCTGCATGTAAATTTGTGTGCATGTAACGTATACACAGACTCACTGCTCTTTCAGAGAGCTTGGAATCACTCCTACACGGGCTACAGGTGAAAAGGAGCAGAGCAGGGAGGAGAGAAACCTCACAAACAATGCCACTGTCTCTACGTGAGAGGGAGAAGGTGCCCTCATCTCCTCCTTATCCCCTTCCAATGGCTAAGATGTGCATGCCTACCTCTCAGGAAGACTATCATAACATGTTAATGAGGTATACAATTGAGTAACACTGCACATGTAAGTGAAATTATGCAACTACATCAGAAAATTGGTATGAGAATGCATTATTGAGATGCAAGTGCCCTATTTCTAAAAATATGTCGCTCGCTGTTTTACACACACACGTGTGCACACATGCTCCATTTCTACCACCCCCCACCAACCCCAGCCACTAGTAAGGGGTTTTCCAAGTCACATGTTGGAAATCCTACATTATTCAGGGTAACAAGGAAAGTGACAAAGGAGTTAGGTTTTAGCTGGAGATCCACAGTTGATTGTACCTCACTGGTTATTGGTCAAGAAGGCTTATTCTTATTTGTAAGAGTGTATAACCGGCTGCCTTTTGAACCAGTCCACACATTTAACACAGAATTGAAGTTTTAGCAAGGACGAGTCACTCCAGGATGTGGCTGTGTGTTTCCAGAATAGTCCTAGACATATTTGAGTGAGAAAGAAATTCAATGTGTTGCAGACTCCATATATTAAATTTTTCTGTTGCCCACCTTTTTGTGTATTTTTCAGATATGTTTTATACTCTAAATCAGGAGCATTTTGCCAGGAATTTCCCTCAGAACCTCTTAAAAAGTCTGTACATTTGGAGATAAATGAAATCCATATGTTCCTGATTTATTCTCACTTTCTTCATCAAAACGTTACTTTCTACAAGGCACTTGATCATCAATAAGCTATATGAGATTTTTAAAGGCCTTTTTTTCCCTAGAAAAGGGAAAACACATTTGATCAATAACATAGTTATAAAGTCAAAGTTACACAAGAATTTATAAAGATATATTGTTTTACTATTTAACTTTAATAACTTAGGCTATAGATATTTGGAAACTCACCAATCATTGTCAGAAAAATGCACATTTTTGTTTTTTTCTTCACAGGATAAACACACTTTTTTATTTATCTTTACAGTGACTTTCTAAAAAATTTGGTTCAAGATCTAGAAATGTACTTATCTTACATTTCAATACATCTAAATATAAATACCTTTTACAGAAAAATCCTAAATCTGTAAACATGAACATATAGTCATAATACATAGTTCTATGCACATAATATAATAGAAGACAATACTTCTCTCTCTAGACACAGAGCTCACTGAAGACGACAGGGATGTCTTCCTCATCTTGGTATCTGCACAAAGTAGGTCCTTGATAAATATTTGTTGACCAAATGAAAACATTAAAAATAACACTAAGGAACACTTTTATAGAAAAAAGTCTGCTGTTTCAGACCTCAAAGGGATGCCAGTTGAACAAGAAAGACTGTGTCAACAAGACAATACACTAACTCATACTACAGTCTTATTTTAAAATTGATTAAGGCCAAGTGCGGTGGCTCATGCCTGTAATCCCAGCACTTTGGGAGGCCAAGGCAGGCAGATCACAAGGTCAGAAGATCAAGACCATCTTGGCTAATACAGTGAAACCCCATCTCTACTAAAAATACAAAAACAAAATTAGCCGGGTGTGGTGGCGGGCACCTGTAGTCCCAGCTACTCGGGAGGCTGAGGCGGGAGAATGGGGTGAACCTGGGAGGTAGAGTTTGCAGTGAGCCGAGATCGCACCACTGTACTCCAGCCTGGGAGACAGAGCGAGACTCCATCAAAAGAAAACAAAAACAAACAAACAAAAAAATGATTAAAAGTGCATGGCTGAGGGCAGGAGGGAGTGGGGGATGTTCTCAATCATACAGCTGTTTAGCTTTTCCCAGCATAGCTCCTTTTTGAGAAGAGGAGTTGGGAGTTGGAGTTGGTTACAGGGCTGGAGATTAATTTACATTCAAACTTTTAATGTTAACATGATCATTATACTTCAGAAATAATATTTTTGTCTATGTAGCATTTTATACATATATACACACATACATACACATATAAAATATAAATATATACAACAAATATGTATTTGTTTTGTGTATTTGCTCAGCTATATCTAATTCTACATGTAAATTCGTGTGCATGTAACATATACACTATATATGTAATATGAATTTATATATTATTTATAAAGGAGAATAAGGTAAGACAATACCATTGCAGTTCATATATTCCTTTTACATCACATATTATTTACCTAAAGAACATTATTTTCTTTTGGACCCTTCAAGGAGGCTGGCAATGATTTCTGATGTCTGAAGCTTGTTCACACTCATAATTTTATAGGAATTACCAAAGAGTAAAACATGAAACTCCCTAGAGACACTCAAGAAACTTAAAGCCTTCCTAATTGATATAATCAAGTTTCTAGAATCACAAAAGAATAAAGAAAACTTGTTTGAGGCTACATTCCCCATCAAAGATTTTCACTGGATTATTTTTTAAGCTGCAAAGACGATGAAATGGAGACCAAAAAGATCTGAACAGCAACATTTTCCCACATACCAGCATTGCTGACTTCTAAACATAAAGCCATTCATCAGAGTTTCAGGCTCACAGAATTCCCTGTTTCCACAGAACCCACATTCACCTTTATGCAAAAATGCTGATTCAGAACAGACATTGTGAGGAATATTTAGATGTGTGGCAACTCTTTCAGTTCTAAACACTGGATGTGGAGTATAAACGTGGAGAAAGGAACTTGTGAAAGCAGGAACTGGTATAATTCGCTCTGGGGCAAGACTTCAAAATGCAAATAACAGAGGAATAATAATGCTATTAGTCATTCAAACCTTAGTGGATATTAGTTTAGTCAAGGCTGCTGTCATTCTCATTAAAATCAGCTGCTGCTTTTAGCCTTTCTCATCACCCACCCCTGCGGAGATTTTATGGTGAAAGTATAGAACAGAAAAAAGGCATTGTGGAGGTAGGGAGTGGGAGTGGGGAGCAAGTAAGCACAGCATGATTTGAGAGACAATTGCCAGTAATAAAAAATAAATAAAATGTGAAAGAATATCCCAAATGAACTTGATCTATTTTGGAATTTTGACAAAGCCACATCAGGTACCAGAAAACTGTCTTCTTTCTCTTGTCTTCTTCCCTCCCACACTATACCATGACCACCTGCTCCTAGAAGACAGTTCCCTACCCCACACTCACAGGACGAAGTCCAACACAGCACTGTGGTGACTTCATCTCCATAGATGGTTTATGGGTTTCTGTTTCACATAACCCCAGAAGTGATTTCTGTAATAGAATCGGTAGAAGTTAGAGACTTCCTGTTATAAGCTCACAGTGGTTTCCAAGTGATTACAGAAACAGGGTTTTTTATCAAACCAGATAGGGGAGAGGAAGCTCTTCATTTGTCAGTTACTGGGCATATGTAATACACTGTGCACTGATCAAAGCACAGGGCAACAAACTGATGCATCAATGGTTGTCTCTTCTAGGAAATCACAGTCTTGTAGGTACTGCAGATGTTCTTACAGTTTGATGTGAGTGGTGCAAACAAGCAAGGCCAATTTAAAATTTGTTTGGGTGGTAGAAACTTTTTCCAGTATTCCATATTCACAGGCAAAGTGGATTGATAAAATCCAGTGGTGTTTGCAATGACTGACTAGTGACAATGGAAGATTATCTAGATGAATCAATAGCAATGAATGTCTGCATTCACATCCTGATTACATGTGAGGTCCTAGGATCTGGGTCCCAAAGTCGAGTAGCTCCAGCTCATGCATGTAAATGTGCTGAATGGGTAAGAGTGGGCAAAAGAGACAAGCCAAAACGTTTCTCAGGCTAAAGGAGATTGGACATGAGAACGAAATAAGACACATCTAAGTGCAAAAGACTAAAGCCAGTTATTAGCTCTCTCTTTAGCTCTCTCTCTCTCTCTATATATATATAATATAAAACATATTTATATATGGTATATATGTATGTGTATATATAATGTATGTATGTATGATATATATGTATATATTTATATATGTACGCATATATAAAATATTATATAATACATATATATAAACTACTCTCTCCTAGTTTGCTTAATTCAACACGCTCATGTTCTCTCTACGTGTGTGTGTGTGTGTGTGTGTGTGTGTGTGTATGTGTATTAGGAGATTTCCTATGCCTGATTATCATAGCACAAGGTGATGATGTGCTATGCCCCTGGGCATGGGGAAAGTGGGGTTAAAGGTACCCTCTGAGTTTAGACATTTAACATGCTGTCTTAGATGAACACGTATTAGCATTTTAGCAAAAAAGAAGCTGGTGAAGGAATGATAAAAATAGAAGAGCCAGTGAAGGAAAAGCTAATATAACCTATTAATGTATAAAATATTTTTAAAGTTATTTTTGTTTTTTGTTTGTTTTTGGTGGAGACAGAATCTCGCTATGTTGCCCAGACTGGTCCAGAACTCCTGGCCTCAAGTATTCCTCCCACCTTGGCCTTCCAAAGTTCTGGGATTACAGGTGTGAGCCACTGTGCTTGTGGAATTGTCAGGGAATGATTTATAGTGAAGTTGTGTCAATAAATGTAATCTGAAGAGTGATGTGCAAGTTCTTATGCAAAGAATGACAGCCAGCAAACAAAATACAAAATGATTTTTGATAAAATGTTCAGATAAGAAAATTAAAAAATTAGTTTGACTGCATGATCTAGCCATAGTTTTCTCAGACCCTTATCTTCCTATTTAATAGGCAAAAACTATTACAGAGACCTAATTTAATAATCTCTAGAACAGCTTTAATATATTTTTACATTTAATCTTGTTTTTGAAGAAAAGGTATAGTACAAAGCAATAGTTTCCACAAAAGAAAAGAAGAACACTTCAAATCACTTGAATTAAAAAAAGAAATAAGTATATATATATATATATCTTCTGTAGGAGATGCAAACTGAAGATAATGAATTAAAATTAACTGAAAGAAATATAATATTCCATCACATACAATACGTAGATATTGTTCTGGTGTTAAAATAATTTATTGAAATATTTTTCCTTTCTCTGAGTTAAAAATAAAAATTAAGTTGTTCAAAATGTCATTTTTTATAGTGCAGAATATCAATAATATGTCCAAAAGATACCTGTGATGAAAATATTATATAGGATTTGCTAAATGCATGCAACTTATTTCAAAATGATTTCAGAAGAATTCCACTGTCACAGTTCTGTTTCCCAGCAGCAGTGGCACCACCAGTAACCAGGCAGATACTGGCTTTTCTGGTTCAGAAGAGCAAAGAATGTTGACAGAAAGCACCACCCAGTGATTCATGTGTCACAAGAAGGTTTAAATCATTCTTCAGTAGAAGAATTTCCAAGGTTATTCCTTCCCACAAGCTTTGTATATAAGTCACTCTGCTATTCCCATGGTTACCAAAAGGGGAGAAAAAAACAGTATACTTCAAATTTCAACTGCTTTGCTGTTCAATCCCAAGCATAAAGTGACCTTCATCTGAACACTGTCTCCTAGAAAGTTTATTTTTTTCAATTGATTTGGATATGACCTGTCCCTTTGAAAACAATGTACAAGTATCCCAAACAGACAACAATAACATTTATCTTCTATACACATAATAAAAGCTAGAGTTTTGCATCCAGCTACACTGCTTAACTTTAAATAATCTGAGAGGATTGGACAGCAAGGAAATTACCCAGAAAACTATCATCTGGCAAAATTTTATAAACGAAGCAAAATGGAAAGATAGAAAAAATGATTCTTTGAGTTGGGTTGTTGGGCCCAGTAAGCCATGTGAAGGATTCCCATTAGCTCCAGTTAAAGGGACTATTTTAAGCTTTGTAGTTAAAAGGAGTTATTAAGATACAAAAGGACAAACCATCCAGGTTACATGGCTCATGAGTCCTACTAACTCCTTTTTCCTCAAGGAAATATAAGAAAGCAAACAAGCAAAACAAAACAAAAAGATTTGTAAACCAAAAATAAAATTCTAAGGCCCCCTCAACCATCTGAATAGACTTTCTCCTTGGCAGGGCCTCTTTTAAAATTTAACCTGAGAGACCGTTTCAGGCCATGAAGGGAAATGGGAGTTGGACATGTCTCATTACACCTCTCCAGCATTGACATCAACACAGACCTTAAGTCTCATAAGAAGCATTTTACAGTCTCTCCTCTCTGAAGCCTGCTACCTGGAGGCTGTATCTGCATGATTCAACTTTGGTCTCCACAACCTCTTATCTTAACCTAGACATTCCTTTCTATTGATCCCAGGTCTTTAGGTGAACTCAACCAATTGTCAACCAGGAAATTTTTAAGTCTACCTGTAAGCTGGAAACCCCCACTCCACCCCCAACTTACACCCAGCTTCAAGTTGTCCCACCTTTCTGAACGGAACCTATTTATTTATTTATTTGTTTTAAAAAAGGAGTCTTGTTCTGTCGCCCAGGCTGGAGTGCAGTGGTGTGATCTTGGCTCACTGCAACCTGTGCCTCCCAGGTTCAAGCACTTCTCCTGCCTCAGCCTCCTGAGTAGCTGGGACTACAAGCACGTGCCACCACGTCTAGCTAACTTTTTAAAATTTGTTTACTAGAGACAGGGTTTCACCATGTTGGTCAGGCTGGTCTTGAACTCCTGACCTCAAGTGATCCACCTACCTCGGCCTCCCAAACTGCTGGGATTACAGGCATGAGCCACCACACCCAGCTGAACCAATGTATTTCTTAAGTATATTTGATTGAAGTCTCATGTCTCCCTAAAATGTATAAAAGCTGCACCCCAGCCACCTTGGGCACATGTTCTCAGGACCTCCTGAGGGGCTTTGTCATGGTCACTCATATTGGGCTCAGAATAAATCTTTCTAAATATTTTACTAGAGTTTGAATCTTTTTGTCGACAGACTGCAAACAGCAATGAAACATATATCTTGCTTCTGCTTAATCTGTAGTCTATAGTGTTAGAGTCTGCTCAAGCCTCATTATCAGTCATAGAGGAGATGATCTGAGATTGGTGTTTCCAGCAAAGTTCTTTCCTATTCTTGTCCAGAAGCAACATCACAACAGAATGAACACAATAAATTCAGTACTTTGACTGTGTCCTCGGTATGAGCCCTAGACACTAAATAAGATTCACAGATACTCCAATTCTTGTTCTCAGTGAACTTACAGTCTAGTGGGGAAGCTAAACACCTAATTTTACCTTTTATTATAATTTGATTTCCTCTTTTGTGCTTGTACAAGGAAATGAAATGAGAGTTCAAAGGAGGAAGAATTAATATCTCTTTGGATTCAGAAATTGCTTTCTAGAGGCTGACCGTGAATGTGTAAAAAGGGCAAGATTTGAATAGGTGGCAATTGAAGGGAAGATTATTGCATGTAGAAAACGTACCATCAGCAAAGGCATGTAAGTTGTATTTCAGTCATAATTAGTTTAGAATTCGTGTTACAATGAGGCTATAGACTGCAGGGCACAGACCAGTAGCAGATAAGTAAGTAGGATCATTCTATGGTCGTCCTAAAATGCTAGTTTAATAAAAATTCACTTCACCTTGTAGACAATTAAAAGTCATTAAATATATATATTTAAAAAGTAGTAGTTGAGCTTCGTAAAGTGCAGTTCTGACCATATCCATCCCTTGAAGCATTGTATAGACCAAGTGCAAGGAGGAGACATATTTAAAGGGAAGCATGGTATGTTAGTTCTCACACTGCCATGAAGAAATACCCAATACTGGGTAATTTATAAAGGAAAGAGGATTACGGAAGGGGACACAAACACATCCTTCTTCACCTGGTGGCAGCAAGGAGGAGTGCCAAGCAAAAGGGGGAAAAGCCCCTTATAAAACCACCAGATCTCATGAGAACTCACTATCATGAGAACAGCATTAGAGTAACAACCCCCATGGTTATACTACCTCCCACCAGTTCCCTCATGTGACATGTAGGGATTATGGGTACTACAATTCGAGATGAAATTTGGTTGGGGACACAGCCAAACCATATCATTCTGCCCCGGGTCCCTCCCAAATCTCATGTCCTCACATTTCAAAACACAATCATGCTTTTCCAACAGTCCCCCAAAGTCTTAACTCATTCCAGCATTGACTCAAAAGTTCAAGATCAAAGTCTCATCTGAGACAAGGCAAGTCCCTTTGACCTATGATCCTGTAAAATCAAAAACAAGTTAATTACCTTCTAGATACAATGGGGGAACAGGCATTGGGTAAATACACCTGTTCCACATGGGATAAATTGGCCAAAACAAAGGGGCTACAGTCCCCATGCAAGTCTGAAATCCAATAGGGCAGTCATTAAACCTTAAAGTTCCAAAATGATCTCCTTTGATTCCATGTCTCACATCCAGGTCAAGCTGATGCAAGAGATGGTCTACCATTCTGGGGCCTGGAGGATGGTGGCCCTCTTCTCACAGCTCCACCAGGCAGTGCCCCAGTGGGGACTCTGTGTGGGGGCTCCACTCTCACATTTCCCTTTCACACTGCCCTAGCAGAGGTTCTCCATGAGAGCTCTGCCCCTGCAGCAAACTTCTGCCTGGACATCCAGGCATTTCTATACATCCTCTGAAATCTAGGCAGAGGTTCTCAAACCTCAAATCTTGTCTTCTGCACACCCACAGGACCAACACCACATGGAAGCTGCCAATGCTGGGGGCTTCCACTCTCTGATGCAATGTCCTGAGCTGTACCTTGGCCCCTTTTAGCCATGGCTGCAGTGGCTGGGATGCAGTGCTGAGGCTGCACACAGTAGTGGGTCCCTGGATCTGGCCCAGGAAACCATTTTTCCCTCCTAGCCTTTCGGGCCTGTGATGGGAAGGACTGCTGTGAAGTTTTCTGACATACCCTGGAGACATTTTCCCCATTGTCTTGGTGATTAACATTCGGCTCCTCGTTACTTATGCAAATTTCTGCAGCAGGTTTGAATTTCTCCCCAGAAAATAGCTTTTTCTTTTCTATTGCAGCATCAGGCTGCAAATTTTCTAAACTTTTATGCTCTGCTTCCTCTTGAACACTTTGCTGCCTAGAAATTTCTTCCACCAGGTACCCCAAATCATCTCTCTCAAGTTCAAAGTTCCACAGATCTTAGGGCAAGGTCAAAAAACCACCAGTCTGTTTGCTAAAGCACAGCAAGAGTCACCTTTGTTCCAATTTCCAACAAGTTCCTCATCTCCATCTGAGACCACCTCAACCTAGACTTCATTGTCCATATCACTGTCACATTTTGGTCAAAGCCATTTAACAAGTCTCTAGGAAGTTCCGAACTTTCCCACATCTTCCTGTCTTATGAGCTTTCCAAGTCTCTTGGAAGTTCCAAACTTTCCCACATTTCCTGTCTTCTTCTGAGTCCTCTAACCTGTTCCAACCTCTGCCTGTTACCTGGTTCCACAGTTGCTTCATTTTTGGGTATCCTTATAGCAGCACCCCACTCTACTGGTAATAATTTGCTGTATTAGTTTGTTCTCACACTACTATGTAGAAATACCTGAGACTGGGTAATTTATAAAGAAAGAGGCTTAATTGACTCACAGTTCCACAGAGCTGGGGAGGCCTTAGGAAACTTATAATCATAGTGGAAGGCAAAACAAAAATGTCCTTTTTCACATGGCAGCAGGAAAGGGAAGTGCAAAGCAAAAGGGGGAAAAGCCCCTTAAAAAACCATCAGATCTTGTGAGAACACACAATCAGGAGAACAGCATGGGGGTAACTGCTCTCATGATTAAATTACCTCCCATTGGTTTCCTCCCATGACATATGGGGATTATGGGAACTGCAATTCAAGATGAGATGTGGGTGGGGACAGAACCAAACCATATCACATGGTCTGTGGTTTCTAGAAAAGCCAGTGATGCCTATTACCACCATGCTGAGACTATCGTCTCTCCACTCTTCACTGGGTCTGCCCACAACATTTCATTCCTCCCCACTCTCCCACAACTTTCCTGTGCTGGGAATCCAGATAAGCCCACCGCATCATCAATCCTTGTTATATCGGGAATGTTTCATAAACTGCATATGATGTGCAATGTCTCTGTATCACTAAATATTTAGATAAAGAACCAGGCAACAATCGGCCTGAGGTCAGGAGAATGCTTTCGGGATAGTACGGTGGTTAACTCCACAATAATATTGTACACCTGTTATTTTTGCACCACTCTCATCTCCACTACAGCCCTACCTCTGGACCCAGGCAGCCCTATGGATATCTCTGATGCTTCCCAATGTTGAGGATACAAAGTGAAATACACTAGAGTTGTAAGAGTGCAGTGGGATGGTGTGCACAGAACATCTCAGGTAGGCGGCCTAAAGGCTAGGGACCTTGGTTATACCAAATTCATTGTCAGCCTTACCTTAGCCATACCAAAAAATCCATAGACCATGCATTTAATGGGGATCATATCACTTCCAAGAGGTGAATATTGGTTCTTGGAGGGGTCAAAACGTCTAACTTGTGTTATGTATAAAACAGAGATATACATATCGTACATAAGCAGATACATAGTACATCTGTGTTATTAAATTGTTACGGGGAAATAACTTGGTACTACTGTGTTAGGAAAAACGTCTAAAAAGGCTGAGAGCAATGGTGAGAAAAAAGGTTGAGAAATGCTGTCATAGGAGCCTCAACCTTGCCCCGGTGGGTTTACAGGGGAAGTGGAGAGGGGGAGGGAAAAGAAAATCTCTGAGCAAACCCCACCTTGACTTTTTATGCCATGAGCCAAGGTGGAACTGTTTGAATACTTCAGCATCTACTCTGACAGGCTAAAGGTAGCTATTCAGAGAGCTGATGACAGAATATGAGATATGGCAGGTCTTGCCAGGGTAGAGAGAGAGCCAGGGTAGAGAGAGAGGGGCAGCAGGGGAAGAGGCAGGCCCTGCCAGCTTCAGTGTAGTGCATTAAGCTTGAGGGTGGGGATTTCCCATGGCCTTCCTTAGAGCTCAGGCTTGTAGGGACAGAGCTGGAGTTCCCCGAGTATTGCTTTGCATTCCAGAACACACTTGCAAGGCTGAGCTTAGCCTTAATGCTGTCTCTCCAAGGTCTGGAAGTCTCTCCCTTTTTGTGGACTGTGGTGGTGCTCTAAAGGGAAGTGTTTTGGCTACACTGGACCTTTGGTAAGCCAGTGGACTGGCATGGAAGGACACTTTGGCAACCAAATCCTGCTTAGAGTGATGCCATATTCTCCTCTTTGCAACTGAATGATAAACAGGTGGAAAGAACCAGTCGTGGTCTAGGACCATTCACAACCTCAGACGGAATCTTCTGTGTTTCTGTTAGAGTTTCTATGTAATTGTTTTGTCCACCCACAAACAGTTGGAGTATTGCCCAGTATCTGAGACTCGGGAAGAGGGTGGAAGAGTGAACAGAATCAGAGCAGGAGGAAGGAGCTGGCACTGCAAGGAAGGCATAAAATGTGAAGCATGGTAGGGGAGAGTCAGAGGAGGGCAGTGGATGAGAGAGTAACTGCAGAAGGTGAAGGTAGGATTATCAAGGCCATTTTAGCTAAGGAGAAAGAAAATATGAAGAAAATTGTTCTGATGACTAATTGGTTAGATACATAATTTTCTGTAATTATGTTGTACGAGAAAATTATGCATATTTATACATATATCAGAATATGTATAGCCTCACACAAACATGCAAACACATGCATATCTCATCTTATTATGTATGTGTGTGATATTTAAGCATGTAATTTTCTAATTTGATAATTGTTTAATGAAGTTCTTCTTCCAAGGTACCTTCCTTTGAATTTCTTTTTGTGCTCCTGTATGTAAAGGAGAAAGTGAGAGGATACTTCCAAAAATGGAAAAGCATCAAGGTGGGCAATGAAAATTTAATGAGGCTGTCACTCTTTAGATCTTTAAGGGATTTCTTGTAAAGGGTGAATAATACTCAATAGAATTAGCTGCTAAAGAATTAGGGTATATTTTTTAATTATAAGTTTATACAGGTAAATGTTGATGGGCTTGCACTGACAAGCTTCAAGAGAGGTAAAGAAGTCTTACGTACTGTGGGAGGAGAAACAGGTCCACAAAAGGAAGTAATATTGTTATCCCACGTCATTTCATGTAAAATCAGCTTTGGAATTTATGTTCATACCTTTTATGGTTAAAAAAATGAAGACTTGATTTGCATTTGTAATATGTACTCGGGTTCACATCCAGTTAAATCCAACTAAGCTCACACGCCCATGTCATTTTGACAAGACTGAGGTGCAGATGAAACTAAGGATTCTCTGAGTTGTTCAGACCAACATTTTTTCTCAGCCTGCCAAGTGGAGAGGAAGGACAGAGATTTTTGCCTCAAATTCAAGAAAGAAAGTGTCTTACCTTTCCATGTTTTTTATGTTTTGTAAACCCAAGTTGTCCACATCATTATCTCAATTCTGCACTTATTTCAACATACACACACACAAACACACAGAGATT